>NC_000009.12:132614002-132927820 GCF_000001405.40 Homo sapiens | reverse complement strand
AGGTGTGGCGGCTCACGCCTGTAATCCCAGCACTTGGGGAGGCCGAGGCGGGCGGATCACAAGGTCAGGAGATTGAGACCATGTTGGCCAATGTGGTGAAACCCCATCTCTAGTAAAAATACAAAAATTAGCCAGGCGTGGTGGCAGGTGCCTGTAATCCCAGCTAGCTACTTGGGAGGCTGAGGCACGAGAATTGCTTGAACCCAGGAGGCAGAGGTTGCAGTGAGCTGAGATTGTGCCACTGCACTCCAGCCTGGCAACAGAGTGAGACTCCATCTCAAAAAAAAAAAAAAAAAAAAGGCAATAAAAATGACTTCATATGTTTTTATGCATATTTAGGCAAATAAGCTTGGAATATCTTATTATTAAATTAAGAAGGCAGAACTGTAATGCTGCACAAAACTTAGAATAGCATATAAAGAAACATTTTCTGGATTTTGTGACAGGAAGCTGTGTAAGGTAAATTTAGGATGTTAAGGGGAATAAGTATCATCCATTGCCCTTTTCTTGATTTAGACCGTGGCCCTATGCTTGTAAACACCTTGGTGGATTATTACCTGGAAACCAGCTCTCAGCCGGCATTGCACATCCTGACCACCTTGCAAGAGCCACATGACAAGGTAATGGCTGAAATATCATAGGCATTTCATATGTTCTTCATGAGTACAACAGCTTCTGTGCACGGCCACTGTGCAACTTGTCCTGAGCTTATTCTTTTGATTTCTGTGCGCCACTGATGACATTGTTCCCAGTTTATAACTACATATAAAAATTACTTTGTAGGACCCATGATTCTTGAAAAGTTTACAAAATAAAACATATTTCAGAGACTGTTAAAGATCTTGTTTGGGCCGGGTGTGGTGGCTCACGCCTGTAATCCCCTTAGGAGGCCGAGGCGGGTGGATTGCCTGAGGTCACGAGTTTGAGACCAGCCTGGCCAACACAGTGAAACCCCGTCTCTACTAAAAAATACAAAAAATTAGCTGGGCGTGGTGGTGGACACCTATAATCTCAGCTACTCAGGAAGCTGAGGCAGGAGAATCGCTTGAACCTGGGAGGCGGAGGTTGCAGTGACCTGAGATTGCACCATTGCACTCCAGGGCAACAAGAGTGAAACTGTCTCAAAAAAAAAAAAGATCTTGTTTAAAGAAATCTTACATTTCCAGTACTATAATTGTATAGTGATGATTTGGCCCATAGGTACCCATCTTTCAACCCATACTTTGAATAGAATTTTTAGACTTTTATCGATATGGAAAAGCTTCAAGTACAAAGGACTAACATGACAAATTAATGAGTCTTGTTTCCTAGCACCCGGCACTTGGAGGGCTCCTTCATGTTTTCCTTTTGTTTTTAGTAAGTAGCTAATAAAGCATTGTTATTGCAGACTTTGGTAAGTCTTAAGTGTATATATGAGAGCAACTTCCCCAGGATTTGAAGACCTTGTATTGCATGCCTTTTACAGTACATCTTGTTTTGTTTTGTTTTCTAAAGAGGTGAGGTCTCATTGTGTTCCCTAGACTGGAGCGTGGTGGCACAATCATAGCTCACTGTAACCTTGAACTCCTGGCCTCAAGCTATCCTCCTGCCTCAGCCTCCCAAAGTGCAGGGATTGCCGGCATGAGCCACTGCGCCTGGCCCGTCTTGTTTTTTTGTTTACTCTGGTCTGAAATGTAACTTCTACTACCTAATTGATACTTGAGGCCAAACCATGTAGGCTGGGTTGCTCTAGCAATAAGTGGCTGCTTCCAGCAGGATCCCCTCATGGCTTCAGTAACCTATCACAGTTTGGGACTGTTGGTTATTGAGGGGCTGTGAACAAGTCTCCCCCTTTCTGCATGCGTGTATTGTAGGGTCCTTTTTCATGAGCTGCAAACTGGCTGCCTTTTGTCAGGCCAAATGCAGCAGTGTTTTGTTTGCTAACGTGGTTTTTAAAATCTTGAATTTGACCTTTTATCTGCATGACCCTTGCTTTACATTAGAGACAAGACTTGAGAGATTGGAGCACATCATTGCTGTCTTTATTTGTGTTAACTTCATACATTCATGTGAGGACTGCCCTTGTTCTTTTACATTTTCAGCACCTCTTGGACAGGATTAACGAATATGTGGGCAAAGCCGCCACTCGTTTATCCATCCTCTCGTTACTGGGTCATGTCATAAGACTGCAGCCATCTTGGAAGCATAAGCTCTCTCAAGCACCTCTTTTGCCTTCTTTACTAAAATGTCTCAAGGTAGGATGTTTGTAAGGATTTGAATGAAATGGTTTTATGAGTATAGTTTCTGAAATTTTAGGCAACTTAAAGCAAGGAAGCTAGATTTTAACTTTTAGAGTTTAAAACCTTCTAGGCATTTGGCTTTTCTCAAATAGAATGTTGTCCAGAGTTGGTACTTAGTAAGTTCTCAAATACATCACTATGACTATTGAATACCTTGTCCATGCAAGTATGGAAAAATTTCGATCAGATGGGTTCAATGTTACATTATTCCAAACCTCTTGATTTCGTCATCGTTTAGCCTTCCCTCATTTAAAAACATCCTGGATTATCTTTTGGGAATCCCTGTTTCTAAATTATCTTTTAGCTAATAGAAAAATGGCTTAAAGTTTCTGTTAACCATTTAGGAGTATGGTCTGGTTGCAGCTATAATTAAGACTTTGTTGATGTAAATTCTACTAAGTTGCATTCTATTTTTTGCACTAAATTTAGTGCATTTTTCTATATAGGGAGTCAAAATCTAAATAGAACTTTATGGTTTTAGTTTTAACAGTGGCGTGCAGCCATACTCAGGGTTATTTGTTTAATCTGTTTTAGTTCCTGGACTTGTTTTCTATCTATAAAATAAGAAAATGTGGTTAATATTAACTGCCTGTACCTCACAGAGACATGAAAATATCCAATAGTATTTGTTCCAGGATGGCAGTACCATTGGATTCATCTGCTACAGCACCATGCAAATTGATTTTTGTGTCTGCCAAGAAGGGTAACTCTTTTATTATCCCTAGAGGTGGGTCCCAAGGAGTCACATTGGCAGGGTATTATAAAAACATGCATTTAATTCAGAAAAAATAGGAACAGTTTTAACAACTTAATGTTTTTTAAACAAATGGATTGATGAGAATATAATCTAATTAATGGATTGGTGAGAATATAATCTAAATGGATTGATGAGAATATAATCTAAATGGATTGGTGAGAATATAATCTAAATGGATTGATGAGAATATAATCTAATTTTGAGGCACATCATTTAGTTCAGATTGCAAAACACTTATCTTTTCCAAAAGAGTACGTTTTGTTAATCATGGATAAGTCTTCAGTTAGACTGTTAGGAAAATGAAATCAGGGCTAGTTCTTTCTGCTGAGAATCATTATATAGTCTCATATATTCTCAATTCTCCTACCAATATATTATTCTTACTGGATATCTTCCGTAATGAAAGGCTTGATGCTTGATGTAAAAATCAAAATATATTTAAAACTTTATTCCCAGACTCATAGATTCCTATTCTAATAGGAATAATGGATGTCTTAACCTACATAGTAGTCTTTTGATTAATATCTTGTTTCATAAATCTGAATTTCATCTACCTGGCAAACATTCATGATTTAATTATGGGTCAGGTGAGCTGCTGTAGCTAGCTAGTCAGAGCTGATTGAGTATCCATTGGGTGTTAAGTGTCTTCAGTTAGCCTGAAGTTATTTATTTGACTTAATATTTAAACTGTAGGCGTGCTGAAAGGTTTCCATATATATATATTTTAATTTACTGGTCTCTAAATACTGCTTTGAAGTGAGCCTTTAAGTTGACTTGTTAGTGCTATATGAATTTCTCCTTCAATTATACTTCTGTTGTAGTTCTTTAAAAAATAGTAAGTTACTTGTCAATGTGCAGTTTTTTTTTTTTTTAATTAACAAAAAGTAAGTATCTTAGGATTTGGTTGAATGAATGAAACAGAGCAGTGCTCCTGTGTTTTGTTGAAAAGCAGCTCCTTTTGTTTTCATCCAACTGCTATCAATAGGGCATCCTAAGGCTGCAGGACTTGGGTGTCCCCAAGTCAAGTTTGAACTCGTCTCCCGGATGCCTTTGCATAGGTGTGTTGTAAATGGTCCTCACTGACTCATTACAGTAGAGTTGGGGCTCAGTGTTCTGTTGAGTCTGTTTGAATGTTATCCCTTCAGTAATCCTTAGGGATAGGGAAATGAGTACGTGAGTCAACTTGTGATTTGTGATTCTCTCAGTGTTTAGAGCCTCTTCATGTACTGTACAATGCCGATCCTGGTGCCAGTGCCTGACAGACGTTTCCTGTTTGACCTTTTCTCCTGCAGATGGACACTGACGTCGTTGTCCTCACAACAGGCGTCTTGGTGTTGATAACCATGCTACCAATGATTCCACAGTCTGGGAAACAGCATCTTCTTGATTTCTTTGACATTTTTGGCCGTCTGTCATCATGGTGCCTGAAGAAACCAGGTACAGATCTCCTCATATACCTGTTGGGCCCTGTGAGGTGAATGCTTTCATTATTGATTAATTGCTCATATGCTGTAAGGAATGGACATGTAGACTTTTATAGCTGAAATGAGTGGTTTTCACCAGACAGATGAGGGAATATCTTGGGTGCATCCACTACAGGCACATAGAAGAAACATGACTGTTGAGATAACTTTTTTTATTTTCTTGGCTTAAAAGGATTAGTCGTCAGAGAAATTGAGTGGTAGGATGTAAAACTTTATGATTGTTGATAAACTGAAAAACAGCCTCCGTCTGTATTGCAGCAGTACAGGACTAAGCTTGTGGGACATTTCTGTCTTCCTTGGCTGCTCTGTTGTGACAGAACGCAAATGTCAGATTCTGAGAACCCACTCGTTGTACCTGTAGGAGTCAGAGGGAAATGCGGTGTGTCCTGATTAGCACTCCAGCTTCAAATGCAGTGGTTTTTTTTTTTCCCCTATCGGCAGGTAGCAGAGCTCTATCAAAGGGATCAGAAGCTGTAAGCATGTGAAATTTGGAATCTTTGGGTTATCCCAGTGTGAGGTATTTCTATCAAAAGGGTGAAGTATGTCAGACCTGTGAGACAGAACACCGTGCCTTCCTGTATAGGATTAAATTACAAGCATAGGCCCACGTGGTGCCTGCTTGTTTAGTAGGACCTTTGTGAAAAAGGAATGGTCTGTCCATTATTTTGGAGGACCTTTATGTATACTGTGGCCGTGGGTTTCCACAGGGTCTAGGTAAGGCTAAATTAAGATGTTCAATTTCTTTCACTCTTAGTTCTTTAAGCTAATTTCTAGATAATAGTTTTTTTCACTCTGTAGTTATAAATCTGCATAGCTAAGACTACATACTGATTTAAAAGAGTCTCACACATTCATTCTGTAAATATTGAGTGCTTGTTAAATATCAGGTCCAGTGCAAAGCACCGAGAAATAAGTAAGACAGTTTTTTTCTCAAGAAGCTCGTACTGAATTCGGCAATGGAAAAGTATAAATTTTACAGAGAGCTATCATCATAAAGATAGTTCAGTATTGTGAGAATGTTTGGGATCCTTTTTGGGCAGTGGCTGAAGAGGAGGGCAGAAGTTAGATCAGGAAGAGCCTTCATGGATCATACTAGTAGACTGGAATTTATCCAAAACTTATAGGGAGCCATTGATGGATTTGAAATAAGGGTGTCTGGTGTGTTCGGATTTGTTTGCATTTTAGAAAACCACTCTTCCTGTCTTTGGAGTGAGGTGGGAATATACATAGATAAAAAGTCCTGCTGGCAGCCACTTGTTTATAGCTGTTTTGCACTCCTCAATCTGTCTCCAACTAAGAGGCTCTTCTCAACGGGTTCCTTTTCTAGGCCACGTGGCGGAAGTCTATCTCGTCCATCTCCATGCCAGTGTGTACGCACTCTTTCATCGCCTTTATGGAATGTACCCTTGCAACTTCGTCTCCTTTTTGCGTTCTCATTACAGTATGAAAGAAAACCTGGAGACTTTTGAAGAAGTGGTCAAGGTAAATTGAAACTGCTTGTTTGTTTGCTACTTAGTATACTGTTTAGATAGGCTGCATTTATACCTTTTGTATTTAACGGCAGACAGGGAAATTTTGAAAAGAAATTCAGTTTTCTTCCTCGCCACTCCAATCCCTAGGCAGCCACTAATCTGTTTTCTGTCTTAATAGATTTGCCTATTCTGGACATTTTGTATAAATGGGATCATATAATATGTGGTCTTTTGTGACTGGCTTCTTTCACTCAGTATAATGTTCTCAAGGTTCCATCTGTGTTATAACATGTATCAGTACTTCATTCCTTTTAATTGTCAACTAATATTCCATCATTTGGATGTTCCACAAACATTCAGCCCTTTATAATTTGTCAACCCAACTCTTCTAGCCAATGATGGAGCATGTGCGAATTCATCCGGAATTAGTGACTGGATCCAAGGACCATGAACTGGACCCTCGAAGGTATAGAAACTAGTGTCAAAATTTTAAAGAATCTTTCGAGAGATTGAAAATGTGATCTAGGAGGTAATCCCTGTTGAGGTATATTTGGGAATATAGATGTTCTACTTACAGAATCAGTCCACTTGGAAGCACTCATACAGCTAAAATTTGTGTGAGTTTAAAACATACTCTTCACAGGCGGAGGACTAATAACATTTAGCAGAGTGGAGAAAGTTGCAGCACAAGTGCCTGTCCCCCAGAAAGGCTTACACCTCAGTAGTGCCAGTGATGGGGCGATGCAGGAGGTGAAGCATATGGCTAAAAACAAGGGGACTGCAGAAAAACAATTTAGCATATATATAAATCTGGCTTTGCAAAATGGAGAAAGGACTTCAGGGAGTCCTATATTAAGTATTTGGAGTCCCTGAGGTCCTTTCTCCATTCTGCAAAGCCAGTTGACTATACCATCCTCCCCAGGGCCCTACAGAGGCCCCCAGGTATGTTCTCTGGAAAAACCGAACCTTTGAGTCCCTTGATTGAAGGATTCCAGGCACAGTGGAGAGTGGAACTGAGGGTAAGACTGAGCGAGGGAGATAAAGGAAATTTACAGACTGAGCTGTGGGAGGCCCAGCTCCTTCCCTCTGCTTGTCTCTGCCTGGTAGCCAGGCTTATTATGCTCCCCAGTTAGGGGAGCTGGCCCTTTTTGGGGAAACTGACCCATGGATACTGACACTTAGGGATCTCCTGCTGAAAAAGCTAGCTCACTGCCTGATCCCCCAACAGCGAATCTCACCTCACCACAGACACTGCCTCTACCACACAGAGCCTCAGCCAGCTTAAAGCAGTTTATTGTGAGATTATATGTAGAGAAGTATAGAAAATGTGTATGTAAAGTTTAATAATAACACAAAAACACATGTAGCTGGCACCTAGCTTAAAAAAAACAGAACATTACTGGTACCTTAGAGGCTCCCCGTGGAGAACCCCTCTTTTCTCCCTACTACCTCAGAGACAACTACCATTGTTGCTTTTAATCATTCTCTTGCTTTTCTTTGTAGTTTTACTGTAGGTATTGCTTTGTTTTGAAAAGCTAGTTGACTAGGAGGCAAAGCCTGGTTAAGAGAAGGGCAGTCTTGTCACTAGTAGTTGAAGGTTTCCAGGAGATGAGAGGAGGACCAGCGCATCTGAGTCTTGGTGTGGTTTCACTGTCCCTGAGGTTTCACAGCCCCTTCTGGGAAGTCAGTGCACAAGGTCATGAATGAGTCTGGGAAACACAAGGCTTACCCTCATCAGAGCGTCTGGCAAGGCTTCTAGCAAGGGCAAGGCACTGGACATGCGTGAAATATGGCAGGCAGGGAAGCTGCTCTCTGCGCCTGCTTTCAGCTCTCAGGAATAGGTCAGACAGAATCCTTCTGTGGGATAAAATGAATGTCCTCTGCTGATCAGACAGAGGAGGGAGAGTAGGAATTTCATCAGTATGTAGTTAAGACAAGCTAAGTACAGACAAGTTATACAGGCCAGGGTCACCTGGCTCTGTCCCTCATTAAAAAGATAGTGCAGGACAGCAGGAACTTTGAGACATGCCTGTCTCTTGGCAGCTGCTGTTCTGATCCGAACTGGTTCTCGTCTGTGCCTAGTACCCAGCTGTCATCCTAGTCTCCTGGGGCTTTCCTTCGCCTCTCTCCTGTGCAGGATCTCCCATTTCCTGTATCTTGTCTTCTTTCTTGGTTTACTCTTGTTTAATAGGACATAGCCTCTAGGAGCTTTTTGAGGAAGGATGCAGTGTTTTGGCTGGTGTAGACTTACAGGTTGAGAGTCGGTAATTTGAAGGCATTCAGTAATTTGAAGGCATTATTCCATTGCCACCCTGCTTCCAATGTTGCTCTTAGAATTTCTGATCATCTGTATTTGCTGTGTTTTTCTCTAGGGGAGCTGGTAGGGAGTTCTCTTTGTTGTCATAATATTCTGAAATTTCCAGTGATGTATGTTGGTATGAATCTATTCTCATTGTTCAAGCTGGAAGCTCTTCAAGTTCTATGATATTTTCTTTAGTTGTTTTGTGCTTGATTTCCTGTTTTCTCTGTCTTTCCTTCTAGAAATCCAGTTCATCCCTGCACCACATAATGACATTTCAGTCAATGATGGGCTCCATAGATGATAGTGGTTCTGCGAGATTATACCACCACATCTTTACCGTACCTTTCCTAGGTTCAGATATGTCTAGATACACAAATACCTACTGTTGTTACAGTTACTGCAGTCTTTAGTACAGTACCATGCTGTGCAGGTTTGTAGCCTAGGAGCCTATAACATCTAGTTTTGTATGAGTACACTCTGATGTTCACACAACAAAGAAATTGCCTAATGATGCATTTCTCAGAACATGTCACTGTCATTAAGTGACACATGACTGTATACTTATACAAGGAGTTTTCTTTTCCCTGCATAATCTGTTTCTTCTAAGCTTCCTTCTTTTCGGTTTTGTGTTATTCTTTTTAAATCTTTGAGGCCTTCTGCCAGGATCTAGTAAACTGTTTATATATGGGGAGACAAAACAGCTTTGTTCACAGTGGTGGGACTTGTTGACTTTGAGCTTTGTTGTATGTTGAACTGAGCATCTGTTGGAAATAGTGGTGTCGGTATTGTTTTCTTCTTGAGCTGGTCATGTTTTTTAGAAAGTAGTCTTCTGATTTTCAGGCTGGTAGGGGTCTGACTACCTCTGGGGGGAAAGAGGCTGGTGGTGAGGAAGGGTTGGTGGTCTGGGCATTCAGAATGTATATGCTTCACTTAATCCCCTCATTTGGAATGGCACTCATGCCCTCAACTACTTCTGGAATACTTTATCCAGGTACTCCTTGTTTTATTCTCTATAGAGAATAATCCAGGTTTCTGGTGAGAAAAGAGCTGTTGCTTGGGAGTGTAGAGTTGGGGCAGGACCCAGGGGTTGTGACTGCTCCTCCAGTGGTTTTCACTCTGTCTTCAGTATTTTAGCTCCCCTTGTCTACCTGCTGCTCATCTCCTGTTCCAGAAGTACCAGATGCTATAAGTTCCTCATGATTTTAAGGATTCTGTAGTATAATCAGTTGACTCTTCACTTTGAGACAGTGGCAGCTTAGGATTCTGCTTTTGTGGATTTGCAGTGTCAGTTACCACCTGCCTGTCTGTTTTTTAGTTTCAAAAACTTATGGTTCTATTCCCTCTCTCCTGTTCTCCTCCTTGTGGGTTTATATTTAAAAACAAAGAAGTCTTTACTGTAGACAGTGGGATTCCAGGAGGTTGTACAGTTGAGTGCATATGTTCAACCAACTATATTAACTTGGAAGGCTCCTCAGTCAGCTTATAGAGAGCCTCACTCACCTTGGCTGGGCAGATTGTTTGGCTTTGGAAGAAGGTTTTAACAGTAAAGACAGACACCAACATTAAGAGGAGAAAAGAGAGCTAGAACAAAACCATAATGATAGAGCAGAAGAAAATATCTACCATAGCCACAGAGATAAGATGTTTGTGCATATGTAAGCATCAGGATGCCACAGAAAAAGACCATTTTGAGACTAAAAGAACTCTTCAAAATTAAAAATGATAGCCAAAATAAACATTTCAGTAAAAGAATTGGGAGATACTTTTCTGAGATATAGGTAAATAGAAAGCAGAACCAAAGGATAGAGCTTGGTAATATGAGCAGAACAGAGATTTAGAATGATCAGTTCAGGAAGTCCCAGCATCCAATTAAAAAAAATTTTTTTTTAAAGAAGAGCCGGGTGCAGTGGCTCACGCCTGTAATCCTAGCACTTTGGGAGGCGGACGGGGGAGGATCTCTTGAGGTCAGGAGTTCGAGACCAGCCTGGCCAACATGGTGAAACCTCCTCTCTACTAAAACTGCAAAAAATTAGTCGGGCATGGTGGTGGGTGCCTGTAATCCCAGCTACTTGGGAGGCTGAGGCAGGAGAATCGTTTGAACCCAGGAGGCAGAGGTTGCAGTGAGCCGAGATCGTGCTACTGCACGCCAGCCTGGGTGACAGAGCGAGAATCCATCTCAGAAAAAGAGAGAGAAGAAAACTTTGGTGGAGGAAGAAATTGTGAAAGAAATAATACAACAAAAAAAAAATCCTAGGATTGAAGGATATGAGTTTCCAGATTGAAGGGGCTTACCTGGTGCCCAGCTAAATCAATAAAAAAGAATGCCACCAGGTCTCAATATTGTAAAAGTTTATAGTACCAGGGATTAACCTTTCAGAGAAAGAAAAAAATGAAATCACATTAATAAGGATTAGAAATCAGAATGCTGTTAGCTTCTGAAATACCTTCAAAATTGAGAGAAAAAGGTTTTCAACTAGAATTCTATAGCCAGCCAACTTGTCTATCAAATATGAGACACTTTCAGATATGCATGGACTCAAATTTCCTTCCCATATGTCCTTCCTCAGTTAATCACTGGAGCATGTATTCCACCAAAATGAGAGTAAAATCATGAAGGAGGAAGACCGAATCCAGGAGACTGGGGCCTGATCATGACCGTTTTACAGGACCATGTCCAGGGAAAGTGTCAGGATAACAGGCAGTGCTGAGAGCAGCCAGTCCAATCTGAAGCCAGGGAGAGAGTGCTCCAGAAGGGAGCTCTTCTGGAAGATGAGGAATAATCCTGGTGGATTCTTTGCATTTCATTAGTAAAAGTTATATTAGGCATTGTTTCAGAGCTGTTAGAATACATTTAGGAAAAATTAGCAATAGACACACAAAAAAGTGAGGAAGAGAAACAGAACAATTAAAACTTACAAGAAAGGAAATATTATCATAGTATACTCTGTGGCTCAGCCATGAGTAGTACTTAGGTAGTCATAATGTTGAAATCAATTTTGAAAACAACAAAAACAGTTACATATTTATTTTGAGAGCATTGAGGAGGAGGGAAAGGATATATGGAAGAGTCCTCAATCCTCACTTCCCATTAATAGTAAGTTAATAGATGGTGTCTATAATTTATAAATCAAGAAATTAAAAGCACAGGGCATATTCTTTAGAACTATAGAGGCAGGATAACAATTCAGCTAACAGAATTGGAAGCAGCTGCCAGAGTGGTTGCAGTGGGGAGGGATGGGAGGAACCTTTAGTACCGTATTGACTTTTTAAACTACCATATTTCATTGGATCTCAGATGCCGTTAGATGTGTGCTGTACTTCTATTTTATATACATCTGAGAAAGAAAAAAATGCCAAGTAAACTAACATGCATTTGATTAGACGATGGTTCCCAGTTTTAGATATTAAAATATGAAAAGTCCTTTTAAGAAGCAGGGAAATACTGTAAGTGCATAAATTACTTTGATTAAAATAAAACATTTAAATGTATTCCTCTTTTATTATGATTCTCATTTTCTCCTCTAAAATCAATCTTCTTGTGTGTACACATGTGTCCTAACGCCTGCTCTCAATCACTTTCTAGTCATGCTGAGAATGCATAAATAGGAGCCTATCCCCATTAACAGGATCCCACAGGCAGTGAGAACCCAGGTAGTGAATGAAGGGGCAGCCCTGAAATCGAAAGGCTCGCTCTTCAGGGAAGCTGCCTTATATTCTCCCCATGCCCTGGACACTTTCTTTTCTGTATTTAATACCGTGTTTTCAGCATCTAAGATATAATGAGCTTCCTACAACAGTTGAGTAGGATCACATGCTTTGTTAAGGTAAACCTATGGAGTGCCCTTAGTGTTGCTGTGCTGTTTTCTGTAAACTTGGAAAAAAAATGCAAATCTCTGATGGAGTTACTAACCACCTTAGAAACACATAGAGCAAAGTTATGTTGTCTAAAGGAAAATAGTTTATGCTTGACTAGGCGTTTAATTTTAAATATTCTGTTCATTATTAGGGCCTTTATAGAATGTTTGGTAAATACTGAAGAGTTGAAAGAATAAATGAACATTGTTCGTAACTTCACTTCTTTTCATTTGAATACTTACTACAGTCAGATATATTTGCGGGTGTGTCTCTGAATAGCTTTGTGTCTTTTTTTCTTTTAAGATTATATTATAAGCGTTTTATGTCATCTAATGTTTGAAAGCATTATTATTTTTTTGCGGCACAGTCTTGCTATGTTGCCCAAGCTGATCTCGAACTCCTGGGCTCAAGTGATCCTCCTGCTTCAGCCTCCCCGGTGGCTGAGAGTACAGGCACGTGGAAAGCATGATTTTTTTTTTTTCTTCCTGAGACAGGGTCTTGCTCTGTTGCCCAGGCTGGAGTGCAGTGGTACAGCATGGCTCATGGCAGCCTCAACCTCCCAGGGTCAAGCTATCCTCCCACGTCAGCCTCCTGAGTGGCTGGACCATGAGCACATGCCACCACGCCCAGCTATTTTGTTGTTGTTGTTGTTGTTGTAGAGATGGGGTGTGGTCTCACTTTGTTGCCCAGGCTGGTCTTGAACCCCTGGCCTCAAGTGATCTCCTGCCTTGGCCTCCCATAGTGCTGGGATTACAGGTGTGAGCCACCATGCCCAGCTGAAAGCATGATTTTCTTTTCTCTTTTTTTCAGAGTCTAGCCCTGTAGCTCAGGCTGGAGTGCAGTGGTGCTTTCCTGGCTCTCTGCAACCTCCGCCTTCCAGGTTCAAGTGATTCTCGAGTCTTAGCCACTCAAGTAGCTGGGATTACAGGTGCATGCCACCATGCCTGGCTAATTTTTTTTTTTTTTTTGTATTTTTTTTTTAAGATGGGGTTTTGCCATGTTGCCCATGCTGGTCTCGAACTTGGCCTCAAGTAATCCGCCTGCCTTGGCCACCCAAAATGCTGAGATTACAGGTACGAGCCACCACACCCAGCCTTAAGCATGATTTTTTAAATCAACTTTGGTATGGTATAATTTGCTTACAATAAAATTAATCAATTTTGCTAAGTTTTGACAAAAATCCCAATCATAATAAAGAACACTTCCATCATCCCAAAAGTTCCTTTGTGTCTCTTCCCCCACTTCTGGCAACCATCGATCTGCTAAAAGCATGCTTTTTCAGGGGGTGTAATAATAGTTATTCTATAAAATATATCCCTTTGGTTGAACTTTGGGTTATTTCCTTTCTTCTTTCCATTACAAGCTGTGCTGTGCTGAACATTGTTGTATGTCTGTTTCTATAGGATAAATTCTTAGAAGTGAAACCATGGATCACATAACAGGAATCTTTAGACAGTTTTAAAAATATTCTTGGCCGGGTACAGTGGCTCACGCCTGTAATCCCAGCACTTTGGGAGGCTAAGGCAGGTGGATCACCTGAGGTCAGGAGTTCAAGACCAGCCTGGCAAACATGGTGAAACCCCATCTCTACTAAAAATACAAAAAATTGGCTGGGGATGGTGGCGGGCACCTGGAATCCCAGCTACTCGGGAGACTGAGGCAGGAGAATTGCTTGAATCCAGAAGGTGGAGGTTGCAGTGAGTCGAGATTGCGCCACTGAACTCCAGCCTGGGTGACAGAGTGAGACTCTGTCTAAAAAAAAAAAAAAAAAAAAAAAAAACAAAACAAAACAAAAAACCCATGGGAGGCTGGCACATTGGCTCACTTTTTTTTTTTTTTTTTTTTTGAGACGGAGTCTCGCTCTATCGCCCAGGCTGGAGTGCAGTGGCGTAATCTCGGCTCACTGCAAATTCCGCCTCCTGGGTTCACGCCATTCTCCTGCCTCAGCCTCCTGAGTAGCTGGGACTACAGGCGCCCGCCACCGCGCCCAGCTAATTTTTTGTATTTTTAGTAGAAACGGGGGTTCACCATGTTAGCCAGGATGGTCTCAATCTCTCGACCTTGTGATCCGTCCGCCTCAGCCTCCCAAAGTGCTGGGATTACAGGCTCACTTCTGTATGTACGTCAAGACATACAACAGTGTTCAGCACAGCACAGCTTGTAATGGAAAGAAGAAATAACCCAAAGTTCAACCAAAGGGTTATATTCTATAGAATAACTATTATTACACCCCCTGAAAAAGCATGCTTTTAGCAGATCGATAGTTGCAAGAAGTGGGGGAAGAGACTCACCACAAAGGGCACAAAGGAACTTTTGGGGTGATGGACATGTTCTTTATTATGATCGGGACTTTTGTCAAAACTTAGCAAGATTGACTAATTTTATTGTAAGCAAATTATGCCATACTAACACGTTGATTTAAAAAATCATGCCTTCAGCTGGGCATGGTCATGGCTTATGCCTGTAATCCCAGCACTTTGGGAGGCCAAGGTGGGAGGATCATTTGAGGCCAGTAAGTTCGAGACCAGCATGAGCAACAAAGTGAGACCCCATTTCTGTAAGAATATTAGCCAGGCACGGTGGCACGTGCCTGTAGTCCCAGCTACTTGGGAGGCTGTGGCAGGAGGATCCCTGAGCCTAGGAGTTGGAGGTAGCAGTGAGCCACGATCATGCCACTGTCCTCCAGCCTGGGTGATAGAGTGAGACCCCATCTCAAGAAAAAAAAAAAAAGAAAAAAATTCTCATGGACTTTCTTTAGTTTGTCTTTTTATACTCTGTTTCTGGTCCAGGGATGGATTTGACACCTGAGGCCTTGATAGGAGACCTTAAGTCAGCCTCAGCTGCTTGGCAGTCTCCAGGTCTCCCTATTTTTTGATGACCTTTGTTCCAAAGGACATTTTTCCCTGCCTGCTGCTCTGCTGCATAGCTTATGTTTCATTTTTCCATTTTGAGGCTACACCTAGTCTTTTGTTGAGGAAATATTTGTTTCAGATTAGCTTGTAAACTTGATATAACCATTTTAAACAGGGAAGGTATAGGATTGTAAAATGAATGGCTATTTCTTTATGTACTAGAATTGTTTCAGACTTGGGCTGGCATGGTCCCGCTTGTTCTTTGCTATCAGAGTTCCGTGGCTGGCACTGAGTTGACACTCTGAAGTATTTAATTCAGTTGATTACAGTTTGCATTTCTTGACTTTCATTGCATTTTACAGGTGGAAGAGATTAGAAACTCATGATGTTGTGATCGAGTGTGCCAAAATCTCTCTGGATCCCACAGAAGCCTCATATGAAGATGGCTATTCTGTGTCTCACCAAATCTCAGCCCGCTTTCCTCATCGTTCAGCCGATGTCACCACCAGCCCTTATGCTGACACACAGAATAGCTATGGTAAAAAGTGTCTTTGGTACTTATCTGTTTTGCAACTTTGTCTCTGGAAAACATTATTTGTCTTTGTTGATTTTCTTTTCTGGAGTAAGACTTAGTTCAGTTCCTAGGGATTTTTCCCAAAATATCTTAAATTTGCATGTCCCTCCATTTTCTTCTAATTAATTTCTCCTTCAAGTTTAATTTAGATGTCCTTGGTCTGCTACCTGATTGTATGCCAACAGAGTTGGTGACGTGTCTCCAACACTTAAGAAAGAAAATGGGTTTAAGTATTTGACTTCCAGACTCTACCTCATAAGGGAATCTTTCTGATTTTCAGACATTTAGAGTGAGGCTCTTGTGTCTGTAGCACTGACACAGTTTGAATGAGTCGGAACAATTTAGAATTGGATTCATATAAAAATCTAGGCTTTATTTGTGGGTTGCAGCCACTGAAGTTGTCATCTGTATTGTGCTTTTTTAAGTTATCTTGAGGCTTAATGAGACATCAAACCTTATTGAACTTTATTTCAAAGGAGCATTTAGAGAAACTCTGAAGTGTTACTTTGTCCCCAAGGATGTCAGTTAAGTCCCTCAGATTTTTTAGGTACAGAGAATTGAATATTATCAAATGGTCTAGAGGACCATCTTTTTTTTTTTTTTTTTTTTTTTTTTTTTTTAACCAGAATAACCTAAAACCACACACTAACCCCCTGTGTTCTTCTCTTCCATTTTAGGGTGTGCTACTTCTACCCCTTACTCCACGTCTCGGCTGATGTTGTTAAATATGCCAGGGCAGCTACCTCAGACTCTGAGTTCCCCATCGACACGGCTGATAACTGAACCACCACAAGTATGGTGTCAACTAGTGTGCCTGCTCTCTCCTCTGCTTTCTGGTGAAGCTGACCCTTTGGGTCAGATTTAGTATGTGGTTGGGAAAATTTCACACTGCTCATTTCAGGAGTCACTTTTAAGGATCCATGATATTAGCAAAGAAAGTTACTGTTGCCTCTTAGATTCATCTTGAAGTCTTGATTTACAAAATGCAACTTGTTTCTTGATACGCTTTTAATAAGATGCCTTTTTCTAGATGAAAAAGCTAAATTTAAGCTGAACACTGGCCATGGATATAAACCTCGTGGATGACTTAGCATTCCTTTGCCACTGCTGATGTACTTTATTAACTTCCCAGGCTACTCTTTGGAGCCCATCTATGGTTTGTGGTATGACCACTCCTCCAACTTCTCCTGGAAATGTCCCACCTGATCTGTCACACCCTTACAGTAAAGTCTTTGGTACAACTGGTATGTATGTCTTAGGTTGGATTTGATTAGTTGGTTTTGGCCTGCCTTTAATGGCAGGAGGAGCTCTCTTTTAGATCTAAGGGACCACTTGCTGTTGTAAACTTGTTTTTGACACTTATTGCAAATCCCTGGGGCTTTCAGAATGTGTAAAGTGAACCTAAAAACAAAAAAGAGAGAGACTGATCTAGATCCCCAGAAAGTTAACTCTAGCAGCTTTATTTATAGTAATAGTTATAGGCTGAAAAAAAATCGGCAGTTTTTCTAATAGTTGGGCTCAGTGTTCATATATGTTCTGCCCTTGTCTCTAAGCAGGTGGAAAAGGAACTCCTCTGGGAACCCCAGCAACCTCTCCTCCTCCAGCCCCACTCTGTCATTCGGATGACTACGTGCACATTTCACTCCCCCAGGCCACAGTCACACCCCCCAGGAAGGTGCGATCCAGCTCGTCTGCTATCCCTCTGCCCAGGCACAGTGACTCACTTGCAAGCCTCACTTTGAGAAGCCTAATTATGCCAGATAGAATTCTGACCTAAAATGCAATGGGTTTGAATCAGAATAATTGAAAATGGACTAACAAGCTGCTCTCAAGGTGTGATCTGCCGACCCCTGGGTGGTTCCAAAACTCTGCTTTGGCAGAACTCTTGTGGGGAACCCAGCAGGTCAAACCTACTCTCTTGATTTTTTTTTTTTTTTTTTTTTTGGAGACAGGGTCTTGCTCTGTCGCCCAGGGTGGAGTGCAGTGGCACGATCATGGCTCACTGCAGCCTTGACCTCCCAGACTCATGCAATCCTCCTGCATCAGCCTCGCTAGTAGCTGGGACTACAGGCATGTGCCATGATGCCTGGCTAAGTTTTTTTTTTTTTTGGTGGAGATGAGGTCTCACTATGTTGCCCAGGCTAGTCTTAAACTCCTGGACTCAAACGATCCTCCTACCTGGGCCTCCCAAAATCCTGGGATTACAGGTTTGAGCCACCACACCTGACCAAACCCACCTTCATAGTAACACTAAGCTGTCATTTGCCCTTCCCACTGCATTGGCATCTGCAATGATGGCACAAATACGACGGGGGGTGAAATGGTGGCAACTTAGCCTGAATCAAGGCAGGCATTGAAGTGTCCTATCCCAAGAGGCCTTGCATTCTTCCCTGACATCTTCTCTCCATTAAAAACAATAAAAACTAAAAAATTTTAAAAGTTGAGTGTTCTGTATTAAGCAGTAACCATTATTAATTTTATTAAATCTTAGCCCTTGAGAACATGTATGTGTAATATTCTTCGTGGCAAAATAGAAAATATGCATAAGGCACATGTACTGCATACCAGGGTATGATGGTGACCTCTGGCCCTCATGCAGTTATTTGAATTGAGAGGTGAAGTAGCTGCCTTTTTTCATGGAATGCCAGTTTTATTTGAAAGAACTGCTGTCTTACAAACTGGTTATTCAGACTTGGGTGTTTGGCAGGCAGCTTCTCAAATGATGAGCTGAGTCTGTCACTTCAAGATAAACAACTGACAGTATTTGTTGCCAACAATAAAAGTCAACTCTCAGGTGGAAATCAAGATATTAAAAAACGTGTATATACTACCATGAACTTGATAGCTGCCCCAGGACTTTTATGATGAGACCGAAAAGTCTGTGGAAGCTTAGTTAGTAATTTGAGTTTTTGATATTGTATAATGAAGTGTTTCAACATTTGGAATATTTGAATAGCTTGAGGAGCCAATATTTTCAGAGTGTCCAATGTATGATACGTTGCAGAATCATGCATAGGTAAAAAGTACATTCAAAGTACAAAGCAGGCTGGGCGCAGTGGCTTACACCTGTAACCCAGCACTTTGGGAGGCTGAAGCAGGTGGATCACTTGAGGTCAGCAGTTGAAGACCAGCCTGGCCTACATGTTGAAACACCATCTCTACTAAATATAGACATTAGCCGGGTATGGTGGCAGGCACCTGTAATCCCAGCTACTTGGGAGGCTGAGGCGGGAGAATCACTTGAACCCAGGAGGCGGAGGTTGCAGTAAGTCGAGATCACACCACTGCATTCCAGCCCCAGCCTGGGCAACAGGGCAAGACTGTCACAAAAAAAAAAAAAAAAAGTGCAAGGTAGACTAGTGGGTTTTAACACAGGAAAAGCTCATTGATGTGGTTTCAAATTTCACTTTGTAACTTTAAGAAACTAACACTTATCAAATTTTGGTGTAATAACAAAGATGATTATTTGAAAAGTCTGTCAACATACGTTTACTTTTTGCGGCTGGGCGTGGTGGCTTGCTTCTGTATCCAGCACTCTGGGAGTCCAAGGGAGGTAGATTGCTTGAGCCCAGGCGTTCAAGACCAGCCTGGGCAACATGCAAAACCCCATCTCAACTAAAAAAAAAAAAAAAGCCAGGTGTGGTGATGTGCATCTGTAGTCCCAGCTAATCGGGGAGCTGATGGAGAACGGCTTGAGCCCAGGAGGCAGAGATTGCAGTGAGCCATGATCACGCCACTGCATTCCAGCCTAGGTGACAGAGCCAGACCCTGTCTCAAAAAGAAAAACAACAACACATATGTTTACTTTTGCAATTACATATCTGTGGGGCCCCAGATTTTCTTTATACACTTCAGTCAAAATAACATATTGCAACAGACTGAATGTAGAGGTAGATATGAGAATCCAGCTGTCTTTCATGAAGCCATATATTAAAGAGATGGCAAAAATGTTCCATTCTTCTCACTAAATTTATTTTTATTTCGGGAAATATAGTTTTTTAATAAGAATATGTAATTTACATTAACTTGTAATGGGCTTGCTATTTTTAAGGGAATTAATATTTTAAAAATTTCCTGGTTTTCTAATATAATAATTATGCCTCGTAAAAGCTCTTGGGATTCTCCAACTTTCTCATTATTATTATTATTTTGTGTGTGTGAGACAGGGTCTCACTCTGTCGCCCAGGCTGGAGTGCAGTGGCACAATTGCAGCTCTCTGCAGCCTTGACCTCCCTGGCTCAGGTGGTCCTCCCACCTCAGCCTCCTGGGTAGTTGGGACTACAAGCACCAGTCACCATGCCCGGCTACTTTTTAAATTTTTTGTAGAGATGGGGTTTTGCCATGTTCCCCAGGCTAGTCTCAAACTGCTGAGCTCAAGGGATCCACTGGCCTTGGCCTCCCAAAGTGCTGGGACTACAGGCGTGGGCCACCACGCCCAGTCTGCAGCCATTTTTTAAGACTATAAAGAAAGCTGCTGGGCGTGGTCCCAGCACTTTGGGAGGCCGAGGCAGGCAGATCATCTGAGGTTGGGAGTTCGTGACCAGCCTGACCAATGTGGAGAAACCCCGTCTGTACTAAAAATACAAAAATTAGCCAGGCGTGGTGGTGCATTTCTGTAATCCCAGCTACTCTGGAGGCTGAGGCAGGAGAATCGCTTGAACCCAGGAGGCGGAGGTTGCAGTGAGCCGAGATTGTGCCATTGCACTCCAGCCTGGGCAACAAGAGCGAAACTCCACCTCAAAAAAAAAGAAAAGAAAACATCCCAACAATTTGAGAATCACTGCACTCGGCTGACCTTTAAACTACTTTACAATATGCTCGAGAACATGTGCAACATTTTTCGTCTTGTGATATAAATGATACTTATCTTTTCAGGAAGAGAGAATGGATTCTGCAAGACCATGTCTACACAGACAACACCATCTTCTGAATGACAGAGGATCAGGTAAAATTTCTGCGTTACTACAGGCCTTGCTTGCCTCTTCTAATTGGGTTATATGTGTTTAAGAAAAGAAAGTTAAATGGAAACAAGGAAATTCTGGGATATCCAAAATACTGAGGCCTAAACATAATGAAACGAGTAGTGAATTCTAAACACCAACCTAATAATATCAAAAACAGTTTTTAAGCTATTGCAGTGAAGTACCTGTATTCTGACTTGACTATATCTCTTTTCAGAGACATTAAGAACTGAGAATTTTATTTGCTATGGGATTATTTTTGGTACTTTTAGTTATATTATTTTTAATATTTCAGTCTTTTGTAGTATCCCCAGGACAGAGCCATGTCCAGCCTTCTCTGTTCAGCATGAAGAGTTATTACAGACATATTCTATACAGTGTAAGCAGTTTTACACTTACAGGGATTACACTGTATTTCTTTGACTTCAGTTGTCTTTGTTTCTCTTCAGAAGAGCCACCTGGCAGCAAAGGTTCTGTCACTCTAAGTGATCTTCCAGGGTTTTTAGGTGATCTGGCCTCTGAAGAAGATAGTATTGAAAAAGATAAAGAAGAAGGTAATGTATGTGGGATTGCTATGAGTTGATAAAACCTGACCCTCGCTCTGCTATAAATCTGGGATTTTGTGCCATTGCTCACAGGCTTGCTGGATTTTTCTTCTCTTGAGGTAACAAGATGGGTGGTTTAGTCTGGGACCTATGCCAGGTAAAGTGATGCCACTTTTTTTTTTTTTTTTTTTGAGACAGGGTCTTGCTCTGTCACCCTGGCTGGAGTGCAGTGGTACGATCATGGCTCACTGCAGCCTTGACCTCCCAGGCTCAAGCAATCCGCCCACCTCAGCCTCCTGAGTAGCTGGGACCACAGGCATACACCACGATGCTCAGCTGATTTTTATTGTATTTTTTGTAGAGATGGGATCTCCCTATGTTGTCCAGGCTGGTCTCTAACTCCTGGGCTCAAGTGATCCTCCCTCCTCAGCCTCCCAAAGTTCTGGCATTACAGGCGTGAGCCACTGTGTCCAGCCGGATGCCACTTTTTCTCCTCTCTCTGAGTGACACTGGCATGTGGCAGCATGCCACCCAAACTGCCTAGTCTTTCCCAGGTGGAATACCGACTGCCATTTCTTTTGTTTCCTCTCTTCCTCTCAGCTGCAATATCTAGAGAACTTTCTGAGATCACCACAGCAGAGGCAGAGCCTGTGGTTCCTCGAGGAGGCTTTGACTCTCCCTTTTACCGAGACAGTCTCCCAGGTTCTCAGCGGAAGACCCACTCGGCAGCCTCCAGTTCTCAGGGCGCCAGCGTGAACCCTGAGCCTTTACACTCCTCCCTGGACAAGCTTGGGCCTGACACACCAAAGCAAGCCTTTACTCCCATAGACCTGCCCTGCGGCAGTGCTGATGAAAGCCCTGCGGGAGACAGGGAATGCCAGACTTCTTTGGAGACCAGTATCTTCACTCCCAGTCCTTGTAAAATTCCACCTCCGACGAGAGTGGGCTTTGGAAGCGGGCAGCCTCCCCCGTATGATCATCTTTTTGAGGTGGCATTGCCAAAGACAGCCCATCATTTTGTCATCAGGAAGACTGAGGAGCTGTTAAAGAAAGCAAAAGGAAACACAGAGGAAGATGGTGTGCCCTCTACCTCCCCAATGGAAGTGCTGGACAGACTGATACAGCAGGGAGCAGACGCGCACAGCAAGGAGCTGAACAAGTAAGGGACTGGGGCACTCTCTTCTGTGTTAAATGGTCCATTTTATTGTGAAGTACAGAAAGTGTAAGAGAGGAACAAGAATCATTCTTCACACTCCCACCTTGAGGCAGCTGGTTCTCTGCTGTTTGTCAGATGTCCTTCTAGGCTGTTGCATCTTCATATATGTGACCATGTGTGACCTCTGTGCACCTAAATTGGGATGATTCCTTAGCAGTCCATTTCAAAATGAGTCTTTTTATATAGGCCATTTTATGCCTCTGTTCTATGAGGACACTCAAATGCTTTCATATGTGCCCTCTGCAAGCTGTAGGCTGAAAATGAGGTTATGGTATTTCAAAGAATATAAGAATATTTGTCACAGTGTTTCCCTCTCTAGCTACAGATTATTATTATTATTTTCTATTTTGGTATCATAGTTCATTAGGTGGAGATAAAATCATCAGCATTTTATGCAAGTTCAGATGGCCTGACATCCCCTCCAGACCCCCTGAGGCACCCAAGTTTTCATAGAAAGGACTCTAGCTGAGAAACGGTTTCCCATCCGTCTTTTATTAGCTACTTTACAGGTGCTTGGGGAATATTTTTATTTTTCTTCTTATATACTATGCTATGGTGGAATTTGACAGGGATTATAGTATTTAAGCTCCCTCTTTTTAAACGAGATTTGGTATGATAGGCTTAGGTAAATTACCTACTTTTTCCTTAAATCGGAGTGACATAGCTTTACAACAGAGTGTACTCCCTGTATATTTCAACAGACAGGGTTGAAAACGGCTCTCAGTGTGTTTGACTACTCAGTTTCTCTGGAGAGCTGGCCCCAGAAACGGAGGCCACGGTGTATGCAGTGCAGCTCAGCCTGCAACCCTCTCCGCTCTGGATTTGTTTTTTAAAGGACTGTGTTAAGCTAACAACACAGGTCCTAGGCAGTGGGGCGAGGGCCGCCTCCCATTGTGTCCAGTGTAGGCTTCTCCTCTAACTCTCTGTGGACCTGGAGTTTGAAACATTCTTATGCCATTGCAGATTTTGACCACAAGGAAGTGATCTAACTTTGCTGCAAATAAAAGTCCAGATACGTTTTTTTCTTGGTAAGATCGGTAACTTTGTTACTCAAAAACTTTCTTCCTAGGTTGCCTTTACCCAGCAAGTCTGTCGACTGGACCCACTTTGGAGGTAAAGTTGTTACTTTAGCTCCAAATCCAGCCCACATGGTTCCTGCTTGCTTGTTGCCCTTTCTGTCCTTGAAGGAGGTGCCCTCTGGGAAACAGATCTCCCCTTGGCTATTGCTCCGGCCAGGCTATCTGCTTGGCTAAAGGATCTCAAGTGTTGCCAAGTCAGCATTTCTTATTTTTGAAAAGTGGCAAGTACTATGCGCTTGAGAGTATAAGTGCAAAATACAGACTTCCTGCCAGGCTTCCCTGGAGAAGACCAGAGTGAAGCATCTTCCTGGGGGAGAACACACAGCGAAGGAAGTGTCTTGAGAAACAGGGCATCTGAAATGCGTGATCTAGATTTGTGGGGAAAGGAAAGCAGGCTCTCAAAGAGTCATCCCACATGATATGACCTTTTGCATTCCTTCACGGGGGAGACACATAGTCCATACTTTCCCCCCTGCTGTTGCTGGGAGTCAAGTGGTCATTTGCAAAGAGAGTGGTGATTTGTTTTTAAAGAATTGTGTTTGTTAAGCTAACAACACATGGGAAGGGGGCTTGATTGAACCATCTGTAAAAGGCATTTCTGCCACCCTCCCTCTGCTTTACAATCAGGCTCTCCTCCTTCAGATGAGATCCGCACCCTCCGAGACCAGTTGCTTTTACTGCACAACCAGTTACTCTATGAGCGTTTTAAGAGGCAGCAGCATGCCCTCCGGAACAGGCGGCTCCTCCGCAAGGTGATCAAAGCAGCAGCTCTGGAGGAACATAATGCTGCCATGGTGAGGACTGGGGAGGGGACAGGTGGAGCTTGCTTTTTGTTTTGTTTTGGGTCAGCATGATAGCTTATAAAGCACAGCAGCCGAGGAGGTCAGAGTTCCCAGTCCTTCCCACTCCTTTGGGCAGGTCGCTTGAGATTAAGACATGAATGGTGACACCTCGGAATTCCCTCATAATTCTCAGAAACCGTGGGGACAAGTGATTTTGTGTGTGTATGTTTGCATGTAACTGGCCATGATGATGAAGGGTCAGAAGATGATTTTATTTCTCCAAATGTAAAACCAACTCTTGTAAAGCTATTTCATGGCACAAAACTGAAGCGTGTATTGTACAGCGGGTGTGAAGCCAGTCAGGCCTGGAGTTTGAATCTTGGCTCTACCAGTGTTACCTTAGAAAAGTAACGTGGCCTCTTGAAGCCTCTGTTAGCCATGCTATAAAATGGAAATAACAATAGCAGCACCTGCTCTTTAAGTTGTGATGGTTAAAAGAAATTATGTCGGTAAGCCCTTGCTGAGCGCCCAGCACACTGCAAGCATTCAGTAAATGCTCATCGTTTCAGTGAACTTAGTACCATGTTTGAGAGATTTTATTCCAGTGTTGGTAGTCAGACTTTTGAAAGTATTGGAAGCAAACTGATCCCTGAGAAGATTTATTTAAGCAACTTAAGATCCATTTGCTTAATGTAAAATTTGGAAAACCTTGACCTAAGGCCAAGTAAGACAGTAGTGAGCTCTAAGAGTTTTGGTCTGTAGTTAGTTACATTTTCAGGGTAGCTTATGACTATTCAGATGAAATGTTCGCAGTGTGTGTTAAATTGCCTGTGTTGGAAGACAGCTAAAATGATGACATTTCTGGTCTCTGCTAGAAAGATCAGTTGAAGTTACAAGAGAAGGACATCCAGATGTGGAAGGTTAGTCTGCAGAAAGAACAAGCTAGATACAATCAGCTCCAGGAGCAGCGTGACACTATGGTAACCAAGCTCCACAGCCAGATCAGACAGCTGCAGCATGACCGAGAGGAATTCTACAACCAGAGCCAGGAATTACAGGTATAAACTGCAGCACCAGGCAAAGCCAACTGCGAGAATGCCGGAGAGCAGTGGGGAGGGAGGCAGTCAGTTTCCCTGGGTGTCCTTGACTTGTTCAGCTTTACTAAGCTGAATGCTTTTCTCTCTGAAATCATGGCAGAAATTCTTCATGGCAGGTGAATCTTACTTAGGACAGAGGTTCCCCAACTTTGTTGGTTCATATAGTAGCTCCCTTAGTGTCTCAGTCATTTTTTTTTCTGCAGCCAAAAGGAAACAGTTAACAGTTCTGCTCATTAAGTAGATCTGAATAACTTAGTGAGTACGAATGTCCTAAGAACTTAGTAGCTGTTCACAGATAATACACATAAATTAATTTTTAAAAAAATAATTGCAATTACTAATGCCTCGTGTGCACCTATTGGGCACTGCATGGTATCTCAGACCTTGAAATCAGAGTGGACAGTGACACCCTCATTTCCTGTTCCACACTGGTTTTCCTTGTGGTGCTTTGTATCACTGCACCCAAAAAAACCCGGCTTCACAAAGACGTCATCCACAGACACAGCATCATTTCCAGCCAGTTAGTAATTCACAGAGTGTCCAACAGATGGCGCTGCGTCTCCCTCGAAAATTCAGAATCTTTCTGCAGCATCCCTGTGAGTTTGCTGTGTAGCCTCAGGGCTCTTTGGTGCACAGTTTGGGAACTGAGGATCTAAGGTCTCTTTTTTTCTTTTGTTAAACAGTAAGGAACTCAGAAATCAACCATAACTTACTTTTTAAAACTAAGACATCAAATTCTGAGGGCCCAAGAAAGTAGAGCCGTTGAGCTAAGGCATTCCCAGTCCTCTGTGGGCTGGTGGCTAGGTAGGCCTGTGATCTGGCCTGTTGGTGTTCCTCAAACTTCATGTCCACGTCTCTTTGGGCAGACGAAGCTGGAGGACTGCAGGAACATGATTGCGGAGCTGCGGATAGAACTGAAGAAGGCCAACAACAAGGTGTGTCACACTGAGCTGCTGCTCAGTCAGGTTTCCCAAAAGGTAAGAAGAAATGAGGCAGACCTGAATCTGCTGAAACACCATTTGCTAACATTCTTCCTTCAGACAGGTTAAAGAAATAGATTACTTGAGTGTCTGTGTCATGGGTTCCCAACAGGAAGTGGTTCTGCTGCCCCCATAGTCCCTGACATTTGGCAATGTCTGGAGACATTTTAGGTTCATGTTTTTGGTGCTGCTGGTATCCAGTGGGTAGGAGCCAGGGTGCTGCCAAATATCCTACAATGCACAGGCAGCCCCCTGCAACAAAGAAGTATCCATCCTAAACCCTGCTCTATGTGTATCCCATGGAACTCTTTCTTCATACCTTGTTTACATAAATGTCAAAAGTTTGTTCAGGTTTTTGAGCGTGATTCCTCCTTCTTTGGGAATCACTGCACTTCATACATCATTTTGTCAAGAACGGTGAGTTTTCCCTAGGGCTTTATGCCACTGGGCCTTGGTGGTATACCTGTCCACCTTCTCCAGGTGTTCTGTGGGTGGTCAGTTTGATGGACTGCATTTGTGCTGTCCCCTTTGCAAAGCACAGTTCTGAAGTGTGTTTCTGTCTATTTTTGTTGTCCTTGGGTACCATCCTCCCCACCTGCCATTATGTCAGGGACTGTGAACCCATGGGACTGGTTTATTTTGCCTTAACATTGAAATAGTGTGCTCCTAGCTGATTCCCTGTTTAATGACGTCTATGTGCTAGTTTTATGTCGTCGGATTTTTCACTTTGCTCATGTTTTTTGGTTAGCTCTCAAACAGTGAGTCGGTCCAGCAGCAGATGGAGTTCTTGAACAGGCAGCTGTTGGTTCTTGGGGAGGTCAACGAGCTCTATTTGGAACAACTGCAGAACAAGCACTCAGATACCACAAAGGTATGCCAGGGCTCGGGAGCCAGACCTTAGTGGGGAAAGCGTTTCAGACCCAGACAGTATGTCTCCCGCATGGCATAGAGAATGGCTTGATGACTTATTTCCTAAAAGACGGAGCGGCAGTCCCACTACTCCGTGGTCCAGCTATACAAGCACTTTCCAGCCACCATGTGAGCTTGTTTCTCCTATTGGGTTGCTTTGAAGTTAACTCACACTGAAAGCACCTAATGGTAGTTGGTAGAGAGTAGGTGTAAAGTGTTTCCTTTCTCTTCCCTAGGCTGCCTTTCAAAGAGGGAGAGAGAAAAAGAAGGATGGGGGACCAATTCTGTTTAACATACCTCTCAGGACCATGGATATAGAGTGCTGTACATACCATTTTTTTTTTTCCTTTTAATGTTGGATTTCTGCAGATGGTAGTTCAGTCCTGGCAACAAGGCCAGCATTGGGATGATCTTACATTAATTAGTGCCTCACCAGTGGTGTCGAGGCAGAAGTTTTAAGTCACTTTATAAATAGCCTCAGGTAATGTTAGTGAATGAGGTGGGAATTGAATTTTAATAGTAGCTGTTCAGATACTTCCTGTCACTAACTTCTCCATCACACATGGGCCTTCTTTTTGGGTTTCTTGGGCATGTGCTTTGTAAAGAGTCTTTTTCGGCCGGATGTAGAGAGGAGTCTTAGAACTGGAGAGAGTAATTTTCCTAATAGAGTTACTCTTTATTTCTTGGCTCCTCTCAGCTCTCAGATTCAGACTCCCTTTTTTAGAAGGATGTTAGGTGTGGGACTTTCTCTAGAAAGCAGCTATCACTTATTTTGGAGGTGTAATGACTGGGAACAGAAAGGGGGAGAAACAGATCCGAGGCACAAGAGAGCTCCTGAAAAAGCTGCTGAAACGTGCCTGGGCCATCTCCTGAGAGAAGCCTAGATGGGCGGCCTCCAAGGAGTCCTTGTGCTGTTTGGGACCTTGAGTAGCTGCCTCTCCATGGGGCCCTGTTTCCCAGTTCATAAAACGGGTGATGCAGCTGAGTTGTGATAGTCAGGATGCCTTCAATTGTAGACAACAAAAACCAAACTAGGGCTGGGCACGGTGACACATGCCTACAGTGCCAACTATTTGGAAGGCTGAAATAGGAGGATTGCTTGAGCTCAGAAGTTCTAGACCAAGCCTAACAATATCCAAAAAAACAACAAAAACAAAAAGCACTCAACTGGCTTAACAGTGAAGAACTGTATTGTTTCACTTGACAAGAGGTTGTGAGGCAGGTGAGTTCCAGGTTGGTCAAGTTGGCCATTCAGGGACAGCATCGAGGAGCCAGGCTCTTTCCACTCTTCTGCACTGCCTTGCTTATCCTGCAGACCTTGTCTTCCAGCTAGCTGCACTCATGGTTGCCAGGTGTGTGCCACAGGCACAGATATGACAGGCAGACACAATGATGTCCCCACAGAAGAGGAGAGCATCTCTTCCTATTCCTCAGCAAGAAAATCTTTCCCAGGCTGGACGTGGTGGCTCATGCTTGTAATCCCAGCACTTTGGTAGGCCGAGGCGGGTGGATCACGAGGTTAGGAGAACGAGACCATCCTGGCGAACATGGTGAAACCCCGTCTCTACTAAAAATACAAAAAATTAGCCAGGTGTGGTGGCGCACACTTGTAGTCCCAGCTACTTGGGGAGCTGAGGCAGGGGAATCGCTTGAACCCCGGAGGCGGAGGTTTCAGTGGGCCGAGATCACGCCACTGCACTCCAGCCCGGTCAACAGAGCAAGACTCTGTCTCCAAAAAAAAGAAAAGGAAAAGAAAACCTTTCCCAGATGATCCCACCATACTTCTCATCACCCCTGTTGGCCAGGCCTGTCCTGTGCCCATCCCTAGCCTAGTCATTGCCTCAACCCAGTCAGGATTTGCTCCTGAACCTGGAGCTAGGGTTGCTCTTGTTCCATCCAAAGGAGGAGGAAGAGTGAGTGGTGGGGAATCAGGTGGGAACAGTTGGTAGGGGTAGCTGTAAGGATTAGTGAGAGTGCACGGATGTTCCTGGTTCAATGCTTTGCATGATTATCCATGAATAAGTCCTGTTGTTTATGACGAAGGCCAGATAGATGCGTTCATCCACCCTGTGCTGAAGTCGAGCCATTTAGCACAGCTGGAACAGCCGCATTATCCGAGAGCCAGTTCTGAGTTTCAATCAGTTGCGTTCTATAACAAGGAAGCATTGGGCTTACCAGACAGCATCAAGGCAGGGCGCCTTCGTGAAAGCTCATCTCCTTGCTGTTTATGGTTTATTATCTTTTTTAAAAAACAAATATATGGCAAGTTTTGTGTTTTGTATATTTTACCACGGTAAACATACACACACAAATGTAACACAGGCTTAAAAAAATACCCTTTCCGCCTTCTTTCTGAGCATTAGTGTGTACTTGCTCTGGGTTTCAAGCTGTTCCAATCTGTCGGCAGCAGGCCATCTGCCTTAGCACGATCAACAAACCTTGTCAGGGCATCCAGTCTGCAAAGGCTGCTTTGCTTGAGCAGACCTGCTCCATTGGCATTCCATTCTGTAGCCTCACCTGCGCTATTGTCAGGAGGGGGAGAAAAGGAGAAAGGAAAGCAAGTGACCTGCGGTACCACTGGACTGAAATGATAACTGGATAGTGGCGTATTTTCACTTGGTGTTTTGTATATGTATATGTTCGCATAGTTGATTGTACTATTCACACAGTCTTGTAGTCTGCTTTTTAATCTTTTTACTGACACCATATCATTTTTTAAAAAGACTTAGAAATATAGGATGTATTTTAATTTACTTAACTGTTCCCCTGACATTAGACTTAAACGATGTTTCCAGGTTTTTGCTCTTATAAATATGCTGTGATGATTATTTTTGTGCAAAATCTCTATTTATGTTTCACATGATTTGCTTGGGGATAGATTTCAAGGAAGGGTTACTAGGATAATACTACCAGCTTACTTTCCATAAAGTTGTACTAGTTTATATTTCTGTTATCAGTATACTAAAATGCCTTCTCAGTCCTTCTTACATTGTCTTTTCAAAATGGATACAGCATGTTTATTTTTTATAAGTACTAATTCCAGTCTTTTTTTTTTTTTTTTTTCAGGAAGTAGAAATGATGAAAGCCGCCTATCGGAAAGAGCTAGAAAAAAACAGAAGCCATGTTCTCCAGCAGACTCAGAGGCTTGATACCTCCCAAAAACGGATTTTGGAACTGGAATCTCACCTGGCCAAGAAAGACCACCTTCTTTTGGAACAGAAGAAATATCTAGAGGATGTCAAACTCCAGGCAAGGTAACTTTCATCAGGAAAGGCTTTTGTGTTTTTATTAAGTGGAACTTCCTATATTCTGGCTGGTCTGTATCTTTCAGAGGACAGCTGCAGGCCGCAGAGAGCAGGTATGAGGCTCAGAAAAGGATAACCCAGGTGTTTGAATTGGAGATCTTAGATTTATATGGCAGGTTGGAGAAAGATGGCCTCCTGAAAAAACTTGAAGAAGAAAAAGCAGAAGCAGCTGAAGCAGCAGAAGAAAGGTAGGAACAAAGAACTGATTCATGACCTTGGGACTAAGCTGCCAATTCCAGCATAAGGACTGTGTCACGTGGTGTGGGAAGCAGTTACTGCTGACTAGACAGGCTGCAACACTCAGCTCACTCCGTGTCAGAGACCCACTCTGACGTTCCTTTCCTCAAAACGCCCAGTGATCTCTTCGTGTTCGTGTTCCTGGCCTTGAGTCCCTCCATATGGCCACAGGAAGTGTTCACACTTAAGATTGCCACCTACTATCCCTAGTTGTGATTTAGGTTTCTCTTGATGAGATCTCTTGAGTCCAGTATTATAAAACAGAGAGTGGGCTAGCGGAGTTCAGTGTCAGTGTGAGTGAGTGTCAGTGTAATTCCACATCCTCCGAATGTGGACAGTCCAATCACCAGCTCCTTTTTTCCTCCCCGGCTTTCTTACAGGCTTGACTGTTGTAATGACGGGTGCTCAGATTCCATGGTAGGGCACAATGAAGAGGCATCTGGCCACAACGGTGAGACCAAGACCCCCAGGCCCAGCAGCGCCCGGGGCAGTAGTGGAAGCAGAGGTGGTGGAGGCAGCAGCAGCAGCAGCAGCGAGCTTTCTACCCCAGAGAAACCCCCACACCAGAGGGCAGGCCCATTCAGCAGTCGGTGGGAGACGACTATGGGAGAAGCGTCTGCCAGCATCCCCACCACTGTGGGCTCACTTCCCAGTTCAAAAAGCTTCCTGGGTATGAAGGCTCGAGAGTTATTTCGTAATAAGAGCGAGAGCCAGTGTGATGAGGACGGCATGACCAGTAGCCTTTCTGAGAGCCTAAAGACAGAACTGGGCAAAGACTTGGGTGTGGAAGCCAAGATTCCCCTGAACCTAGATGGCCCTCACCCGTCTCCCCCGACCCCGGACAGTGTTGGACAGCTACATATCATGGACTACAATGAGACTCATCATGAACACAGCTAAGGAATGATGGTCAATCAGTGTTAACTTGCATATTGTTGGCACAGAACAGGAGGTGTGAATGCACGTTTCAAAGCTTTCCTGTTTCCAGGGTCTGAGTGCAAGTTCATGTGTGGAAATGGGACGGAGGTCCTTTGGACAGCTGACTGAATGCAGAACGGTTTTTGGATCTGGCATTGAAATGCCTCTTGACCTTCCCCTCCACCCGCCCTAACCCCCTCTCATTTACCTCGCAGTGTGTTCTAATCCAAGGGCCAGTTGGTGTTCCTCAGTAGCTTTACTTTCTTCCTTTCCCCCCCAAATGGTTGCGTCCTTTGAACCTGTGCAATATGAGGCCAAATTTAATCTTTGAGTCTAACACACCACTTTCTGCTTTCCCGAAGTTCAGATAACTGGGTTGGCTCTCAATTAGACCAGGTAGTTTGTTGCATTGCAGGTAAGTCTGGTTTTGTCCCTTCCAGGAGGACATAGCCTGCAAAGCTGGTTGTCTTTACATGAAAGCGTTTACATGAGACTTTCCGACTGCTTTTTTGATTCTGAAGTTCAGCATCTAAAGCAGCAGGTCTAGAAGAACAACGGTTTATTCATACTTGCATTCTTTTGGCAGTTCTGATAAGCTTCCTAGAAAGTTCTGTGTAAACAGAAGCCTGTTTCAGAAATCTGGAGCTGGCACTGTGGAGACCACACACCCTTTGGGAAAGCTCTTGTCTCTTCTTCCCCCACTACCTCTTATTTATTTGGTGTTTGCTTGAATGCTGGTACTATTGTGACCACAGGCTGGTGTGTAGGTGGTAAAACCTGTTCTCCATAGGAGGGAAGGAGCAGTCACTGGGAGAGGTTACCCGAGAAGCACTTGAGCATGAGGAACTGCACCTTTAGGCCATCTCAGCTTGCTGGGCCTTTTGTTAAACCCTTCTGTCTACTGGCCTCCCTTTGTGTGCATACGCCTCTTGTTCATGTCAGCTTATATGTGACACTGCAGCAGAAAGGCTCTGAAGGTCCAAAGAGTTTCTGCAAAGTGTATGTGACCATCATTTCCCAGGCCATTAGGGTTGCCTCACTGTAGCAGGTTCTAGGCTACCAGAAGAGGGGCAGCTTTTTCATACCAATTCCAACTTTCAGGGGCTGACTCTCCAGGGAGCTGATGTCATCACACTCTCCATGTTAGTAATGGCAGAGCAGTCTAAACAGAGTCCGGGAGAATGCTGGCAAAGGCTGGCTGTGTATACCCACTAGGCTGCCCCACGTGCTCCCGAGAGATGACACTAGTCAGAAAATTGGCAGTGGCAGAGAATCCAAACTCAACAAGTGCTCCTGAAAGAAACGCTAGAAGCCTAAGAACTGTGGTCTGGTGTTCCAGCTGAGGCAGGGGGATTTGGTAGGAAGGAGCCAGTGAACTTGGCTTTCCTGTTTCTATCTTTCATTAAAAAGAATAGAAGGATTCAGTCATAAAGAGGTAAAAAACTGTCACGGTACGAAATCTTAGTGCCCACGGAGGCCTCGAGCAGAGAGAATGAAAGTCTTTTTTTTTTTTTTTTTTTTTTAGCATGGCAATAAATATTCTAGCATCCCTAACTAAAGGGGACTAGACAGTTAGAGACTCTGTCACCCTAGCTATACCAGCAGAAAACCTGTTCAGGCAGGCTTTCTGGGTGTGACTGATTCCCAGCCTGTGGCAGGGCGTGGTCCCAACTACTCAGCCTAGCACAGGCTGGCAGTTGGTACTGAATTGTCAGATGTGGAGTATTAGTGACACCACACATTTAATTCAGCTTTGTCCAAAGGAAAGCTTAAAACCCAATACAGTCTAGTTTCCTGGTTCCGTTTTAGAAAAGGAAAACGTGAACAAACTTAGAAAGGGAAGGAAATCCCATCAGTGAATCCTGAAACTGGTTTTAAGTGCTTTCCTTCTCCTCATGCCCAAGAGATCTGTGCCATAGAACAAGATACCAGGCACTTAAAGCCTTTTCCTGAATTGGAAAGGAAAAGAGGCCCAAGTGCAAAAGAAAAAACATTTTAGAAACGGACAGCTTATAAAAATAAAGGGAAGAAAGGAGGCAGCATGGAGAGAGGCCTGTGCTAGAAGCTCCATGGACGTGTCTGCACAGGGTCCTCAGCTCATCCATGCGGCCTGGGTGTCCTTTTACTCAGCTTTATAACAAATGTGGCTCCAAGCTCAGGTGCCTTTGAGTTCTAGGAGGCTGTGGGTTTTATTCAACTACGGTTGGGAGAATGAGACCTGGAGTCATGTTGAAGGTGCCCAACCTAAAAATGTAGGCTTTCATGTTGCAAAGAACTCCAGAGTCAGTAGTTAGGTTTGGTTTGGTTTTGGACATGATAAACCTGCCAAGAGTCAACAGGTCACTTGATCATGCTGCAGTGGGTAGTTCTAAGGATGGAAAGGTGACAGTATTACTCTCGAGAGGCAATTCAGTCCTGGGCAAAGGTATTAGTACAATAAGCGTTAAGGGCAGAGTCTACCTTGAAACCAATTAAGCAGCTTGGTATTCATAAATATTGGGATTGGATGGCCTCCATCCAGAAATCACTATGGGTGAGCATACCTGTCTCAGCTGTTTGGCCAATGTGCATAACCTACTCGGATCCCCACCTGACACTAACCAGAGTCAGCACAGGCCCCGAGGAGCCCGAAGTCTGCTGCTGTGCAGCATGGAATTCCTTTAAAAAGGTGCACTACAGTTTTAGCGGGGAGGGGGATAGGAAGACGCAGAGCAAATGAGCTCCGGAGTCCCTGCAGGTGAATAAACACACAGATCTGCATCTGATAGAACTTTGATGGATTTTCAAAAAGCCGTTGACAAGGCTCTGCTATACAGTCTATAAAAATTGTTATTATGGGATTGGAAGAAACACGTGGTCATGAATAGAAAAAAAACAAACCCAAAGGTAGGAAGGTCAAGGTCATTTCTTAGATGGAGAAGTTGTGAAAGATGTCCTTGGAGATGAGTTTTAGGACCAGCATTACTAAGGCAGGTGGGCAGACAGTGACCTCTCTAGGTGTGTCCACAGAGTTTTTCAGGAGAGAAAACTGCCTGACCTTTGGGACTAAGCTGCGGAATCTTCTTACTAAGCTTGAAGAGTGGAGAGGCGAGAGGTGAGCTACTTTGTGAGCCAAAGCTTATGTGACATGGTTGGGGAAACAGTCCAAACTGTTCTGAGAAGGTGAACTGTTACGACCCAGGACAATTAGAAAAATTCACCCACCATGCCGCACATTACTGGGTAAAAGCAGGGCAGCAGGGAACAAAACTCCAGACTCTTGGGCCGTCCCCATTTGCAACAGCACACATAGTTTCTGGTATATTTGTTGGGAAAGATAAAACTCTAGCAGTTGTTGAGGGGAGGATGTATAAAATGGTCATGGGGATGAAAGGATCTCTGAGACCACAGAGGCTCAGACTCACTGTTAAGAATAGAAAACTGGGTATGCGTTTCATGTAGCCAGCAGAACTGAAGTGTGCTGTGACAAGCCAATGTGAATTTCTACCAAATAGTAGAGCATACCACTTGAAGAAGGAAAGAACCGAAGAGCAAACAAAAGTTCTGCGTAATGAGACTCACCTTTTCTCGCTGAAAGCACTAAGAGGTGGGAGGAGGCCTGCACAGGCTGGAGGAGGGTTTGGGCAGAGCGAAGACCCGGCCAGGACCTTGGTGAGATGGGGTGCCGCCCACCTCCTGCGGATACTCTTGGAGAGTTGTTCCCCCAGGGGGCTCTGCCCCACCTGGAGAAGGAAGCTGCCTGGTGTGGAGTGACTCAAATCAGTATACCTATCTGCTGCACCTTCACTCTCCAGGGTACATGCTTTAAAACCGACCCGCAACAAGTATTGGAAAAATGTATCCAGTCTGAAGATGTTTGTGTATCTGTTTACATCCAGAGTTCTGTGACACATGCCCCCCAGATTGCTGCAAAGATCCCAAGGCATTGATTGCACTTGATTAAGCTTTTGTCTGTAGGTGAAAGAACAAGTTTAGGTCGAGGACTGGCCCCTAGGCTGCTGCTGTGACCCTTGTCCCATGTGGCTTGTTTGCCTGTCCGGGACTCTTCGATGTGCCCAGGGGAGCGTGTTCCTGTCTCTTCCATGCCGTCCTGCAGTCCTTATCTGCTCGCCTGAGGGAAGAGTAGCTGTAGCTACAAGGGAAGCCTGCCTGGAAGAGCCGAGCACCTGTGCCCATGGCTTCTGGTCATGAAACGAGTTAATGATGGCAGAGGAGCTTCCTCCCCACTTCGCAGCGCCACATTATCCATCCTCTGAGATAAGTAGGCTGGTTTAACCATTGGAATGGACCTTTCAGTGGAAACCCTGAGAGTCTGAGAACCCCCAGACCAACCCTTCCCTCCCTTTCCCCACCTCTTACAGTGTTTGGACAGGAGGGTATGGTGCTGCTCTGTGTAGCAAGTACTTTGGCTTATGAAAGAGGCAGCCACGCATTTTGCACTAGGAAGAATCAGTAATCACTTTTCAGAAGACTTCTATGGACCACAAATATATTACGGAGGAACAGATTTTGCTAAGACATAATCTAGTTTTATAACTCAATCATGAATGAACCATGTGTGGCAAACTTGCAGTTTAAAGGGGTCCCATCAGTGAAAGAAACTGATTTTTTTTAACGGACTGCTTTTAGTTAAATTGAAGAAAGTCAGCTCTTGTCAAAAGGTCTAAACTTTCCCGCCTCAATCCTAAAAGCATGTCAACAATCCACATCAGATGCCATAAATATGAACTGCAGGATAAAATGGTACAATCTTAGTGAATGGGAATTGGAATCAAAAGAGTTTGCTGTCCTTCTTAGAATGTTCTAAAATGTCAAGGCAGTTGCTTGTGTTTAACTGTGAACAAATAAAAATTTATTGTTTTGCACTACTCTGCTGTGTGGACATGGAGTGGCTTACACTGGCCTTGGCAGGCTTACAGGTCAAGCAGGGGACTGGTCCAAAGATACAAAGCCTTAGGGTCTGGTTTGGCTACCTTGGGTGACTGGAAGAGGAGCCTGACAAATAATGGATTTGGGCTTTTGTCTCTAAGAAGACCCTTTTTATTCTGGCAAATGGTCTGGTGCACAGCCACAAATCCTTCCTGTATCTGCCTCAAATTCATGCTCTTCCTCAATGAGTGGCCAAGTGGCATAGTGTGGGAGGGGGTGATTTGAATCCTGCCTACAGAAAAACCAAGAACCAGGCTGTCTGCAGGGGTGTGTGGCTCCTCCGTGCTGGCATGTTGGGTGTCCCATGTTTTGGTGGCACCACACTGACACTTCAGTGCTCCAGAGCTTGCCCTCTTGAGCCTTGCTGGTTGTGTTAATGTGAGTGTGCCAAGGAGACAGTACAGCTCCCAACATTCCCTTCTCCGTGCCCTTCATGGGCTTTAGAAGAAGGCCGGAAACTGCCTTTACACAATTTTGACATCTACCCTGGCTTATGATCTCTTGGCCTGGGACTTCCATATAAGGACCAGGGATGAATTTCATTTGTGATGTGGCTTTCAATTGCTTGCCTCTGCCTGGCTGTGTCTGGAAATCAGCGTTGCTCTGCCCATTTTATTTTTATTTGTTTTGTTTATTTATTTGAGACGGAGTCTCACTCTGTCGCCCAGGCTGGAGTGCAGTGGCCTGGTCTCAACTCCACTGCAACCTCCGCCTCCCAGGTTCAAGTGATTCTCCTGTCTCAGCCTCCCAAGTAGCTGGAATTACAGGCGCCTGCCACCATATCCGGCTAGTTTTTTTGTGTTTTTAGTAGAGACGGGTTTTCACCATGTTGGCCAGGCTGGTCTCGAACTCCTGGCCTCAAGTGATTCACCCGCCTTGGCCTCCCAAAGTGCTGGGATTACAGGCGTGAGCCACTGCACCCACCCTGCTCTGCCCATTTTAATGGTTGAAGCAACTCCTTTGAGACTAAGGCTGGGAGGCGGCAGTTTTTAATTTCTCTGGAAAATTCAGGTTTTCTTATCTGACTAGGTCTCTTAACTAGACTTCCCATCCTTGGAGGAAGATCTGATTGCTGGTCCTCTGGAGCTTGGGCATGAGCCTCTTAGAAGCCGACTTGAGACAGGCATGCCCCCTTGCCTAGGGTGGCCTCTCTCTCTGCTGTCTGCTGAGGCTTACTGCCCAGTGTCCTTTGATGTCTTAGGGGAGATGTAGGTTTTCTTTCAGGGATAAATCCCAGGAAACCAAGTCAGGCAGAGAGGTGGTAGAATACTTTTTATTCTTGACTGTCTCCCCCTGAGGAAGCAACAATAATACAGAAGCTAAGTCGTCCCCTGTGAAGGGAAAAACCAACAGTCAGACATTACTTTGGGCAAGCTCAGAAGCCAGGGACACATTTTACAATGTTTGGGGTTCGACTACGCTGTGAAAACCAGGTCATCGCCCTTGCTCAGGAGCCACAAAATCAGAATTCTGGCTTCTGTCATGGTCTCCCTCTCCCAAGTAAAGGCGAAGGAAAGGTGAGTTTATTCCCCTTTGGCTGTGGTCCAGAGAACTAAACACACTACTGAGTTCTGGCCAGGTGCCGTGGCTCACACCTGTAATCCCAGCACTTTGGGAGGCCGAGGCGGGTGGACCAGTTGAGGTCAGGAGTTCAAGACCAGCCTGGCCAACGTGGTGAAGCCCCGTCTCTACTAAAAAATATATATATATATAAATTAGCCAGGTGGGGTGGTGGGCGCCTGTAATTCCAGCTACTCAGGAGGCTGAGGCAGGAGAATCGCTTGAACCTGGAGGTGGAGGTTGCAGTGAGCCAAGATCGTGCCACTGCACTCCAGCCTGGGAGACAGAGTGAAACTCCATCTCAAAAAATAAAAAAATAAACACGCTGAGTTCCACATGCCGACCCCCACTCCATCCTGGAGGGGAGCATCCCTGGCTCGCAAACAGCGTGTGCCTTGCCTACAGTTGGGGCTGGTGGTGGGGCAAGGAGCAGATGGTCTCCAGCTTGATCACCCTCTGCAAAACTGCAGCCCGCAGCAGGGACAGGCGTGGCACTGGAGCCGGATGTGGCTCAAAGAGGACCTAGGTGACAGTTCAGTGCCCTCCTGGGACCCTCTACCACACCATCCTGTTTGGGCAACTTCTGTAAGTGGGTTTCCTCTTCATCAGCACGGAGCCTGATGCTTAGAAGTGGAAATGTTAGAAGTTAAAGCAAGAGGGCCGGGCGCTGTGGCTCACGCCTGTAATCCCAGCACTTTGGGAGGCCGATCACGAGGGTAGATCATGAGGTCAGGAGATTGAGACCATCCTGGCTAACATGGTGAAACGCTGTCTCTACTAAAAATACAAAAAATTAGCCAGGCGAGGTGGTGGGCGCCTGTAGTCCCAGCTACTTGGGAGGCTGAGGCAGGAGAATGGCGTGAACCTGGGAGGCGGAGGTTGCAGTGAGCCGAGGTTGCGCCACCGCACTCCAGCCTGGGCGACAGAGCGAGACTCCGTCTCAAAAAAAAAAGAAGTTAAAGCAAGAAGAGAGAGAGGAAGTCTCAGTAATATATTGGCTGATTCCCTTGGGGTTAGTAAGTGGCAGGGTCCATGGGTACCAGTGAAAAAAGGACCAACCAGTAAAATCCAAATTAAACAGCAAAGCTCTCCGCCGACGGAGCTCCTGGCTCTGAGTTACAATTTCCCACCAGGAGGCCTCCAGGGTGGTTTTGAACATCCCCTGGGTTTGAGGCTGGCTTTTGTGAGCTGTCTACACTTGTGTTTAGTGGCCCTGGGCTGGGTCCCTATGGCCTGGGCAGGACGAGCGGCTCCCCTGGTGCTCTCCTGGTGCGCCTGGGGCTCACTCACGTGCTGCAGCACCTTGCGCGGCAACTTCTCGGAGTGGGCGATCCATTCTTTCATTAAGTCTAGGATGAGGGGGATGAGGCTGACCACGCCGCCGTAGTGGTTCCGGGCCTCGTCACAGCTGAGGTGGTTCACCACATCATGAGGGTATCTGCAGGACGGCAGGGGGCCAGGTGAACCCATGCTCCCGGGACTTGCCATGCCGTGGCAAGCAGCTGCCACACCTCAGGCACAGCAGAGTCACCTGGGGAGGCTTTAGAACTGGACACACAGCACGCTGAGGCGCTCTGTCCCCAGAGATTCTGGCAGACCAGGCCTGGGGTGCCACAAGCCCCAGGTAATTCTGGTGTGAAAGACAGGAGATGCAAACCACTGCCCCATGGTCCGTAGAAACCTGGGTTAGGGGTGAGGAACTGGCTGGCTCATCCCTCTGGCTCTTCTCACCCTGGTATCTACAGAGCTTCCCCAGGCTCTGGCCCACTGTGCTGCAGGCTCCCGGGCTGTCAGGATGAGGAGCCCTCAGTGCCAGTGCTGCTGCCCCTGGGAGGCGGCTCTGGTGTCCACTTCTTTGCATGTCAGTGAGGATCTCTGTGGGCTTCTGGGGGCAACTGCTCTGGGCTCTACACCCCCTTCTCCACCTGCCTGGTGCTAACACCCGTGAGACACCTGGTGTCCTGCCATGTCTACGATGGTTGTAAAGAAAAGGTTTTGTTGAATCCGAGTCATTCCAATAAATGAGTGGAGACTGGGATTTCCTGCCCGGGGTGGTCTAATAGGAGCACCATGATCCAGGCAACAGGAAAGAAGCAGGACAGAGGCCTCCCCACAGGCACACACGGGGCCTCAAGAGCAGCATCAGAGGGACTTACTTTGCTCTGAGGCTGCTTAAGTCGTTGCTTTGGCTAACGAGGGTTTTGCATTTCTCCAGGAGGTTGTTGGTGACTGGGGTGCCAGAGTGCACGGCCTCAAAGTGCTGGCAGAGCTTATTCAGCTCTGAACAGATGTCCAGGAACATGAGCAGAACCCGCCGGTCTGTGGAGCTGTTGCAGTAGTGTTCCATGTAGCTCTGCACCTGCAAGGGCCGCCGCCACATGAGCTGGGGACATGCCAACCCGGGTCCTGGCTGGCTTATGGTGCAAATGTCCAGAAGCACCCACCCTACTCCCTCCCACCCTACATGACTCATGGGGGAGACGCAAGTAACGCTTAAGCATTTTAAGGTACAGACCACTCTATATAGTGGTATCTCTCTCTCTATAGATGGATGGATGGATGGATGGATGGATGGATGGATGGATGGATAGATATGATATGAAATTAATGGATCGGTTGGGCACAGTGGCTCACACGTGTAATCCCCGCACTTTGGGAGGCTGAGGTGGGCGGGGATCACTTGAGGTCAGGAGTTCGAGACCAGCCTGGTCAACATGGTGAAACCCCATCTCTACTAGGAAAAAAAAAATTAGCCAGGCGTGGTGGCACGTGCCTGTAATCCCAGCTACTCGGGAGGCTGAGGCAGGAAAACCACTTGAACCCGGGAGGAGGAGGCTGCAGTGAGCCGAGATCATGCCACTGCACTCCAGCCTGGGTAACAGAGCAAGATGCCATCTCAAAAACAAAAAATTAATTAAATTAAATGGACGGATGGATGGGTAGATAGATAGATGGATATAAAATCAAGTGTTCCAGGCACCATGCAAAATGCTTTACGGGCCTGCTCTCGCCTGTCTTCATCTAAACCCTACACACTGAGCAGGTACCTTTTTAAATTCCCATTTTACAGATCAGTACCATGACATGAACACTGGAGGTTTGCAGAGGTGAAATAACCCGCCCAGGGCACCAGTGGCTTAGTTGGGTGTCCCCAGCTCAGTGGCTCCGTGCCCTACCCCTCACCTGTCCCCTGCCACCTGAACCAACCACCGCCTAAAGCAAAAGGGGGCTGCCCCCTGACTTAATGCCACAGTGCCTGTCATCCCACTTCTAGAGGGTTCATTGTGAGAAATTCCAGCGTGGGCCACCCATACTGAGAGGGAAACAGCAGGGACTGGAATCCTTTGGGCTTCAGCCGTACTGTGTTCACAAGGTGGAGAAGGAGGGGCAGGCCAGTAAGTGGAGCTTATGGGGTTACCCAGTGACTGCATCTGAGGTTGGGCCAGAGCCGGAGGTCTGATCTCGAGCTAGGGAGGAATTGGCTGTGGTCCAGGCCAGATGAACAGACCCATTTCGTAGTCAGATGGTTCTACTCTCCACAATCTGATGACAGATGCAGGTATCACCTCCTCCAGCACCCACAAAGGTCTACATCTAAATCAGGGTTTTCTTGCTGTAACCGTTTGTCTTTTTGTTGCTAGGGGATGTTTCCCCAAACAATCTGAAGTGGTTCCTTCCCAAGGACTGCCATGCACAAGCAGCTTCGTAAGGGGGAGAGGCTCTTCACACTCATACCCACAAAGGCACCTGTAGGGGTCGAGGAGGAGGAACCTGCCCCATGGTGTAACTACAACAGAGCATTGCGGGGGTGGGGGGCGGTGTGCAGGGAACCTTTGGACACTTCTGGTTCAGGGAGGGCAGGGGAGGGGTGAGGCAACTCAGAACACAAGGCCACTGTTTACCAAGAGCCTTCGGCTGAACCTAAGGCAAGAAGGCCACTCCCTTATGCATGGATGTAGATTCTGGGAAGGGACACTTGTTGACTTTTGAAGCTTCTGGAGGATGGACTAAAAAGGATGTAGGCAGTTTCTTTTCTTTTTTCCCCCGAAGTCCAGGTTTACAGAAGAGGAAGTTTATTTTCCAATAGCTCAGGGGCTGCATGCGTGGGCAAATATGGCTAAATTGGCTAAATGTCACAAGTCGGTGAATCTGGGTGAGGGTTATATGGGTGCTCCTTTTCTGTACATTTAACTTTTTTTTTTTTTTTTTTTTTTTGAGACAGGGTCTTGCTGTGTCACCCAGGCTGGAGTGCAGTGGTGCGATCTCGGCTCACTGCAGCTTCTGCCTCCAGGGTTCATGTGATTCTCATGCCTCAGCCTCCCGAGTCACTGGGACTACAGGCGCGTACCACCACAACTGGCTAATTTTGGGATTTTTAGTAAAGATGGGGTTTCACCATGTTGGCCAGGCTGGTCTCCACTCCTGGCCTCAGGTGATCCACTCACCTCGGCCTCTCAAAGTGCTGGGATTACCGGCATGAGCCGCTGTGTCTGGCCTCTATATTTAACATTTTTTTGAGTTAAAAAATTGAGGAAACATTTTACCAAAATTAGAAAAAAAAAGTGTTTTTTTTCATTTTTTTGTTTTTGTTTTTGTTTTGTTTTGTTTTGTTTTTGAGACGGAGTCTCACTCTGTCGCCCAGGCTGGAGTACAGTGGCGCAATATCGGCTCACTGCAACCTCCACCTCCCAGATTCAAGCAATTCTCCTGCCTCAGCCTCCCGAGTAGCTGGGATTACAGATGCGCACCACCACGCCCAGCTATTTTTGTATTTTTAGTAGAGACAGGGTTTCACCATGTTGGTCAGGCTGGTCTCAAACTCCTGACCTCATGATCCACCTGCCTCGGCCTCCCAAAGTGCTGGGATTACAGGCATGAGCCACCACGCCTGGCCAGAAAAAAATGTTTTTAAAGGATGCTGCCAGCAAGGGTTGCTTGTTCCTCCCGAGCCTGTTTCTCCTCTGCAGTTCTGAGCCCTGCGCCTGTTCCCACCCATCTTGGGGCAGTTACCCTTCCACAAGCTGACTCCCTCCAAGCTGTGAAGGGCCGGCCTGTGTGTGTTCCTAACTGCACTGCAGCTCCAGCCCCTAACATCCTGGAAGGATCATTTGGTCTTGAGGCCTCCAAGTCCTGCACAGCAAACCTGGACAGCAGCTAACCCTGGAGGAGATGCAGGTTAAATAAAAACATCTGCGAAAGCACCTGGCGGTGTGCTTGGCATCCCACAGTTCCTCAACCCCCAGTGGAATCTGATGGGAAGGACAGGATCCCTCTGGTCACCAGTAAATCCCTGGTTTTCTATGGGTGACCACTGAACCTGCGTCACAGATGAGGACACTGAGGCACAGAAAGGTGAAGTCATTGGCCTGAGATCACAGCAGTGGCACATGGTAGAGCTAGGACTTAAGCCCTGGCCGGCTGAGTTTTAAACCTGCCTCTTTATTCACTTGTTGTTATTCACTTACATATTTGGTAGAGAAACGAATGAAGGACTCATTACATCATTTAGGTTCTGGGTCCGGGTCCTAATTCTGGCGCAAACGTCCTTCCCCTCTCTGGGCCCCAGTGGTTTCATCTTTTGTGAGAGGGGACTGGGCTTGTTGCCCCTCGGCCGGGGTGGGGGTCGGGAGCCCCACCTGTCCAATGCTGGAGATGGGCCGGATCTTGTCGTGGGCGTTCTCCCTGCAGTGCTCCAGAGCGGCGGTGAAGGTGAGCTGCTGCTGCTGGAAGAGCTTGTACTTCTGCTCGATGCTGCGAAGGGATTCTTTCACCTCATTCATTGTCTTCCTCTGTGGTCATTTACAGGAGAAGAGGAATCTATGGGGAGACAGAGGATAGTGATGAGGTCCTGGGACCCAATGCTCGGATCCAGCTCCGGAGGGAAGGACTGTCAGGGGAGAGGGATACCCATGGCCCCTCTCACTGGAGCGCCTTGTGAGTGCCTCCCCACAGAAGAAAGCGAGGCCCTGGGAGGCTGCACACTTGTCCAGAGCCCCCAGGCTGTCCATGACAGAGCTGAGCCTGACCTCGAAATTTACCCTCCATGAACACATTCTTTGCCAGGAAATGTGACTTCTTCCCTCAGCTGTGGACAGAGTTTCTCTGGTTCTGTTTCTCCAGATGTGGGTATCTACACACACGCGCGCACACACACACGCACACACATGCATGTGCACACACATACAGGTACATGCATACACACACACACGCACGCGTGTACACACACGCCCTCCAATCCCTTGCTGTGGTGTCAGCAAAACCTGGGATCAAGGGATATGCCACAGGATATAAAACCAGGAGATGATCAGTTTGGATCAAATTATTGTAAAGCTGCTCTGCAACTGGTGGGAAAGTCTGGGAATTCCTTCCCATGGATTAAGCGGGGAGAAGAATCAATACTAGACTGTCTAGTTTGAGAAGATGTAAGTCTGCCTGCTCTGGGCTGGGGGCAGGAGCCTTGGTCTCAGGTTTGCGCATTCTCAGGGCAGGGCTGGTGGCTAGTGGACTGCCCCCTGACCCTGTTAATTGCTGGAATGCCATGATCAGTAACATGGAGGCTGTGGGGAGGACTCTCTCTTGGCGCCTCACAGACTGTCCCTGCTGTGATTTAGGTGCTCCACAGAGCATCTACAATCCTCCTGTGAGCAGAAAAGTCTGTGGGTGTGTGCTCCATGACATCACAGTTTTGCTGAGCGCGTGCAAAATGCTCCAGACCACAGATTTCTATTCATGTTAGAGCTGGAAGGGACTGAGAAAACCAGCTCCCTTGAGCTGCTATGGGGAAAGTGAGGCTCAGAGGGAAAGGTTTTGCCCAGGGTGTCACAGCAAATTTGTGCCCAAGACACCCTGGGTCCTAGGCTTCCTTACGTCTAACCAGCATCGTCAGTGCTGCCACACTCGGCTGCCCCTCCACTGCCTCCAGAACAAAGGCCAGGCTCGAACGTGTCACCACATGAGCAGGGGTCAGAGAAGGCTGTGCTGAGCTCAGGTCCAGTCCAAGGGAGATGTTGGAGATGGAAGGGGCCAGAACATTTAGCATGGACTGGGGCAGGGAAGGCACATTCCAAGCTTCCAAGCAGGTCCCAGGTGGATAGGAATAACAAGACGGGGCTGGGAAATATTTCTTTCTGCTGTGTCCAGAGCAGGGCTGGAGCTGGGGGTCCAGTTTGAACCCAGGAGGTCAAGGCTCCAGTGAGCCATGATCGCAGTACTGCACTCCAGCCTAGGACACAGGGAGACCCTGACTCAAAAAAAAAAAAAAAAAAGAGGCAGGGTAGGGGGAGCATCCCAGTTGATGCAAGAAGAGATGGCATCAGAGGAATGAAAGGAAACACAAGAACAGACCAGGAGATGGCCTCCGCGAGATGATGGGGGTGGTACATCAGAGCACTTGGAGGAGGCTGGGGAAGAGGCCCTTTAGCAAGATGGAGCCCAGCCATGGAGCCTCTATCCCTGGAGCCAAAAGCCAGCAAGGCTGCCTTAGAGGAGCCACCTTAAGAGCCACTGAGTGAGTCTCCTGGAAAGACAAGAGAGTATGCTTCTGCAGCAGAGCCACAGCACTGTGACTGTCAACAGACACAGGGACAGTCGCAGCTGCCCTGGGGGTGGGCCTGGGCCAGGGCAGGCAGGGCAGGGGCCTCTTTCCAGCTCAACCTCCTATGGAAAGGAGAGCTGAAGGTGGGGAATGAGATGGGGGGTCCATGGTTTATTGACACCTGCCATATCCTTGGCTGGTCCCTGCCACATGGAGCAGACATGCTGACTCACGCACAGTGGTTTCCTGTTGTGCCTCCCGTGGTGTCCGGCTCACCCAGGACCAACTAGGGTGAGGTGAGGGAGACACTTGCCCCCATGCAAAACTTAAGGAGGCGCCAAAAAACTCGGCAATCAAGATGAAAATAGGCCAGGCACAGTGGCTCATGCCTATAATCCCAGCACTTTGGGAGGCTGAGGCAGGAGGATCGCTTGAACCCAGGAGGTCAAGGCTGCAGTGAGCCATGATCGCAGTACTGCACTCCAACCTGGGTGACACAGTGAGACCCTGTCTCAAAAAAAAAAAAAAGCATCTTGAGTAGCTGGGATTACAGGTGGGTGCCACTACACCTGGCTATTTTTTGTATTTTTAGTAGAGATGGAATTTCACCACGTCAGCTAGGCTGGTCTTGAACTCCTGGCCTCAAGTGATCTCCCTTTCTCAGCCTCCGAAAGTGCTGGGATGATAGGCATGAGCCACTGTACCCAGCCCCAAAAACGTTTTTTAAAGAATGGGTCTTGCTCTTTCACCCAGGCTGGAGTGTGGTGCTGTGATCACGACTCACTGCAATCTTGACCTCCTGGGCTCAAGTGATCCTCCCGCCTCAGCCTCTTGAGTAGCTGGGACCTCAGGTATGTGCCACCATGCCTGACTACCTTTTTTCTTTTTTTTTTTTTCTTCTTTTTTTTCTTTTTTTTTTTTCTTTTTTTTTGTAGAGATGGGGTCTCCCTATGTTGCTCAGGCTGGTCTCGAACTCCTGGGCTCCAGCGATCCTCCCACCTCAGCCTCCCAATGTGCTGGGATTAGAAGCATGAGCTGGCAACATCAGAATTTGTAAAGAAAAGATTGCTGGCTGGGCGCGGTAGCTCACGCCTGTAATCCCAGCACTTTGGGAGGCCGAGGTGGGTGGATCACGAAGTCAGGAGATTGAGACCATCCTGGCCAACACGGTGAAACCCTGTCTGTAATAAAAATACAAAAAAAGTTAGCCGGGCACGGTGGCGGGCGCCTGTAGTCCCAGCTACTCGGGAGGCTGAGGCAGGAGAATGGCGTGAACCTGGGAGGCGGAGCTTGCAGTGAGCCGAGATGGCGCCACTGCACTCCAGCCTGGGCGACAGAGCAAGACTCCATCTCAAAAAAAAAAAAAAAAAAGATAGCTGCACCTTGCCATACTGAGGCCTGAGGCAAAAGGAGAAATCAGTAACACTGAGCCTACCTTTACTTAAATTTTTGACATGTTATTCTAAATGGATTTTAGGCAGCATTATTTTTGATTTTTAAAATATATTGCATTAAAACGTGAAAAACATCCACCTCAATGATTGAATTGCCGGCACTCCCTTAAGTTTTGTGCTGAGGGTGCATCACTTGCCTTGCCCTAATGTTGGCCCAGGGCTTACAAATGACTCAAAGGTGAAGCTCCAGAAAAGTGAGAGAGAGCACATAGGTGGAGTTCCAGGGAGAAAGGGCGTGTGCCCTTTCGGCCTGGCTTTTCCCTCATCATGGTGGGAGCTGTGGTTGGTAGTGGTTGAGAGGAACTGACTCTGTTCTTGATCCTAGCAACTTGTGACATGCACGCCAGGAATGTCATGAGAGGAGCTGTAATAAGCTATCCGAAGTGATCGTCCCTTGAACGAGAGCCACTGCAGCCAAATTAGTGTGGATGAAGGGCACAGGGGACGGGCACTTCTCGATCTGGGGGAGGAGGGAGGAAAAAAATGATTACCCATAGGTTTTAGGCTTTAATTGATTTGTATTTTTCCAGGCTGCTAAAGAAGATTGAATCATGGTAGGAAAAGCGCCTAGGGCTTAAAATAAATGAGGAGAAAGGCAAGTCATTTCAGAAATGTCCAGGAAGCAAAACAAACCTCTCCAGTGCAAATGGCAGGCATGGCTGTTGTGTTCTTTGCTCAGGGGGAGGCAGCTTCCTTTTCTTCCCCAGCTATCTTTACAGTTGGGTTTGACAAGCCTACCAAGGTGTACACACTTTGAGGAAGCGGTTTGGAGGGGAAGAGGCAACAGTGCTGGCTTTTACGTTGGGAGGGCATGTCTCTGGGCTGATGGCTGGTAGAAAAGGGCTTTAGCTGGAGCCTGGATGCAGAGTTCATGCCCTGGCTCTGCCCAATCTAACCAGTGGCCCTAGCCAAGATTTCCCCCTTTTCTGGGCCTCAGTTTATCCATCTGTCAAATGAGAGAGTTTGGATTAGCCTCTTCTTCAAGAGGCCTTCTGGTTCTAAGGCTGTATGATCAACAACTGATGAGAAAAGAAGCCCAGAAAGGGGAAGTGACTCACCCAAAGTTACCCAGCCAACCACTCCTCATTGTTCTAATCCTCCAACTTCTCATCTGTAAAATGGGAATGAAGGTGCCTATTTCACAGGATTGTTGGAACGATTAAATGAGATACTACTACTAATAGTAGCCCCATATATTGTGTGCTTACTGCATGCCAATTACTCTCCAATACATTAGCTCCTGAAATCCTTCAGCAGTTCCCTCTTCACAGGGCAGGAAAGTGAGGCACGGAGCAAGCAGAGAGTTTGCCAAGCTCACACAGTAAGAAGCGGAGCCAGAACTTGAAGCTGGGGCTGTCTGCATTGACTGTGCCATTTTCCCTCTCCATAAGGTACAGAGACAACAGAATTTTGCCGAGAGCACAAAGAGTTCAACAAACTCTTACAGCTCCTACGATTAACGGCAACAGACAAGAGCTAGAGATCCCAATTCAGTGTTGCGACTAATAAAATATCAAGCTGCCCCGTACCACTGGGAATTCATACGACTTAAAAAGCTCCGTCTCCAGCGCGAACCTTCCCCTCGCCCCCACCCCGAGACAGCTGTGCAGGCCCCTCCATCCTCCGGACCCCTCCATCTTTCCATCCTCCACCCCAGCTTCCAGTTTCTGACCCAGAGGCCGGGGTGGGGTCCGAGTGGGCCCACCCACACTCATCCCTGTTTACCCTTGCTTGTCCTAGAGCGCTCTTCGCTCCACGGAGCACCCAGAGAAGTTGGAGTGACTCCGTGAGTGTCGGTGCCCCGGAGGGTGGGGAGGCCCGTTCCAGGACTTGGGAGGCGAGGGTGGGTGGGGACGTCGGGCGAGAAGGGGCGGGGCCGCGGGCGTGATTGTTACCGCCGGTGCCATAGCAATCGGGTCACTTGGCGGCTTGGCCAGAGCCGGGGAGCTGGGAGGGGTCTACCGGGGCTCGACTCTAGGAGTTGGGCTGAGGATTTCCACCCGATCCTCGAACCTCCGGCCCATCTCATGGACGCCCCTCCCCCTTCAAACACCCTCCCCCACATTTATTCCCGCGTCTGTTTTAAAGATGGGTAAACTGAGGCACAGGGAGCCGGGCCGGGGAGCACTGACAGAACCAGAAGCAGGTTCTGCCTCCCGTCCCCTCGGAGGGCCGACTTGCCCCTTCTGGGTTTCGTCGGGGGTCTCAGATACGAGGAGGCCCAGCTGGAAGCCACCTGAGGGTGTCCCCCGCTAAGATGCGCAAATGGGAAAAGCGAGGCCGGGGTTGGGGAAAGAACTTGCCCGAGCCGCAGAGCGCGTCAGCCGGGGAGGTCGGGGCGGGGGCGACCCGCGCGACCGAGGATCGGGTATCTGGGCCCGGCGCGGAGCCTGCAGGGCGGGGCCGCGGCGCGTGCTGATGACGCAGTCGGCGCGGCGGCCCTAGCGACGCGGTTACTAGGGAGCGGCGAGCCGAGACGGCTACATGGACGCCACTATCGCCCCGCACCGTATCCCCCCCGAGATGCCCCAGTACGGGGAGGAGAACCACATCTTCGAGTTGATGCAGGTGACCGGACACCCCTGCCCGTCGCGACGCTGGCGGCGGCTCGGGAGCCTCCACTGCGACGTCGGGTGCGCGGCCGGGACCCGCAGCTGGGGCCGAGTCGCGCGCCCACGAAGCAGCCCAACTCGGGATGTACGATTCGTGTGTCGCCGTGACCCCGAGGGGGCCCTCGAGCTGGGGACGCTCCTGGTCCTGCCCGGGTTTGCCTCAGGCGGACCCAGGGGGAGGAAGGGGGCCACTCGAGCCGGGATTTGGTCCTGGCTGTGCCGCCAGCGGGCCTTATGGTCTGGAACCAGTCCTTTCCTTTTCTCGGTTTCCCCACCTGTGAAATGCCAGGTTGCAAGAGGTGGTCTCCCAGGGGCTCTCCCGGCGCTGACAATTACCATCTGTCGAATTTGTGGGGAGCCTCTCGGCCCAGGTTTCTGAGGTGGGCATTGTCCGAGTTCAAGCTGGCATCTCCATCCTCAGAGAGGGCCGCCTCTGGGACAGCAGCATCTCCCACCTTGGTCCCTCCTCCTCAGGGCCAGACGTCCCCGGCAGCTCCGAAGCTCTCATTCTGGCTCCAGGCCTGACTGGGCCCCCAGCTCACCGTGTGACTTTGGGCGAGGCCCCGTCCCCGCCAGGGCCCCAGTTTTCCCTTTTGCACGTGGTGGAGGTCAAGGCTTTCAGGAGCTGGAGGGGAAGAACTCTCAGCCACTCAAAGGTTCTGAGAGGCAAGGGGAAGCTGGAGCTCAGTTTTCAGATCATTTGTCTGCTTCCCAGGGTACACCCCATCCCCAGGGGCATGGCATGGAGGGCATAGTGGTGTCTGTGGTCATTTGAGGTTCTGCCCTGCACACTAGACAGCTGAGCCCAGACGAAGAAACCCGTGTCTGCACCTCCATCAAACACATTTCCCTCGGAAAGTGTTAACTGATAGAGGGAGAGCAAGAGATTCCTAAAACTGCTTGAGTGGCCAATCACAAATCAAATAGCTAGCTGGGTTAGAAGTCAGCAGGTCAGGGCAGGATGGGGGATCATCTGGAGCCCTGTTGTCTGCTCTAGAGAACCTGGTGTGTTTTCCACATTGATTGTTGGAGGAATTGCCCAGGAAAGCTTTTATTGATTTTGAAACAGGGTCTTGCACTGCTGCCCAGGCTGGAGTGCAGTGATACAATCATGGCTTACTGCAGCCTTGAACTCCTGGGCTCAAGCAATCCTTCTGCCTTAGTCCCTCCAGAGTAGCCGAGACTACAGGTGCAGGCCACCATACCTGGCTAATGTTTTTTTTTTAATTTTAGTACAGACGAGGTCTTGCTATGTTGCCCGGACTGGTCTTGAACTCCTGGGCTCAAACAGTCCTTCTGCCTCGGCCTCCCAACAAGAAAGCTTTCAGTCCAGTATTTCCAGTCCTTAGTCATCTGTGGATTCCCTCCATGTTTTTGACCATTTCCATTTTTTATACTTTTGATTTTAAAATAATGTTAGATTCACAGGAAGTTAAAAAATAGTATGGATTTCTGGTCTCCCCTCCCACATTGCCCCCGTGATAACATCTAACATAACTGTAGCACATTGTCAAAACCAGGAAACTGGCATTGGTACAATAGGATTACCTGAACTGTAGGCCTTGTTTGGATTTCCTCCATTTTTACCTGCATTGATGTTTTTGTTGTGCATACAGTTCTGTGCAGTTGTATCACATGTACAGATTTGCATAACCGCTACTGCACCTCCATTTAAACTAATCACTTGTTTAAATCAACTCACCTTTTAAAAAATTAAATAGCCGCTTTTGCCTCATCCTAAGTGATATCCTTGAAATTATTGATTTGATGTACTTATATTTCTAATACACGTTAAATACACAATGATTTAAACATGAAATGTAAAATATTTATGTGTGAACCATCTAAAATCATCTCATTCCATCATCGCACCAGTGACATACAAACATGAATTCACTCCAGCTGTGCTACTGAACAGGCAGAGAAGCTGAGGCCCAGAGAAGGGAAGGGACTTGCTGATGAGATACAGTGGGGCTGGAACCAAGACTTCTCATGGCTCGGTGCTCTTTCCCTGCCCCACACTCCCTTCACTCCAAGAGGGCTACAGCCCCTCCCTCCTTGTCCCTGGGGCTCAAGGATACCCCTTATTGCAGCAGCACAGCTGCTATGAGCTCCTCCTCATTTCTCTGCCTAGGGTTCTGCAACCCCAGAAGCTGCTTTCTCTTGATATGCTTGCCTGATTGGATGAAATGGCCAGAATATCCCAGGACTATTTAGAAATCTGGCTGGTAACATTCTGTTCCATTCTGGAGAGACACAGTTAGTGGTGACGGTCATGTTCCCCAGCAAACATCTGCGCTGGGCATCTGCTATGACTGCCAGGTATTGGGGTGCCAAGGGCTCTAGGCAGACAAGGAGGCCCACAGAACCCATGGCCTGCCGGGGGGATGGTGGCCTGGTGAGTAGGGACAGGGTGAGGCGTGGAACAGGGCGATGCCCGCAGGCAGGTGCAGGAGCATCTGACATATTTACGTAGTGCACATACTCAGGAAGGTATGTTCCCATTGAGATCTGAGACTGAGCAGAAGTTAGCCAGGATGAGGACAAGGCAGAAGCTTCCAAGCTGAGGGAACAGCATCTGCTAAGGCTCTGAGGGGAATGGTGATGCTTGAGAACTTGGAGAAGGCTGGTCTGGGAAGCTCAAAGGGCCCCAGGGGAGAGAGCCCTGGACTGCCTGCTCTGAATCAGGGGCGAGACTCCTCCACTTCTGCCTCCCCATAGGTGCCTCCGCAGCAGCACCACGTGGCCCCCCTCATGCCTCTGCTCATGGGGACCCAAGCAGATGCCAGCTGGGGCGGTGGCTGGGTCCCAGGTTGAAGGCATGTTTGGTGGGGTGCAGTGGAGAGAGCAGGCCCCATAGCTGGTATCTGTGGTGACCAGGTGCCCTTGCAGGTATTAACCACCTGGGTGTCTGCCCTGCACCCACAGAACATGCTGGAGCAACTCCTGATCCACCAGCCCGAAGATCCCATCCCCTTCATGATCCAGCACTTGCATAGAGACAACGACAATGGTGAGCACTGGCTGGGGCTCTTCCCCTCCTCGTCTTCCCTTCCCCTCCTCCTCCTTCCCCTTCTTCCCTGACTCCTCTGCCTCCTCCTCCTCTTCCTCTCCAGGAACCCTGCCCCATCCCGAGAATAGCTGAGCACCATTCTGTCCTACCTGTGTCTGAAGGGAGGTCAGAAGGGAGGGGTTTCATCAACTTGAGGTGGTGGTTCATTGAAAAATGCCTTGATTTCTTTTGGAGCACAACTTATAAAAATTCTCTTGCCAAGTTATTAAAATGAAAACCCCAGAATGACCCATGGAATCAATTATTAATGCTTTCGCCTGCCCTAGCTGATGTCGCCTGTTGGGTTTCAGCTCTCTGATCACTCCACTTGTCAGGTGTAAGTTTGGTTTCTGGTCTACCTAGACAGGCAAGCTCTTGGGCTTTTCCGACGGTCTCATTATCGGAGCCTGTTAATGAGTTTCCGAGCTCCCCAAACCTTTGCAGTTGGCCGGTGCAGGTCAGCCTGACCCAAGGCCGGAGCACAGAACTGGGGAGGAGGGAGGCGCTCACTCAAGGAAGGCCCCTCACTCCACTCCATGGTCCATTTGCCAAGTGGAGGATCAGTCCTGTCCTTTGTGAGCTGTTGGGGAGGACCGATGTCTTGGAGCTTTTATGTTTCTTTCGTTGGAGCATTAGCTGCTTTGAAGGAGCTACCAGTGCACCAGTGAAATTAGTGCTTGGTACAGCTGAGGACAGAGCCCAGAGATGCCCTGTGTGGAGGTTCAGAAGGCCCAAGGTGAGAAATGACACTAGGTAGTTAAAAAAAAGAAAGGAGGTTCCAAGCCTTTTCCTTGTGCCCCACATGCAAGTCCTGACGCATCCAGGCCTGGCTGCGGAGCAGCAGAGTAAGGGAATCTTGGGTCCCGATGCCATTGCATGGACCTAGGCAGGCAGGTACAGAGAGAGACCCCACAAAGGGCCAACAAAAAGGCCCTTTTCTGAGCCTCTGGTTAGGTGCAAATGGCTGATTCACTAGACATTCCCTTGTTCAGCGGATGTTGACTGAGCGTCCTATATGCCCAGGCGGGGGTGGTGCGGTGCTGGGGTGGCCTTGGGACCCCCTTCCCCGTGTCTGATTTGCCTTCTCCCCAAACCCACCTTCCTGGTGCAGTTTACTCTGCCCTGCAGCGACTCTTAGAGACCTCCTTTCTCTGGTTGGCTGTTTATTACATGGTACAGGTGGGAGGTTTTGTCTCCCCAGATTCATCACCTGCTCTTAGGGTGGATGTTAAGCCTACCCTGCGCTCCTGAGTGGTCCTTACTGCTGCAGACCTAGGCTCGCCCCCAGGCCTCACTGACTCCATTTGCCAGTGGAGGTAGTTCCTGCATTCCCCCCTGCCCCCACCCTGAGGCCGAGTGGGTGCTGGGAGCTTGAGTGCTGCTGAACTCTGTTATTCCAGGGCTGCGGAGAGCATCTCTGCCCACACGCAGCTATCTCACACCGCCACCAGAGAAAGAATGGACCGCAAAGGGAAAGCAAAGCAAAAGGAAACACAAAGTAAAAGTGAAATAAGAGCCAAGTAAAAGCTAAAGTAAAAGTAGAGTAAAAGTAAAGTAAAAACAAAGTAAGACTAAAAGTCAACCAAGAGCGAGTGGAAAGTGCAGTGCAGCACAGTCCTCTGTCCTGCCACCCCCCCACCTCCCTCCCCACTGTCAGGGACCCTGCAGCTCACTCATCTTAAAATGTAGAGACGTGAGAGATCGTGGCTCTCTTTGGCCTCACTTTCCTCGTTTGTGAAATGGATGTGTTTGGTTAACCCAGATAGAAGCTGTGAAACTCTGGTCTGGTCAGTAGTGGCTGAAGGAATGGGAAATCCCTGATGCATCATGGGTAGCAGCTTCCAGGAATATGACGTCTAGTTTCCACTAGTAAAAAGCTTAATAGATTTTTCTAAATTAAAAATTGTGCTTGCCAGCCTGGCCAATATGGCAAAACCCCATCTCTACTAAAAATACGAAAATTGGCTGGGTGCGGTGGCTCACGCCTGTAATCCCAGCACTTTGGGAGGCCGAGGTGGGCGGATCATGAGGTCAGGAGATCGAGAACATCCTGGCTAACATGGTGAAATCCCATCTCTACTAAAAATAAAAAAAAAATTAGCTGGGCGTGGTGGCGGGCGCCTGTAGTCCCAGCTACTGGGGAGGCTGAGGCGGGAGAATGGTGTGAACCCAGGAGGCGGAGCTTGCAATGAGTAGAGATCACGCCACTGCACTGCAGCCTGGGCGAAAGAGCGAGACTCTGTCTCTAAAACAAAACAAAACAAAAATACAAAAATTAACCAGGCTTGGCAGCACACACCTGTAATCCAAGCTACTCAGGAGGCTGAGGCAGGAGAATCGCTTGAACCCAGGGGGTGGAGGTTGCAGTGAGCTGAGATCGCACCACTGCACTCCAGCCTGGGCAACAGAGTAAGACCCTATCTCAAAAAAAAAAAAATGTGCTTGAAAGCTGGGTGTGGTGGTGCACCTGTAGCTCCAGCTACTTGGGAGGCTGAGACAGGAGGATCGCTTGAGGCCAGGAGTGAGAGGCCATGGTGCCACGACTTCATCTTGAATACCCACTGCATTCCAGCTTGGGCAACATAGTAAGACTCTATCTAAAAAAAAATGTGCTCGATAATAATGTAACCACTTGAACTCTCATAAATTAGGTTGCACTGACATTTTCTACTGTTAGTTTGAAAATCATGCATGCCCTGTGTTCTTCTCTTTTTTTTATTTTCTCCCTCTTATTTTTCTTTTTAGAGACAGGGTCTCTGTTGCTCAGGCTGGAGTGCAGTGGGGAGATTACAGCCCATTACAGGCTTGACCTCCTAGGCTCAAGTGATCCTCCTGCCTCAGCCTCCTGAGTAGTTGGGACTACAGGTGCATGCTACTGCGCCTGGCTAATTTTTAAAAATTTTTTGTAGAGATGGGGTTTCACTATGTTGCCCAGGCTGGTCCCTGCTCCTAGGCTCAAGTGATCCTCTTGCCTTGGCCTCCCAAAGCATTGAGATTACAGGCATGGACCACTGTGCCTGGCCCTCTGTGTTCTTAAACCGCTACTTCAAGGCTTACCTAGTTCCCCAGCCTAGAAGCTCAAGAACCTTGAATTTCAAGAAATTTGAGGCAGATTCAATCATCTCTTTGTTTTGATCTTGCTCCTCTGTGTGCAGCTTTAATTTTCAATGTCAAACTATCCACTTCATCAGAATTTTAAAGTTTAAACATCATCTTTCTGGTTTGGATGGAGTGCAGTTGATGTTGGCTGGACAGCCACCTCCGCTGCCACCTCCCTGCCTTTGTCTCCTCCTCCCACCCTCCTTAGCGCCCCTTTCCCTTCATCCGAAGGTCTGGGGCTTTCCTGAAGCTCCCTCCAAGGAGCCCTTGCTCCTTTCTCTGCACTGCACCTGCTCTGTTGTTCTCGAGCAGAGGCTTAGGCTCCAGACCTGCCTCGTGCCGTCTCTAGCTGGGGGCCAGCCTCCAGCCGGGGGGGTCTGTCCTCCTGAATAGCTGAGTCCAGCTTTTTGCCCGGATGCTCTCAGGGAGTCGAGTCACTGGGTCCCAGGAACCACTGTTTTGGAGAGTTCATTTGTTTCCCACAGCCCTGCACTCCACCGCAGGCCCTCAGCTGGCAGCTTTTATGGATATTAGAACATTTTGTCCTTTGGCTCAAGCCCCAACCACTGAAATGGAAAGAAGAGAGCGACACCCATGGGTTTCTCTCTCTTTGCCCACGCCTCTGTGGACAAGTGAAGCAAAAATGGGAAGGAGGAAGGGAGACAGGGGAGACTACCCTGCTTGGTGACTTTTCTTTTCTTTTTCTGTTTTTTTGTTTTTCTTTTTGTTTTGAGATGGAGTCTGGCTCTGTCGCCTAGGCTGGAGTGCAATGGCGCAATCTCAGCTCACTGCAAGCTCCGCCTCCCAGGTTCAAGTGATTCTCCTGCCTCAGCCTCCTGACTAGCTTGGATTACAGGCACCCGCCACCATGCCCAGCTAACTTTTGTATTTTTAGTAGAGACGGGGTTTCACCATGTTGGCCAGGCTGGTCTCAAACACCTGACCTCAGATGATCCACCCGCCTCGGCCTCCCAAAGTGCTGGGATTACAGGCATGAGCCACCATACCCGGCCGCCTAGGTGAATTTTCTAGGAGTGGGAGAAGCCTCGAATCAGCTAAGCCCAATCCTCATGTGTCCTAGAAGAGTGCGGGAGGCTTGGAGAGGCCCATGACATCCAGTGTGTGTTTTTGTTCCCCTGGGCTGGTGTGTCAGATCATTGTGCCCCCTTCCAGCCATGCAGCGGCCTGGGGTAACTATAGCTAGGACCTCAACCCTTCCTCTTACTGGGCCTGGGGTTAACTGCCACACACAGTGACATGGCTGGTGACTGGTGTAGAGAGAAAGAAGGCCCCGGACTCATCCCGGTGAGCGAGCACACGAGGGAGCAGAGGGAGCCCCGGCACTTGGGCTGGCAGCCCCTTCGCCGCCAGAAAGGCAGATTTAGTACAAAGTGAGCATTTACAGTAGCCCTGGGCAATATTAAAGCAGGCGATGGTGTATATAATGGTATGTTTCGTTTTTTATCAAACGTTTGTCCAAGAAAGCTGTGTATTAGAGCTCCAATACCTAAGGGTTTTCTTGTGAATTTTAAATCATGCTCCTAGTTAAACCTCAAAAGGATCTGTGGATGGAAAGGTTTTTTGATTTCCTTTGAAGTGGTTGGAAGAAGTTGATTACTCTTGGCAGTCCAGCAGCCTTTTATGACACTGTTTATAAATAATTACTCATGAGCAGGGCTGTAGTTTCAAGGTGTTAGATTTTAAGAAAATGAAATTAATCACATAAATGTGTGGGAGAAATTAGGTGGGGAGAAAGGCCGTGGATGTTCCCCTTTTAAAGTCTATTCATAGACATGTACCATTTGGGTGCCACTTACAGGAACCTGGAAGGGGAGGGTTTCCCCTGCAGCCCCCAGCCCGGGAACTCTCAGATGAATGCGTGGAGTCAGGTTCGCTCCCCAAAGGCCCTTGCCGAGCTGCATCTCCCCTTTCCTTGGGCTCTGGGCGCCCTGAGCCCTGTTGGGCCTCATCTGTGTTTGGAGGAGCTTCAGCAGGGCCTGTGGTCAGAGCCCTGGAGAGGCAGCAGGCGATGGTGCATGAGTGGACCCAGGTTCCCCACTGCTCCCTCATCAGACTTTGGCCAAGCAGGCGCTCTCTCCATGATCCACACGAGCCCTCTGCCTCGTGGCCCAAGGCTCCTCCACCCTTGACCACCCTCCCTGCCACTCCTCCCCACAAACCTCCCATGGCACTCTGGCTCCCATCTCACCTCGTCCTCTCACCTGACCATGTGTCCTCAATGCCACCTGGTTTCCATACTTGTCCTGCAAGCAGTGTTTTCCACACTATATCCTATGGTGGCTTCTCTCACCCATGGGGAGGGCCCTGGGAGGCCTTGCCCCAGGCCACAGGCCTAGAACAGAGAAAGGGCCGCTGAATGCCCGCCCTGGCTCCCACCCCAGAAGCTGAAAACACCTTCCTAGCTTCCATGACAGTCAGGGCTGGGCCCACCACCAGCGCTTCCCCTGCCAGGCGAGTCCAGAGTCGGAGTCACAGGCAGGACCTGGAGCACTTCCTGGCAGCTCCGCAGGGCCTGCTTCCTGGGTGGAAGGGCAGCATGGTTGATGGCGGCAGCATGGTTGATGGCGGCACCATGCCCACATGTGACAGCAGCATCATGGGCACGGGCAGCACTGTCTGGTGTCTCCCCAGCCCATTTGGTGGCCTTGCTTGGGGTGTTGTTCCTGTGGGGTAGCCCTGAAGGCCTGGCTCCCCAGCCTGTGCAGGACTCTTATGAGCCACGCTGGGATAGATAGATAGATAGATAAATAGACATAGATATAGATATAGATATTTTGAGACGAAGTCTTGCTCTGTTGCCCAGGCTAGAGTGCAGTGGCGCAGTCTCAGCTCACTGCAACCTCCACCTCCCAGGTTCAAGTGATTCTCCTGTGTCAGCCTCCCGAGTAGCTGGGATTACAGTTGTGTGCCACCACGCCTGTCTAATTTTTTGTATTTTCAGTAGAGATGGGGTTTCACCATGTTGGCCAGGCTGGTCTCGAACTCCTGACCTCAAGTGATCCGCCCATCTCGGCCTCCCAAAGTGCTGGGATTACAGGTGTGAGCAATCAACCCCCTTTTCTTCTTGACTCAGCTGCATTCAGTTTCTGCACTTGTACCCAAACATGCTGACTGGCAGAGGGGGCCCTCTGTAAGGCAGTAGTAATGGTGGTGACAAAGGTGACAAACAGTGACCATAGGACGAGATGGGGATGGCCAAGGAGGTGGCCCTGAAGGTCACTGTGTGTGGCTCCTCACAGTTCTGGCCGCCATGGGGGTGATCCAGGAGGATAAGACTCGGTCTCTGCCCTTGGGAGCTTCTCTTCCTGTGGGGACAGCAACTCCACCTGTTTCTCAGTAGTGGGCTGACATTCACCAACGTGGAAGACTGTGGCAGCCCATCACTTGATCACGGGCCTCCACAGGGAGTGAGAACAAGGATCTCGGGGAGGGAGAAGGAGTGGGAGGCTGGGGGTGCTGGGTGCTGGGAAGGGAGGACATTCCTGATGGGAAATGACAGGTGGCAAGGCAGGAACGTGGAGGGAACAGCCATAAGGAGAATATGAAGGTCCACAGCTTCTGAGGTTAAAGGAGAGGATCATTCAGTGAGTTACCTTGACTTCCTCCAAAAATGAGAAGGTGCCATGATTTTGGGCAAAGATCTATTTAAACCCAAGCAGCCAGCTGGGTGTAGATGTGCTAACCATTACATTGCTGGCCAAAAGGACGATGTCTAGTTCCTTTTCTCTGTCTGCCTCCAAACTAGAAGATACAGCACCTCTCTCCTCTGCTGAGATGAGATTCCCTCCTGAAAGCCCAGCCAGAATAGGCTCTCATGCAGACGTTAGAGGCTCATGTGAGTTGCAGTGGACATCTGTTCATCTGTCACCTTGGGTCAGGGGCCAGGCCAAGGTTACCGGCTTCCCACAAGGAGAGGGACAGCTGGCCCAATCAAGATGGTGTTGAGCAGGCAGGCAGTGTGGATGCATCTGTCCAGACCCCACTGCTGTTCCCTTCATTTCAACCCAGTGTGATGCCTTCCTGCACCCTTCTCACCATGCTGGTCAGCTCTTTTCCCATCGCCAGCAGCCACTCTAGCTCTGTCTCACCTCTTCCTCTCACCTGACCACTTGTCCCCAAAGCCACCTTGTTTCCAGAGTTGTCCTGCAAGCAGTTTTTCCACCTGCAGTGGGTTCTCTCCCCACAGGGAGGGCCCTGGGAGGCCTTGCCCCAGGTTACAGGCCTAGAACAGAGAAAGGGCCACTGAATCTCTGCCCTGGCTCCCACCCCAGAAGCTGAAAATGCCTTCCCAGCTTCCACGATGGCCAGGGCCTGGGCCTGCCACCAGAGCTTCACCTGCCGGGTGAGCCCAGACTCTCGGTCACAGGTTCAGGAGCCTGTGGTTCATATCACACTCTTGTCAGTAGCCTGGGTTGGGAATTCTGTGGGACCAAAACCAGCCAGGACTAAAATCAAACAAGGTGCCAGTGTTTTCCATTTGCATAGAAATGCCCATCTTTGAAAACAGACTTTCCTTTCTTGGGTTTTATAAATCTGGCCCATACACTCCAGGCTTTTCCCATTACTTCCCTCTGTAAAATCATGGGGAATACAATTTGCTAAATAAAACGGCATAAACATAAAGAAAAGCTTCTAAGGTCGATTTGCATAAATTACAGCCTTATTGGAGAGAGCGTTCCTGAGACAAAGTCCCTGTTTAAAATGCTTTGTGGTGTTTGAAATCCCAATTGTTCTTGATATTTATGAGTTTGGTAAACAAGTTACCGTGTCTCTGTCCCCTTGGAGGCAGAAGAATAAACCATCTCGGTGATCACTTACCTCTCTGAACACAGAGAATGCGTTCCATGGCAAGAGTGTCTCTGAGCTGCTGGGTTACAAATGGCCGTGTCACTGGCAGAAAATGAAATCTAGGGAGGGAGAAATAAGTACACCCCGAGTACCGCAGGTGTGGGAGGCTGCTTGTCATGTTGAGTGGTGACATTCAAATCTTTTTATTCCACAGTGCCCAGGATTGTAATATTAGGTCCACCCGCCTCAGGGAAAACAACAATAGTAAGTGTATCATATTAAGTGTTGTGATGCTGTAATATCTCATTGATCCTCCAGAGCTGGAATGAGACTGCACCTCCGTGAATTTGTAGCATAACTGAGCTTTTCTTCTTTTCCTTCTCCTCCTTCTTATTACAAAAGGTAGTGTGTATTCATAGCAGAAAACCTAGAAACTACAAAAGACCAAAAATAGAATTCCCTGACCATCCAGAGATGAGCATTCCTTTAGCATGCTCGGAGACACCTTCCTGGGCTTTTTCTGGCCTGCATACACGCTCTCCTTGCTCACCCTTCGCTATATCCTTAGGGTACGTTTCCAGAAGTACACGTGCTGGGTCCAACAGTACACGCATTTCATAGACTTTGACTTGGAATCTTAATATTTACTCTGAGCATTTTAATTGTGAAATACTTAAAAGAATCAGAAAAGCACAGCAAACTGTACCATCGATATTCACGTATCCAACTCCCAGATTTTATGCAAATTTAACATCTTGCCATATTTGCTTTGTTTGTTCTCTCCTCATTTTAAAGAAAATACATCTTTGAAGATACAGCAAATGCCTGGGCCCACCTCGCCCACACTTTTTCACACATCACCAGTTTCTGGACAGTGAATGCCCTTTTCTGGACAGTGAATGTCCAGAAACTGGTGGTGTGTGCTTCATTTATCTGTGGCTTCGATCTTTAAGGTCCTTTTTTGTTTTTTCAGACAGAGTATCACTGTGTCACACAGGCTGGAATGCAGTGGTGCGATCTGGGCTCACTGCAACCTCTGCCTCCTAGGTTCAAGCGATTCTCATGCCTCAGCCTCCCGAGTAGCTGGGACTACAGGCATGCACCACCATGCGCGGCTAATTTATGTATTTTTAGTAGAGATGGGGCTTCACCATGTCGTCCAGGCTGGTATTGGACTCCTGACCTCAGGTGATCCGCCTACCTCAGCCTCCCAAAGAGCTGGGATTACAGACGTGAGCCACCACGCCCAGCCTAAGGTCCATTTTTAAGTACCAAAAATGTGTTAAAATTTCATTCATCTGAGATGGAACCCTTTTTACCTTTATTTTTTATTTTTTATTTTTATTTTTATTTTTTGAGACAGAGTCTCCCTCTGTTGCTAGGTTGGAGTGCAGTGGTGCGATCTCGGCTCACTGCGACCTCCGCCTCCTGGGTTCAAGCAATTCTTCTGCCTCAGCCTCCCGAGAAGCTGGGACTACAGGCGTACGCCACCATGCCCAGCTAATTTTTGTATTTTTAGTAGAAACGGGGTTTCACCATGTTGGCCAGGATGGTCTTGATCTCTTGACCTCATGATCCTCGGCCTCCCAAAGTGCTGGGATTACAGGCGTGAGCCACCGTGCCCGGCCTAAGGTCCATTTTTAAGTGCCAAAAATGTGTTAAAATTTCATTCATCCAAGATGGGACCTTTTTTACCTTTTAAAAGCCTGATTGGTGAACATCAGCGAACCCTTCCTCTGTGACCACATCATTGCTGTGAGCATGTATCATGGACGGGATGGGGCAGGCTGTTCCCCGGTTTAACTGGCACCTTGCTTTCTTCTGAAAAGGAGTTAAAATGACTGATCCTTGCACAAACTAACCTGCATCTGCTATACTTTTGGAGTTAGCATAGCTGTTCTACTCATCTGTCCATCTGCTCACCCTTCTGTCAGTCTATAGTTTTTCTATTAGATTCCTCCATATCAGGCCGTAGGGTTCTAAGCCTTTCTGCAGGACCCACCTGAGTCCAACCATTTTGCTGTTTCACAATTAGAAGCCAGGGACTCCCAGACCTGCTGATCATTAGCATTTCCAGGGTGCTATGAAAAATGCAGGTTCCTGGAGTCCCCTGCAGACCAACCTCATCAGAATCTCCTGGAGCAGAGCCCCAAAAAACTAGTAGTTAGAACACACTCCCCAGGTAATTCTGACATTGGGAATGAGGATGACAGATCCTGCATTTAGACAGACAAGCTCGTTGAACTCGTTTTTCTGGAGGAGTCTGGTTGCTCAGTGGGAGGCTCTCCTTTTGTCTTTGACATTTGAATTCTGGGGCCATCTGTGCTTCGTCCTGTCCTAGCTCTTCTCTGGTCACTGGTAGGAATCTGCTGGGCAGAGCAGATTCAGAACGCAGAGACCTGCTTTCGGCAAGTCCCAGCATGGCTGAAGCGATCGAGTTTGTCCTCTCTGTCGAGGTCAGGCCCTGGCAGCTGGTGTTTCAGCAACAAGCCTTTTGGTGAATTGCTGTCCCCACTCCTGAGTGCCCTTTGGAGACACACAGATCTGATGATATGATGTACAGTCAAAAAGGGCTTCTTCCCAATGCTGTCATTGAGGTTTCTCACCACCCACAAAGGCAGCTTCAAAGCCAAATCCTCAGAAAAGGGGATCTGCCTGGGCTAGCTGGTCAGGTGTCCCAGGCACAGTCAGCTCTGTTGAGGGGTGTGCAGTGAGGGCTCAGTGAGGCCACAGAGCTCAGATGTGGCCATGAAGACTCCTGGTTGGCAGGGGATGAATGAAGGAACAGGAAGAACGAAGGTTCACACCAGCCCCAGGCCCTGGAAGGGCCTTCAGAACCATCTCGAGGCTGAAATAGTCATCAGCACAATTTTGGTGTCAAGAATGTTTTAGTCCATTATTCTCCCTTAAAATTTACTCTTCCCTTATAGACTATAGAGTAATTATCAATGAACTAAACATCCCATTGGCCAGCACATGCCAGCTCCCAATCTTTAAGAAAAAAAAAAGAACACTGAGTGTGGGCTGTTACCCATCCTTAGGTTCTGTCCTCAAAGTTCCTGTTCTGAGTCTTCCTTGAGATGAAACTCATGGTCCACAGAGCTTGGAAAGCACGCCAAGGGCAGCTAAAATGTAACCTGCCTGTAGGTCTTCCCACTTCATTTAAGTCTATGCTGGTAGAAGAAGAGATGCTATGAGCAGGGCTCTTAGGCCAGCAGGTGCTTTATGGGTGGGTCTCCCTTGGTGGCCGTCCTCCAGCTGGAAATAATTGTGCTTCCCCATGGCCAACCTTTTCCCATAGGAGAGGGAAGGACCAGGGCATTTTAATAGAGTCATTTGTGTATTTATTGTTTTTATGAAAATGCCCTTTTCTTCTTTCCTTTCTTCAGGCAATGTGGCTCTGCAAACATCTGAACAGCAGTCTCCTCACCCTGGAGAACCTGATCTTAAATGAGTTTTCCTATACGGCCACCGAAGCCAGAAGGCTTTATCTGCAAAGGAAGGTAGGACTGGCCCCGGGGACAGGGGTAGGCACACAGCAGCAGTGCCCACTGCCACACCCACTGCCACCTGACCATTGCTTGGTTTGTTCCCATTTCATTTTTGATTGAGTACAAGAAAATGCTGGGGTAAAATGAGATACAGGCAGGGTGTGAAGGAAGGAAGAAGATAATTCTTTACTGGGCTCACGTCCTGTTGGGTACCGAGGTGAGTTTTTGCAGTGGGAAAGGATCACGGGTCGAGTGAAGGAGGCTGTTTTGTCCAAGCCCTTGGTGGGATGGTCCAGGCTTGCTCTTTTTCTTCTTAGGCTCAGCCGAGTAAAGGCATGGAGGCAAGTGCTGAACCTGGCGGCCCGCGCCAGGAGATGCAGGGTTGGGCTGCGCCAGCAGTTGAAAGGGCAGCTGTCCAGCTGTCCCCAGAGTGGAAAGCCCCCATGTTCTGTACCTTAGAGGCGTCTCCCTCCCATAGCCTTGGGCACCCTGCTGCACAGCCCACCCTCTGGTCCGGGCAGTGCCCATTCCCCCTGTCCCTCCCACACACGCTGGGGAGCATTGCAGGAGGTGTGGGTGTTGTTTCTAAAAGACCAACAGCTCGATATTTGAAAAACATCTTCTAAAGGGAAATATAAGGCTTGATCACATTATTTCTCTTTAATACAAATAGAAACTCAAAATATTTCTTCAAAATTCCTTCTGGCTGGGCATGGTGGCACGTGCCTGTAGTCCCTGCAACTTGGGAGGCTGAGGCAGGGACTCTTCCTCCTCTCTTCTGTCTTTCTTGCCATGCTCCCAGCCACTCGTGACCACCACTCCATTCTTGTCTCCTGTGTTCTCGGTTCAGACCACCCACAAAGGCAGCTTCAAAGCCAAATCCTCAGGAAGGGGGATCTGCCCGGGCTAGCTAGTCACGTGTCAGGCACAGTCAGCTCTGTTGAGGGGTGTGCAGTGAGGGCTCAGTGAGGCCACAGAGCTCAGATGTGGCTATGAAGACTCCTGGTTGGTGGGGGATGGCAGTTCTCACAGATGAGAGGTATGGATGGGCTGGGTGCAATGACTCACGCCTATGATCCCAGCCCTTTGGGAGGCCAAGGTGGGCAGATCACTTGAAGTCAGGAGTTCGAGACCAGCCTGGCCAACATGGTGAAACCCTATTTCTACCAAAATACAAAAAAATTAGGTGCGCATGGTGGTGGGTGCCTATATTCCCAGCTACCCAGGAGACTGAGGCAGGAGAATTGCTCAAACCCAGGAGGCTGAGGTTGCAGTGAGTCAAGATCACACCACTGCACTCCAGCTTGAGCGACAGAATAAGACTCTGTGTTAACAAAAAAAAAAAAAGAGAGAGAAAGGGGTGTGACTTCGACAGACCCCCAGCCCCAAGTCTGCCTATGACAGCAGCTTGATAGAGAAGGAAAGCCTGGCTCAGCAAGGCGGCCACCCCCACGGCAAGTCAGTCCCCCAGCCGCCCCTGCAGTCTTGCAGGAGTTGGACTGTGTGGCTTCAGCTTGCGGGGACACCAGCCTTTCGGGCTGGGAATATGGTTTTAGAAAGAAAGTGGTTATCTCATTTTCTGCAGAAGATAAGCTTTCTTGGGGAAGGCTTTTTTGTAGGATAAAAATGTTTTTATTAGCTTTATAAAATTCAACAGAGAGGAGGGAGTTTAAGGAAATTCCTCCTGGGTTTCATTTTGCTAATTATCAACATATTTCAAACCACATTGAAGTGCTTTCAAGGGTGTCTTGTTGGGGTCCTTGGCTCAGAAACTCTGGTGGAGGGAAGATGAAAGGCCTGGATGTCAGGCCTCATCAAAGAGTAAAATGTTCTGAAGAGCGAGTGGGCACATGGCAGGCTCGGCCATGCGTGGCCTTGTCTGCAGACAGTGCCTGCCAGTCAAGGCCTCTCATTAAATGTCCTCTTTAAATTGTCTGCTGATTTGGAATCTTTATGGCTCTTTTTGCAAGTAGTAATGATACCTTCAAATACCTGATTTTCTCCTGCTAGTCTTAGCTTTGCCCTCCTAAGCAGAATTCTCTTACGTTGCCACTGTTAACCAAGACATCTCCATCTTAGGCATTTCCCAGTGGTTTCTGAAATACTTCCTAACTGCCTTTTTGCCAAGCACTATTCTGCAGTGCTGTGGGAGAGTCAAAGATGAGTTTCTTCTCCTTACCCCAGAAGCTTCCAGCCAGTGAGGAGACTGATGGTCCCATAAAACTAAGCACAAGCCAGGGTATGGGAGCCAGGGAACCTTCAATAAAGCAATTAATCGGTGGCTTGTTTGACTCAATTCATTTACTAATTCATTTACGTTAGTCCTGAGCACCTACTAAGTCCTAGGCACTGGCTCTGGGCTGGGAAGGGGGTACAGGCTGCAAGATTTAGGGACCCCCTGGAGCCATAACCACAGTTACACTAAGCAAAGCCTTCCCAAAGGGCACACTGTAATGTTCTAAGGCATGGAACGGTCTGGAATCGGGCAGTGTCACAAAGCCCACGGGGATGGTGCCCCAGGATGCTGGGGGTTCACAGTGGCCAGGGATTTTTGTTTGTTTTTAAGTGTTTGTTGTGAAATCTCATAAAAATATCTAGAAGCAGTGAGGATAGTCTGAGAACCCCCATGGATCCATCCCCTGCTTCGACAGATGTCAGCTCATGGCAGTCTAGCCTTGGGTTGCACCCTCACCTGCTCCCCCTGCCCTGGGTTATTTTAAAGCAAACCCAGACAGCATTTGACCTTCCCCATGGGTGTTTTAGTCCAGATCTACTGAGATTGAATATTCAGTGTGGACAATGGCAAGACCTCCTGTAAACATAAGACTCTGCCCCACAATCTGCAGCAGCCCACCCAGGAGACCAACCCATGACCTGCAAGAGCCCACCCGGGAAGCCACCTGCTGTGCCAGGCTTGCAGGAAGCCAGGCTGCTCTCTCTTCCAATAGTCCAGGAAGCTGAACTAAGTCATCCCTATAGCCACCTATCCCAAATGGCCAGGGCATGATTAATAACTGGCAGTGTCTCTAGTTTTTGTTCCTGCTTCCAACCTGAGACCAGCCAGAGAAAGCCAAACATGCTCCCCTGTCTAGTCCTGTAGAATGCCCACCTCTAGAGAGACACCTCCAGCTCCCCAGCAGCAGCCTCCTTCAGGCATGCCTGGAGCCTTCCCTTTTCCTCTAGAACTCTCCCTGTCCTCTACCTGCGTTCGAGTCCGCCAGATGTGAACGATGCTGGCTGACTCCCTTGCCCAGCAAGCTCTGAGTAAACAGCCTTGGCTTGTCTCATTTGGGAGGTCTTCATTTATTTCCGCAACCCAAAGATAAGGGCCCTTTTTCAGTAAACGCATAGAGACACATTATCACACCTAGAAGTGTCACTGAGGATTCCACCAGGCCAGCCAGAGTTATAAATCTCGCCGAGGAGATGGTGTTCTTATGGCTCCTGGGCCCTCTCCTGCTCAGGCCCCTCCCTCACTGGACCATCAGGGACATGTGATGCTTCTGGGTCCAGGCCGGGCTGGAAGAGACGTTTGATGCCCTGAAGACGCTGGCTGTCCCTGGACACCAGCCAAGGTCATTGGCTGGCGACTGGCTCCCCTGAGTGATTTTGTCTAGATGCTGACCCCACAGCTTTTCCTGGAGGGGATCAGGGACCCAAGGACATGGTCAGAGCCATCGAAATGAATGTCAAAATGGCCCCAGTCCTCTCGCCGAACACCGTGAAAGGGACATGGTTTCCAGTAATACTGCAGAAACCCCCACCTTTTCTTCCCACAGTAGTGGCCCTAACACCTTCTCCACAGGCCCGTTCCCCTGAAACGCTGCCCCTGGAACCCCAGCCCGAGGCCACCTTTGCCTCCCGTTCTTCCCATTTATTAAGTTAATTGAATTCATCTTTTCAGCCGAGTCTTTTTTCCTTCATCTGCTTTCTCTGGCCCTGTCTCTAAGCCCACAGTCTGACTCAACATCATAAACACCACAAAAAGGCTCAGGTGAGGAAGACCCGGGTCGAGGAGGGGGAGGAGACGGGGAAGGAGGGGGACAGGGTAGGGGAGGAGAAGGGAGGAGAAGGGGGAGAGGGGGAAGGCCACTGAGGAGCCACTCTCAGGTGCTGATCCTGTACTTATGAGCCTTCAATTTCTACTGTTTAAAAAAAAAAATCTGGCTGGGTGCAGTGGCTTACACCTGTAATCCCAGCACTTTGGGAGGCTGAGGCGGGAGGATCGCCACCTTTCTTTTTTTTCTCTGTCTCTACAAAAAAGAAAAAAATATTAGCTGGGCATGGTGGGGGGCGCCTGTAGTCCCTGCTGCCTGGGAGGCTGAGCCTGGGAGGTGGAGGCTGCAGTGAGCCATGATGGTTCCACTGCACTCCAGCCTGGATGACAGAGTGAGACCCTGTCTCAAAGAAAAAAAACAACGTGAGCCCTCATCCTACCTCTGTCTGCACACAAGAAACATAGTCCCCTCCAAGTAGTTCTGAGGATTTCTAGGAAACAGCCCACAGATGTTGCTTCCCAGTCCTGCCTGGTGTCTCCCTCACTTCTGGCCACTCCATCTCCAGCTGGCCTTGCTGCTCCCATTTCTTGAGGCTGAACTGAGACACAGTGGGAATGCCCTCAGTCTCTCCCTCCCTTTCCTGAGTCAACAGCTCCAGGCAGTGGCGTCGAGCAGGCCTTTTTGGAAGGCTTGGGGTAGAGGAGGTGACTGCTCTACCCAGGGAAACTGGAGCACCAGGCTCCGTCACTCCTGTGAAAATTTCCTGGCCTTCATCCAGTCCAGGGTTTCTCTTGCTGCCACGTCCTTCCGTGCGCCTGTCTGGGTGCCACGCTATGAGGTCTGCTCTCTTCCTTTGAAGCCTCTTCTCCTCTCTCCTCCCTCCTCTTGTCTCTGGTCCCCCAACCCTCCTGTCTCCCCCTCCCAAACTCTAGGAGGCAGTTCCTGCTGTCTCCTAACCTGCTCTGACAGCTCCGAGCAGCAGTAACTTTGGAATGGGAGTTGTCTCTAAAGGATGTTCTGTCAGTTCTGAGGGGAGCTCAAGTCCGACTACTGGGTTTCCCTCGTCTACCAGGAGGAGCCCCTTTATGGAGAAGGGGGGTGTGGGGGTCAGATCAGGGCATCTCACCTGTTCCCCTCCCTGCTCTACTTCCCAAGATCACACTGTAGCTCAAAATGCCCACAACTTCTGAGCAGGCATCACTCACCATGTTGACACAGGGACATTAGGATCCCTGAGAGTGGGGCCTGGAGATGGGACAGGAAGATGCAGGCTCATGCCATCCCAGTGTGAGAAAGCCCACTGGGGAGAAGTCAAGTGACGCCCCAGGGGCAGAGCCAGGGTTGGCACCTGCACACTTGGCTGCCTCAGAACAGCAAAACAGCGGGCGGCACCTTGGAGGGCTAGGAGATCAGCGAGTCTGCCCCCAGGCCGGGAAACCCACCAAAGCCGCACTGGGTGCTGGAGGGGAAGAGAGAAAAATCCAAATTGCAGCAAACACAGCCTGTCCTGCCCTTAAGTGCACGGAAGCAGCACGGGAGCAACTGGGTGCTGCGGTGCCACCGAGCAGGGAGACCCGGGGCCAGGGGCCTGAGTCGGGGCTGAGCCTTCTCTGTGGCCAGGAGCGGCCTCACTGCACTGTCAGCTTCTCCCTGATTCTCCCCAAATGCCAGACTTTGGGGGCTGGGGTGGGAGAGCATCACAGTGCTCTGCAAGGAGGGAGGCTGATTCCTGCTAAGACAGTTTGGCAGGGCTTCTAGAAGCGGCCTCTGAAAGCCCTGCTGCTGACGTGACACATCAAAGCTGGCGTGGAGACAGCACAGTGGCGGGGAGCAGCGGGGGGCGCTCAGGAGTAGCTGCGCTCAAAGCCGCAGGCCTGTCCCCTGCTGTGCAGGCTGCAGGGGGTGCTGTGCCCCACCGGGGCTGTCCGCCTTTCAGCCGGTGCTCTTTGACTGGCTGGCACCCCCTGCGTCCTGGTTGGCACCCTTCTCTGCATCCTGTACCTGTTTGAACACTGCCTCCTGAATGGGTGTTGTCAGGGAGGGCAGAGGAATCTGGGAAAAACAGCCCCAGAATGGAAATTGGCTGTGCCTGGGGTCAGGAGAGGACCTGAGGGGCTGGGAAAGGATGAAAGGGGATGGGAGGGGAGAGGATGAGACGGAGGGGGGATGCAGAGGGAAGGGACAGGGCTGCTTCCTGTCCACCCCTTCCCTTGCCAGCCTGGGGAAGCTCCCCTGGAGACCTGAGGGAAACGGGCACTGGCGGAAAGACACCCTCCCTCTCTAGCAGCTTCCCCCAGACCCCGGGGGCCCTGTGTAGGTGGGCTTATGCCAGTGGTTCTCCAGGTGTGATGCCCTGACCAGCAGCGTCCGCGTCCCTTGAAAACTTGCTAGAAATGCACATTCTCAGCTCTGTCCCAGAGCTACTGAATCAGAGCTCCCAGGCTGGGGCCCAGCAGTTTGTGTTTCCAGAAGCTCTGCCAGCATTCTGTTGCACAATCAAATTGAGAACCACTGGCTTAGGGAAGAAAGGTGGGGGAAGGGGGCGGTAGGATAAGGATACAGGGCTATCTCAGCAGATGTTGGAGCCAGGGACTGGATGCTGGCTCGCCTCCTTCTTGCCTCTCTGGTCTCCTTTTTCCTCTGTGCACCATCCATTCATTCATTCATTCTGTCTCTCCCTCTTGCTCTCGATCTTGACTTTGGCTGTCTACCTCGTAGAAACATGGTGACCCCATAACTTTAAAGTGAACATATTCATCCAGTTCCCAGCAGAGGTGCCCCCTCCCTCGTTCTCTCGCTATCTCCCCTTTTTCTTCCCATTCCCCATCCCTGGAAAAGCCATTCTGCAGCTGGGTCTGGTTTCTCTCTTTCCCTTTGTGCTGGTTTCATTCCGTTCCACACCCGTCATGCCCACGAAGTGGCTGCCGCAGCTCCCGCTCTTACATTTTCTCAGCTTCTGAGCTGGTGGAAAGCAGGGGTTCATGCCCCTAATGATTGCACTGATGTCCTGGGCCTGACTTTCACTAGCTGGGACTGGGTCCCAGGCAGCCTCTGAATCAATCACAGTGGCTGGGAGTGGGGTGTGCAGATTGGCTTGGACAAGTCAGGGCCCTCCTCTGGATCTGAGGATGGACTTGAGCGCACCCAGACCATACAGGCAGAAGGGCAGGAGGGTGACTCCTCAAAGGAACTTTGGGAGCCCATGTTACTGTAAGTGGAGTGTATGGAAAATTAAAATAAAAGCCACATTTGCAGTCTCATTACTGATTTCTACTGGTTAGGTGTGTGAGGCCTAAAGAGGTCAAGGCTTTGCCCAGGGTCGCCCAGCTGGCTGTATCGCAGCCGCCAGGAGCAGAGAGCCTGCCCTGGGCAGAGGTGGGAGGTGAGCCCTGATGCCAAGTCCGAGTCTCTGCTCTGCATAAGAAAGGCTGTGCCAGGAGGCCCCCGCCCCCAGCAAGGAACTTTCTGATTGGAATGTATTTCTACTTCCCATGTCCTTTTTCAGAAATGTGGGTGGGTGTAGAGGAGATTTTTAGCCCCTGTTGTGCACTACAAGGAAAGGCACAGGCCAGGCCTCAGCGACTCCCCTGAGAAGAGTTGCTTCCTCCCCAGTCCTTTGCAGAGAAGGGAGAGTGCGGAGTACCCTGGGGAAGCAGCTTCACCTCTCCCAGGCTCAGCTTCCTCCTCTATGAAAAGGGCCAACACTCTGAATCAATCACAGTGGTCAGGAGTGGGGTATGCGGATTGGCTTAGACCAGTCAGGGCCCTCCTCTGGATCTGAGGATAGAGTTGAGCACACCCAGACCATACAGGCAGAAGGGGGCAAGAGGGCGACTCCTCTTTGGGATTCCTCTTTGGGGGCCCGTGTTACTGTAAGTGGAGTGTAGATGGCACAGAGTTGTTACAAAAAGCAAAGAATGGAATGCTTGGCCCAGTGCCTGGCACATAGCACGTGCTCAACAAATGCTAGCCGTCATGATTGCTGCTTGTTGAATGCATCAAGGAATTTGAAGTTTCATTATGGTCGACAGGGCTTCCTATATCCTTGATACCATTTGGTCTGCTGGTCAATATTCAACAACCAGCACTGGGGGCAGGGTGGGGAGTCCTTATTGTAGCCTTTATCATTTCTGTGGTGTAGACACTCCCACCGTGGCCAATTTTGTTACCAACATGAGGTCACTGACTGTGGACTTGGGAAGAGATGGACACACTCGCCTCTGCTGAGTCTTGGAGCCAATCCCCTCCCACCCGCCACTGTCTGGAGTCCAGAGTCAGTAGGACACTGTCCCTTTCCTTGAAGAGCTTTACAACTTCCTGGGGACACAGCCACGTGGGCAGTCCATTAGCGTGTGCGGTGGTTAGTGCAGTGACAGAGTTCTCCATCCAGGATGATGGAGCACGGGAAGTAGCACCAGCCTGGCCTGGGAGGATCCGGCAGGGCTTCCTGCAGGCTGGCACTTGGGGCTGAGGCTCTGAGGGAGCCCTGGAGTTATTCAGGTGGAGGTGGGCGAGGGCATGTTGGGGCTTGGGCACAGGATAAGGTGAGTACATGTGTGAGGGAGGCCCTCAAAGATGCTGGGGGGAGAAGAGAGTTCAAGGAAAGGGTGCAGCGGGTGGAGGAAGGGCGGGGCCCGATGGTGGTCGGTGCTTTCCAGAGGCCAGGGCGTTGGTGAAGGGTGTGTGCTGGTCTGTGTCCTGAGCTGCAGGAAGCAGGTTTGGGCCATCATTCTGTGTGTCCTTTTTCCTTCAGACAGTTCCCAGCGCGCTGCTCGTCCAGCTGATTCAGGAACGCCTGGCTGAAGAGGATTGCATCAAGCAGGTAAGACTCCAGTGAGCTAGGGGTTTCAGTGCCAAGATAAAGGGGAGGGTGAAGGGCGTGTGTTCATCTCCAAGACCAGAGATGACCAGAGGCATAAGAGAAGGTAAGGCAGGCAAACGGGAACTCCGTGAAGGTCAGTCTACAGACATGGATTTTGCTTTTGTCAAAGGAAAAGGAACAGTGTGGAATTCGTTGTATCGGTCAGGGTTCCCGTAGGAAATAGCTGGCCCATCCAGAGGGGTCACAGGAAAGCATTTAATGACAGGACAATCGCAGAAGCATGGGAGGGTAAGGCAACCGACAAGTGATGGTGAGGCGCCAGGGACTGGCATCGGCAGGAGGCAGAATTAGGGGTACCCCAGACTCTCGCCTCCTATCCTTTGATCTCCTGCCAGACCCAGTGAAGTCAAAGGGCAGGAGTCCAGGTGAGCAGTCCACTGAGGCCGGCCTCCTGGGGCACAAGGAGGGTGGAGAGGGCAGGGGAGGGCTCAGGAGGACAGCAGCATAGCACCTGTCTACTGGGCACTGATGGGTGCCACAGGAGGGCTTTGCACACCGATTCATGTGTCCTCACAGGAACCCTATTGGGTCATGTCATTACTTTTCTCTTTTTATTTTATTTTATGTATATATGTATGTATGTGTATATATACGTTTGAGACAGGGTCTTGCTCTGTCACCGAGGCTGGACCCCAGTGGCATGATCACAGCTCACTTAGCCTCAACTTCCCAGGCTCAAGTGATCCTCCTGTCTCAGCCTCCTGAGTAGCTGGGACTACAGGCATGCATCACCACACCCAGCTAATTTTTGTACTTTTTGTAGAGATAGAGTTTCACTATGTTGCCCAGGCTGGTTATCAAACTCCTAGGCTCCTATATTTTTTTCTGAATTTAGAATCCTAGGTTAACAGTTTTTTTCTTTCAGCATTTTACAAATGTTTCACTTACAGTTTTTTCTTTTTTTGTAATTTTTAAGGGGCCATGCTAATATTCTCTGTATTGTTCTAATTTTAGTATATGCGCTTGCCAAAGCTAGCACTCTGTTTACTTTTTTTTTTTTTTTTTTTTTTTTTGAGGCAGAGTCTTGCTCTGTTGCCCAGGCTGGAGTGCAGTGGCGATCACTGCTCACTGCAACCTTGACCTTCTGGGCTCAAGAGATCCTCTCGCCTCAACCTCCCCAGTAGCTGGAACTGCAGGTGTGTGCCACCATGCCCAGCTAATTTTTTGTAGACTGGATCTCCCTCTATTTCTCAGGCTGGTCTCCAACTTCTGGTCTCAAGCAGTCCTCCTGCCTTGGCCTCCCAATGTGTTGAGATTACAGGCATGAGCCGCCACACCCAGCCTCCACTTACTTCTGACCACTGTGGTTTCTATGAAAAATCCACAGTCATTCAAATTCTTTTATAAATAATGCATCATTTTTTTCTCTGACTACTTTCAAGATTTTTTCTTTGTTTTTAGTTTTCTTTTTTCCTTTTCTTTTCTTTTTTTTTTTTTTTGAGGCGGAGTCTCATTCTGTCGCCCAGGTAGGAGTGCAGCGGCATAATCTCGGCTCACTGCAACCTCCACCTCCCAGGTTTGAGCGATTCTCCTGCCTCAGCCTCCTGAGTAGCTGGGATTACAGGCATGCGTCACCATGCCTGGCTTATTTTTGTATTTTTAGTAGAGATAGGGTTTCCCCCTTGTTGGCCAGGCTGATCTTGAACTCCTGACCTCGGGTGATCCACCCGCCTTGGCCTCCCAAAGTGCTGGGATTACAGGTGTGAGCTACCGTGCCCGGCCTATTTTTAGGTTTCACTAGTATAATTATGACATGTCTGGGATGAATTTCTTTGGGCTTATTCTTTTTGGTGTTTGCTGAGCTCCTGAATTTATAGGTTTGTATTTTCCTCCAAACTTGCAAAGTTTTTAGCCTTTATTTCTTCACGTAACTTCCTGCACCCTACTCTCTCTCCTCTCCTTCTGCAACTCCAATAACACAAAGCATTCACCCTTTTGCTGTTGTCCCACAGGTCCCTGAGGCTCCAGTCTTTTTTTTTCTTATCATTTTTTCTTTCTTTCTTTTTTTTTTTTTTTTTTTTTTTTTTGAGACCTAATCTCACTCTGTTGCCCAGGCCAGAGTGCAGTGGCATGATCTCGGCTCACTGCAACCTCTGCCTCCCAAGTTCAAGCAATTCACATGCCTCAGCCTCCCCATTAGCTGGAGTTACAGGCATACACCACCGTGCCTAATTTTTTTTTTTTTTTGAGATGGAGTCTTGCTCTGTCACCCAGGCTGGAGTGCAGTGGTGCGATCTCAGCTCACTGCAACCTCCGCTTCCCAGGTTCAAGCTATTCTCCTGCCTCATCCTCCCGAGTAGCTGGGATTACAGGCACGTGCCACCACACCCGGCTAATTTTTTGTATTTTTTAGTAGAGACGAGGTTTCACTGTGTTAGCCAGGATGGTCTCAATCTCCTGACCTCATGATCCACCCGCCTCGACCTTCCAAAGTGCCGGGATTACTAGCATGAGCCACCGCGCCCGGCCCAATTTTTGTATTTTTAATAGAGTCAGGGTTTCACCATGTTGGCCAGGCTGGACTGGAATTCCTGACTTCAAGTAATCCTCCCGCCTTGGCCTCCCAAAGTGCTGAGATTACAGGCGTGAGCCACCATGCCTGGCCCCTATTGTTTTTACTCTCTATCAGTCACATGTGATAATTTGTATTGAACTATTGTCAGGGTCACTGAATCTTCCCTTGTTTTTTTATTCCACTATTGAGCTTGTCCTGTGAGTTTTTTATCGCATCGGTTCTTTCTGCCTTCTGTGTCTTTGCTGAGACTGTATCTTTCTGTGTTTTTACCAGTTGGAAGTTTCTTGTAATAGCCGCTTTCGAGTTTTCATCCGCTAATTCCAGTATCTGAGTTACGTGGTGGTGACATCTGTATCTGCTCTCATGTGAGTAGAGATGTTCCTGGTTCTCCCTGCGCTAAGTAATTTTGTATCCTGGACATTTTAAATATTGTTATGAGGCTCTGGGTCTTGTTTAAATCCTATGGCAAATGTCATTATTTTTGTCTTAGCAGATGACTGATTCAGTTGGGTTCAGGTTGCATGTTCCAGCCAGGCTTCTCAGAGTGTGGTTTCCATGTCAGTCCTGTGTTCAGCAACTTTGCAGTGCCGTGCAGTGACCGACCATGCAGCTCTGTGCTATGTGCACATCACCCAGGGGCACCTGGGGACTTGGCAGTGAGCTGGCCACAGTTCATGTCTCAGTGTCTCTGAAATGCCGTTTAGGGTCAGGCCCACACGTGCACAGCTTGGGGGTGAGCCTTTGATCTCATCAAACACTGTGTTTAGTTACTTCCCTGAGCTCCCCTCTCTGTCATCTCCTGATAACTCCTAGTTCCCTGGTGCTCCTCTTTTTGGTATTTTGGCCAGAAAACTGAGGTTATTTATCCTGCTCTGCCACTCACTTCCTGGGACTGCACCCATGACCAGGGTCAAGTGGTGGGAGGACAGAGAAAGGAAGGATTGACAGGGCTTTGCCCTGTTCTCTTGGGACTGGAGAAGGGTCCCCTCTTTCAGTGTTTCAGGCACCTGCAGGCCCCTTTGACACAGCAGTGCCACCACAGTCACCGCAGGACTGCCTGGAGGCAGGAGTGTGAGAAAACAGAGAAAAGAAAAACCCCACAGAGGTATCTCCCCTCCTAGCTCGCTCTTCTCCCATCTGCTTCCCACTTTCAGCCTTCAGGTTGCCTTAAGGCCAGGCCAGGAGATACTGGTTTGGTGGTATTTTGGATTCTAGTCTTTTCCCCCAACTTGCCTACTACTGGGTAACTTTCTGAGTCCTCGAATAGCTGCCCTGTGTGTTTTATGAATGTATTACAGCTACTTTCAGTGGGGTTGACAAGGCGGGTGGCGCACATTTCCTGTCTCCCAGAATCAGAACTTGTGTCTTTTTTTTTTTTTTTTTTAAATGCACCTACAGATTCTCTCTCTTTCTCCATCTGTCTCTCACTTGAAAATGTATTAGGGCCAGGCTGGGCATGGTGGCTCACACCTGTAATCCCAGCACTTTGGGAGGCCAAGGCAGGAGGATTGCTTGAGTCCAGGAGTTCTAGACTAGCCTGGCCAACATGGCAAAACCCCGTCTCTACTAAAAATACAAAAAATTGGCCGGGCGTGGTGGCCCACGCCTGTAATCCCAGTATTTTGGGAAGGCGAGGCGGGCGGATCACCTGAGGTCAGGATTTCGAGACCAGCCTGGCCAACATGGCAAAACCCTGTCTTTACTAAAAATATAAAAATTAGCTGGGCATGGTGGTGGGTGCCTGTAATCCCAGCTACTTGGGAGGCTGAGGCAGGGACAATCACTTGAACCCAGTAGGCAGAGGTTGCAGTGAGCCAACATCACGCCACTGCACTCCAGCCTGGGTGACAGAGTGAGACCCTGTCTCAAAAAAAAAAAAAAAAGTATTAGGGTTGAATGCAGTGGCTCACGCCTGTAATCCCAGCACTTTGGGAGGCTGAGGCAGGAGGCTTCTATCGCAACGACTCAGCTCTGATGTAATACAAAGGCAGCCGTACACATGCCATTGCACTCCAGCCTGGGCTACAGAGCAAGACTCTGTCTCAAAAAAAAAAAAAAAAATTAGCTGGGCATGGTGGTGGGTGCCTGTAATCCCAGCTACTCGGTAGGCTGAGGCAGGGGAATGGCTTGAACCCAGGAGGTGGAAGTTGCAGTGAGCCGACATCACGCCACTGCACTCCAGCCTGGGTGACAGAGTGAGACCCTGTCTCAAAAAAAAAAAAAAAAATGTACTAGGGTTGAATGCAGTGGCTAATGCCTGTAATCCCAGCACTTTGGGAGGCTGAGGCAGGAAGATCACTTAAGTCCAGGAGTTCAAGACCAGCCTGGCCAACATGGTGAAACCCTGTCTCTACTAAACATACAAAAAATTTGCTGGGCATGGTGGCGTGCACCTGTAATCGCAGCTACTCGGGAGGCTGAGGCAGGAGAATCGCTTGAACCTGGAGGAGGAGGTTGCAGTGAGCCGACACGCACCACGGCACTCCAGCCTGAGTGACAGAGCAAGACCCTGTCTCAAAAATATATTGATTGGGAAGCCCCAAACCTGAAGCAGGAATCTTTCCAGCATGCTGGCGAGGGAGTAGCAGTTCTCACGAGCTTGTTCTGCATGGCCCTCAGCCATGGGATCTCCATCACAAACACCCTGCCGGCCGGGCTGCAACACTGGCTCTGAACAGTGTGTTTACATCTGAATTGTCTCAAATTGTTCACTGTGAGTGGATGGTCTTCTGCCCAGGTGTGGGCAGATATCCAGAGCCCAGAGGCTATTCTAAATCGGGGGTGGACACATGTTTTCTGAAAAGGATGGAGAGACACTCGTTGAGGCTTTGCAGGCTATATGGCTTCTGTCACAACGACTCAGCTCTGATGTAATACAAAGGCAGCCGTACACAACACAGACACAAAAGGGCACGGCTGTGCTCTAGAAAGACTTTTATCTTAGAAGCAGGCAGCAGGCCAGATTTGGCCCGCGGGCTGTAGCTTGCCAACCCCTGTTCTAAGTAACACTTTCACATTGATCATGAAAACATTTCTGCCCTTTCTCTTGAGCTCTCAATAAAAAGCAAACTTCCGGCTGGGCGTAGTGGCTCACACCTGTAATCCCAGCACTTTGGGAGGCTGAGACAGGCGGATCATGAGATCCAAAGATTGAGACCATCCTGGCTAACATGGTGAAACCTCGTCTCTACTAAAAATACAAAAAATTAGCCGGGCGTGGTGGCACGCGCCTGTAGTCCCAGCTACTCAGGAGGCTGAGGTAGGAGAATCGCTTGAACCCAAGAGGCAGAGGTTGCAGTGAGCCGAGATCACGCCACTGCACTCCAGCCTGGGCGACAGAGTGAGACTCCGTGTCAAAAAAAAAAAAAAAAAAAAGCAAACAGGAGTGTTAGAAGAAAGGCCAGCTTCCCCATAGACTTTCATTTTAACTAAGTTCCCTCCCAGTCACCTGACTTCCAAGCTCGGCGACTTGATTCTGCATCTCCAGTTGAGTGCCCCCTGCAGGCCCTGCATGGTTTTCACTACCAGGACCCTTCCCCACACCCGAGACCTTCCTCCTCAGCACCCCCCACTTCTAGCAAGATGGTCTTGCCTGCCTTGGGCTCACCATCTGCAGTTGAAGGCAGAGTCAAACATGACCAAGGCAAGGCAGATGGTGAGAAGGGTTGTGATGGAAAAACCAGGGCGGGAGAGTCAAGTGATTCCTGAAGCCTCTAGTGAAGGGGACTGGAGTGGACTGTGGAGGGGCCGTCTTAGGCTGGAGGGAATGGCAGCCAGAAGTGAGGCAGGAACCAGAAAACCCAGTCCTTTACCCCAATTTCACACTCTTAACTCAGAGTGTCAAACCAACCTCACGGGAACTTTTCCTAAAACTGACCCATCAGTCGGTCACTATTTTTAAGGTTTCCCACCTCTTTTACCTAGGAAGTGCCAAACAATCTTTTGGCAGAGCATTAAAGGGGAGGGAAAGATGGCCCGAGTGACTGGAAATGGGCCAGCATTTTCCCATACAAAATGCTGTGTGCCTTAATCCATTATCCATTATTTCTTATGCATTTGCCAAGTTGGATTAGACTCTTGCATAGCAGATCACCAGGCTGGAAGCATTCAAGGGAGTCTTCCTTTCTTCTCTTCAATCTTTTTTTTTTTTTTTTTTTTTTTTTTTTGAAACAGGGTGTTGCTCTGTTGCCCAGGCCGGAGTGCAATGGCACGGTCATGGCTCGCTGCAGCCCCAACCTCCTGGGCTCAAGCAATCCTCCCACCTCCGCTTCCTGAGTAGCTGGGACTACAGGCACATGCCACCATGCCCATCTGTTTTTCATTTTTATTGTTTGTAGAGTCGTGGTCTCCCAATGTTGCCCAGGCTGATCTTAAACTGGGCTGAAACGATCCTCCTGCTCAGCTTCCTGAGTAGCTGGGATCACAGGCGCGCACCACCATGCCCGGCTAATTTTTGTATTTTTTGTAGAGACAAGGTCTCACCATGTTGCCCAGGCTGGTCTCAAACTCCTGTGCTTAAGTGATCCACATGTCTTGGCCTCCCGAAGTGCTGGGGTTATAGGCATGAGCCACCATGCCTGGCTCTCTTTGATCTTTAAAGCTAAGCTGTTTTCTCTTTTTCATCATGATAGCTACTCATCAAATTTGGTCAAATATAGGGGGGTGGTACTCCTTTGGCTTAATTGTACCTTAGTTGCCCAGGACTGGACCCCCTCAGCAGGGGTGGGGGCTGTCTGTGAAAGCACAGCTGGATATGGTCTTGCCCATCAGGCAGTGTTTCAAATTCAATATGCCAAGAGTTCCTGGAACCAGGACTGTCAGTGTGATGAGCATTCGTTCTAAGCACACAGGAAGGGAGAAACTATGTAGTTCATATCCTCAGGAATAACACGCACCTAAAAAATGTGGCATACTCATGAGCCACCATCACTGCCCCTGCCAAACGAAAGGCCCGGTGGAGATGGCGCCACGGTCTGTCTTAGTCAGCAAAGGCAGCAGGACTTCCCCACGCCTGGTGGTAGAAGACCTGCCTTTCCCTTTTCAGATTTCCTTTGAAGATGCTATGATCCCCAAACCACCTGTGACCCAGGAACTTGAGCAGGAACTGCTGTGTCTGGGCCGCTCTTCCCCCGGCCCGCTCTCCTGGTCAAGAGTGTTTGCTTCAACCAGCTGCCTTAGTGCAGCAGAAGCCGGGAGCTGGCCTGCTGACCACTGGAAGGCAGAAGTCTCTGGGATCCAGGCAGGCAGGAGAGCAGGCAGGCCCAGAGCCTCTGCTCCAGCTCTCTATCTCGGCCCGGGAGAAGCCAGAGACCTGAATGGAGCATGCGTCTGAGCCTGGCATCAGGCACTACGCCCAGCAGCTTCTCCAGCTTCACGGGACCCTACATGGCCAGTGTTACTATTATTGTGCCCATGTTGTAGCTGCAGGGCCTGAGGCACGCCCAGAGCCACACCGGGGGAAGCGGCAGGGCTGGCCAGGGTAGACCAGGCACATGGTGCACAGGGCCAGCGCTCTGACCCAGGGGCTCCAGGGCTGTGCTATGCAGCCCAGGACAGAAGCTCAAAGGCTGGGCAAAGCCTATCTACTCCCTGTCGTGTTTTGTGCCATTCACAGGCCCCCAACGTGTCCCCATGCCACCTGATATGTTCCTCCACTAGAGTCGTGACCAAAAGCCTTGTCATGGTTTGTTGGCCTACCCGGCTCCCCAGTCAGTGTTTCCTAAAAGTACTCATTCATTCATTCATTCATTCATTCATTCATTCATTCATTCATTCATCTATTCTCTCATGCAACAAATCACTTTGCTAAGCACAGGGACCAAAGCAGTGAACAAGAGAGTTAAACGTCTTGCTCTCAAGGAACAGAAGTTCTAGTCATGGAGAGACAGACAATAAACCAGATAAATAAGCAAAGGAGTCACGTCAGTTAGAGGCAGATCTGAACTTCATAGCTGGAAGAGAGGCTTGGCATGGGGCCAAGGCATCTGTGGGCCCCTCTGCCCCATCCACCCCACACATCCATTGCAGAAGGCCCAGGGTGGGTGTCTGGATACCACTGAGCAACCCTCAAAGTCTCTCTCCTTTCCAACCTCAAAACATTTGAAACAGTACTATTTCGTGTAAGTAATTTTTACAAGTTACAGCATTCCAATGAAAATGTTTCTGGTGGGTAAGCATTCTGGATTCTAGGTGGAAATCTAGAATCCAGAGATGCAGGGCCTCAGGGTGGGCTGCCAGTGATCGTCTGTGTGTCCCACTGGCTATATACACGCCCTTGAAGCCGCACTGCCCTTCTTTCCCCACTCCAGAATCTAACAAGGCTGCACAGTTTTCACACAGGATCCAGCTGCCTGGACAGATTTGTTTCCGTGATTTTTAAAAAATTTCTACCTCACTGAGTGATAGTTTCTGGGGAAAATATGGTGATTCTCTCTGTGTTTGCAGCTGGATATCCCAAACATGCCCTCAGTGATCTAGAATAGTCATTTTTTTTTTTTTTTTTTGAGATGGAGTTTCGTTCTTGCCCAGGCTGGAGTGCAGTGGCGCGATCTCTGCTCACTGCAACCTCCGCCTCCTAGGTTCAGGCGATTCTCCTGCCTCAGCCTCCTGAGTAGCTGGGATTACAGGCACATGCCACCATGCCCGGCTAATTTTTATATTTTTAGTAGAGACCATGTGGGCCAGGCTGGTCTCAAACTCCTGACTTCCAAGTGATCCCCTCGCCTGGGCCTCCCAAAGTGCTGGGATTACAGGCATGAGCCACTGCACCCGGCCTAGAATAGTCTTTCAAATATGCATTTAACTTCTGTGAATTCTTCCTGAGCTTATTTAAAAGCTTGGTCTGCATAACCTCTTTGCATAGTGCACCTGCAGTGTGGACAGAGTACAGGACCATGCATCCCAAGTCACCATCATAAAAATGATGATGAAGTCTATTGTTAGAAATTAAAATCTCAATTATAATTGACATCGTTATTAGTTACATTACACTATATGTGATTACATTGTATTATAAATAATATATTGACTGAGTATTTATAATGTGTGTTATTATTATGATTATTTTGATGATGGTGGTAGCTGTAGTCTACGCGCCTGGTCTGGCATGTTATCTGCTACATGACATTGCAGGTGCACCTTGCACTATGCAAGAGGCTGTAATTACATTCTGGGTGACTCCCCTTGATTGGGAGTGTAGCATTGGCAGCAGGACCGTGTGCTGTGGAGTCCTTACAGCAACCTTGCGGAGGTGGCACTGCTGTCTACCCTATTTCACAGATGCAGAATCCAGGCCTTGAAGAGGTTGTGTATCTTGCTGAAGATCCCACAATTAAATCCCAGAACTGAGATGCAAACACAGTGTTGTACTATTGGCCACTGTTCTTGTTTCAAAGGTTGCATCTCAGGAAGGCACAGAGCGTGTTACTCTGGTGAGAGCTTCACTTCCTTAGGCCTCAGTTTTTCCATCTATAAAACCATGGGGTTGGACTTGAGCATGGAAATCCCTTCTAGTCTTGAGCATGGAAATCCCTTCTAGTCTTATAGTTCTGTGATTCTGATCATGTCCACGCTGTTGTTACCTGCAGAGTAAAGAAATATCTCCTTCAATTTGTTTTAAACTTTCTTCTAACCTTTAAGGGGCATCCATTGCCTTTTCATCTCTTCCCGCTGGAGACAGGATTTCAAGAGTAAGAGGTTAGACTTCTAATTATGTGCTTTGGTTGTTCAAAAACAAAACAAACCCTCATCCAAAATAAACAGGCTTTCTTGCTTTTAGGGAGAAAAATGACACATATGCATATTCATTTATATGGTAATTATTATTATTTAGCTACACAGGGACTAGAATTGGTAATTTAGAGCACAGAAAGAATGCAGGGAATAGTGTTCAGGGAAAAATAACGCAATCATAACCCATCAGGATTCTGTAGTTAATGCAGGGGGGTCGTTTCTTTTTCTTTTTTCTTTTTTTTTTTTTTTTTTTGGTCTAATGCAGTCTCTTTGAAGAATTTTTTTTTGAAGTGACCATCAAATGCATTAGAGAAAGAAAAATTAGCACTCTGTATTGGAACGATCAAAAGGAGTTGGCTCTACCTGTTGGATACCCATTAGCCATTGTTAGGGACAATCAAGAGAATGTGCCCGAATCCTCAGACTACCCCTGTAGGGCAAAGAAAAGCCAAGACATAAGACAGTAAGTTCTGGAAACTTGGGGGGAAAGGCTCAGTACCAAAGAGATTCTAAATTTTACCTTGACCATAGTCACCATTTGTGCTCCATTTTATTTAAATTGCTAAGAATCCCTTTCCTTTATTTGGAACCTGATCCATCTCCCCACAGCTACCCTGGTTTCTTCCCAACTCTTTCTTCACATTGCTGCTGGAAGGATGGCTTTTTAAAGAATGAATGAATTTATTTCATTACCATGATATATTCATTCCTATGGTTCCAAAGGCACCAAAGTCCCCCCTCACTCCTGTTCCTTAGCCACCCAGCTTCCTTCCCTGGAGGCAACTGATGTTCACACTTTCTTGAAAGTGCACCCTTCTGAGGATGACTTTAAACATAGAGAAACATTTGTTATTTTAAAATAAATGTGGTTGTGACCCTCCACTGCTTCCAGGAGCCCTGTGTGTCCTGGGCCTGCCTGCGGTTCAGCTTCATCCCTGGACTTCTCTCATCTACCCACTCAGTACCCGCCACCTTTCTCCAGGTCAACCTGCACCCACCCTGCTCAGGCCTTTGTGGGCAGCTGCCAGACCCTAATTGCATTAGGCCATTCTTGCAATGCATAAAGAAATACCTGAGACTGAGTAATTTATAAAGAAATGAGGTTTAATTGGCTCATGGTTCCGCAGGCTATAAGAGAAGCATGGTGCTGGCATCTGCTCTGCTTCTGGGAAGGCCTTAGGAAGTTTACCATCACGGCAGAAGGTGAAGGGGGAGCAGGCACATCATGTGGCCAGAGCAGGAGCAAGAGAGAGACAGTGGGAGGGGGAGGCGCCACACACTTTTAACCAGATCTCTTGAAAACTCACTATTGTGAAGACAGCACCAAACCATGAGGGACCCGCCCCCATGATCCAAACACCTCCCACCAGGCTCCACCTCTAGCAATGGGGATTACATTTTAATGTGAGATTTGGGTGGGGACACATATCCAAACTATATCACTAAGCAACTCTCAGTGATTTCCCACCCCCTTGTGTCCATGCCTATGTAATCCCCTCCCCTTGAGTGGGGGCAGGACCAGCTGAATGTGGCAAAGGTGAGGGGATGTCACTCCTGTGCTACATTATGTTATGTAAGAATGTGCCTTAGCAGACCAGAGAGAGATCCTCCTTGCTGGCATGATGAAGTATGCAGCTATGTTGGAGAAGCCCACATGGCTGGTCTCTAGGAACTGCAGGGGCCTCCAGCCCCTAGCAAGCGAGAAACCGGAGCCCTCAGTCATGTGGCAGCAAGGAAATGGATTCTGTCAACAATCCAGATGAGCTGGGAAGAGGGTTCTCCCTCAGTCAAGCCTCCAGATGGGAACACAGCCTGGTCAACACCTTGACTGCAGCCTTTGAGACTGAGCAGAGGACCCAGCTGAGCTGTGCTCAGACTCCTTGAAAACCATGTGATAATAACTGTATTGTCTACAGTCACTAAGATTGTTATGCAGCAGTGGAAAAGGAATACACAGTGCTCTTAACCCCACCCCTTAGCTAGAAAACTGCTCTCATTCCTCAGCCTCAGCTTCAAGTCACTTCTTCAGGGAGGCCTCCCCTGGCCTTGCCCAGCCCCAGATGAGGCCGACCTGCCTGTTACACATGCTCACAGCATTCTGCTCTCCAACTCTGCACTGTCATAGTTAGGAGTAGGAATGCAAGATCTTTCATGTGATACCTGGCAGAGACTCCATGCTGGGTAAATATTTATAGAATGAATGAATGAATGAATGAATGAATGAACCAGTCAATAATGAATCAATCAATGCCATTTGGATAATTCCCCAGTTCTGTACCACCGTGGCAGTGAAATCTTATCCCAACATGCACATGGCCCAAGGAGGCAAAGGTGTTTAAAATCCAGCAGCCCTATCCAGTCACATCCGGATGCCCTAATAATGGTTTCAACACTAGGAACATACTTGTCTTCAGGCTTCTTTGGGGAGATTGTTTTGGCCAGTGTGCTAGCTTTGTTTTCTGTGAATTTTGGATCTGTTTAGCGACTTCTTCCTTGTATTCTAAAATTATTCCCATCATTAGTGCTTTCAAGTTTCCCATTTGGCCTTGGACTCCTACACCTTGAGAAAGTTCAAGCACTGCACCCTAAGGGTGGAGGTCCCCCCTTGGGACCCCGGGTTCAGGTTTTTGAGAACCAGTCTTCCAATCTGATCTCCTATGCCAGGAGATTTTCTGTCTCCTCCTCCTCTATTCCTCTAATCAACTGTAACAAGAATCAAGCGCCAGGGTGCTTGATTTTAAAGCATTAAATAAATGTGTAACATAAAAGTGATCACACCTGGTGGATGAATCCCAGTTTGTCTTATCAATGTCTTTTAAAAAGCCATCTACAGAAATCATCCCACAAAAACCTCTTATGAAAAGGGAAACTGAGGCCCAGATGGAGGAAGGAATTTGGTTGACGTCCCACAGGCCAGGTCAGTGTGGCATTTTACAGGCCACCACGCAGAGGCTCCTGGCTACCTGACTGGCAGGTCAGGCTTCAGCTGGACTCGGCAGGTTTGTGCCAGGCCTTCTGACAAAGGCATTTTTATGTCACCAGCACCAGACATTTGGAATATCACAGACTGGAAAATATCTGGCAAAGAAAAAAAGAAATGTTTTCATGTATGGATGCTACCCCCACGCCGCTGCAGGGGGCAAAGGAAAGACTTGTGCCCAATTATGACGGCTCGTCATGTGCGGAGAATTTTATTATTCATCAAAAGGCAGAGGCCTTCACGCACCGGGAATGTGATTCTTATGGGCTCCACACGTGGCTCGGGTTCACATCTGCTGACCTGAGCTGACCCTTGAATATCTGGGCTGGCAGACAGCAGCGAGGGACACTCAGACAGGGACTGGTGTGGACAGCCTGCTCGGGCTGCAGTGCTTTTCTATGTAGAGCGCCCTGTAATTCACAGGCAGGCAGCATGGCCTTAGGTGCTGCGGCGCATGCTCTGAAGTAACAGCTGTCTCACTGTCTGATTAAAATGTGACGATCCAAGCATAGCACTTAGCACTGTGCCCAGCCCGGAGGTCCACTTAGAGTTGATGCTTTTTACATGCTGGATGACTTGGGTGAAGGCCATTTGAGGATCCCTTATGAGTAGAAGTCTGCTACTTCTTCATACCTGGGCTTTGTGTTAGAAAACAGTCCTGGACACTTTCTGGGTGGGTTTATGATCTACCAGCAACATCATGGTGTACTTTTTTTTTGGCGCGATCTCGGCTCACTGCAACCTCCGCCTCCTGGGTTCAAGTGATTCTCCCACCTCAGCCTCCCAAGTAGCTGGGATTGCAGGCGTGTGCCACCACAACTGACTAATTTTTGTATTTTTAGTAGAGACAGGATTTCACCATGTTAGCCAGGCTGGTCTCGATCTCCTGACTTCAGGTGATCCACCTGCCTCAGCCTCCCAGATTCCTGGGATTACAGGCATGAGCCACTGTGCCTGGCCTGTGGTGCACTTTTGAAACCACCACTCAAGTGAGTTCTATTATATCCCCATACCTGGATGAATGAGAGTGAGCAGTCTTTTCAGTGTAGTGCCTGAGGAAAAAAATCAGTGAAATTTCCGAGCCAGCTGCAGACTGCCTTCCTCATGCCTGTTCACTTGCCTTGTGTGTGTGTGTGTGTGTGTGTGTGTGTGTGTGTGTGTGTGAGTGTCCACTTGGGATTGAGTCCCACCACTCTGGAGGTTAGGAATGGTTCAAAATGTTGCCAAACGCGAGCGTAATGCAAGAAGCCAAGCACGTGAGATGCTCGGTTCACTCCTTTGGAGATGGAGCTGGGCTGTGAGGGAAGGGACCTTCAGTGTGACTGCAGCAGGAATTTGCTTTCTTGATGCTTGCTTTGGTTTGAATGTTTGTCCTCTCCAAAACTCATGTTGAACTTTAATCTCCAATGTGGCAGCATTGAGAGCCATAGTACTACCTTTAAGAGGTGACTGGGGCCGGGCGCAGTGGCTCACACCTGTAATCCTAGCACTGTGGAAGGCCAAGGCGGGTGGATCACCTGAGGTCAGGAGTTCGAGAACAGCCTGGGCAACATGGTGAAACCCTGTCTCTACTAAAAACACAAAAATTAGGTGGGCATGGTGGCGGGTGCCTGTAGTCCCAGCTACTCAGGAGGCTGAGGCAAGAGAATCACTTGAACCCGGGAGGCAGAGGTTGCGGTGAGCCGAGATCGCGCCACTGCACTCTAGCCTGGGTGACAGAGCAAGGCTCCGTCCCTGCGCCCCCCCCCCCGGCAAAAAAAATGTTTTCTTTACAATTTACACAGTTTCAGGTATTCTGTCATAAGCCGCAAAAACGGACTAAGACAGTGCTCAACTGGTGGGAGGTACCTCCTCAATCTGCATTCTGTTCACAGTGTCTCCTCATTCTTCTTCCTTAACTGTGAGGCTCAGAGCCCCTGCCGGAGTCAAAGCGACACTGTGACTAACAAAAGCTAGGCCTGCTGCATCCTCCCCGGTGCTGCTGAGCAGGAGCCTGCGGAGGGATGCTGTCCCCATCTGCATCCTGGCTAATGCATTCTAGACATCGCCTCTTATTCCCCAGCACCTCTTCGAGAAGTCTTCCTATTCTCCCATCAAAAGCATAGGAAGGAAACAGAGCCTGTCCACCAGGACCCATGATCAGTTAAATGGAATATGAACGGGTCTCTGCTTCAGTGTGTTAAAAGAGTGTTACTTTGCCCCATGACTCATTGAGCCTGTGATCATGTTACATTAAAGACAGGAAAGAAGGAAAATGAAGGCCAGAACTAAGCCAAGACACAGTTGGTGAAGAGCAAAATTGGTCCATCAAGATAAGGGTACACATCAGCTGGGCGTGGTGGCTCACGCCTGTAATCCCAGCACCGTGGGAGGCCTAGGCGGGTGGATCTTTTGAGGTCAGGAGTTCGAGACCAGCCTGGCCAACATGGTGAAACCTCATCTCTAGTAAAAATACAAAAATTAGCCAGGTGTGGTGGTGGGCGCCTGTAATCCTAACTACTTAGGAGGCTGAGGCAGGAGAATCGCTTGAACCCAGGAGGCAGAGTTGCAATGAGCCGAGATCACACCACTGCACTCTCCATCTGGGCGACAGTTGGAGACTCGGTCTCAACAAAAAAATAAAAAAATAATAAGGTACACAGAATGCTCAGCTAGCATTTACTGGCCCCTGATATGTGCCGAACACCACGTCACACTGTGATGCATTTTCCCATTGAACCTGCATGACTGTCCTATGATGTTTTCAACAGCTAAGACTTCTGGGGCACCTGCTGTGCACCAGCAAATGTTCTAGGTGGCTCAGAACAGAGGGCTGACAGGAACAGGCAGGTTCTAAGAGCTGCTGTCATTCTACGGATGAGGCCGTAGCACAGGAGCCCCACCCACTGACCCAAAGGAGGGATAAATACATTACCTAGAAGAAAAACTGACCTTCTAGAAATGCATCAGGTTCAAAATGTCTGCTTCTGCATAATCTTCCTCCTGGAGCTACAGTAAGAATGCCATCATCAGATGCAACACCTGGACCATTCTGAACCTTGACCATGTCCGCAGATCCCTGGAGTCAGGTCTCTGATGCACTTGGGAAGCAAGGTCAGGCCCCCAGCCCCAAAAGTGACTGTACTGGCCGGGGGTGTTTCCTTTACTGAACATGAAATGCAAAATTCTATTTTGTGTTCCCAGGTTGACTCCTCTTAGATCTCATGTAATATCATGGAAACTTGGTTCTTTCACTGTAAAGGGGGAGCGGACGTAGCACACTTTTGACTGTGGAGCCAAAAGTTTAGAATTTACATGGTGGGTTTCTATAGTCTTTTTTCCTCCTCTTTGGTCTTAGATTTATGCTTCCCTGCCCATAACATGAGTCAGTATTTTATAGTGGAAACAGTAACGGAGTGGAGGAGCTAGATGCTGGTCCACAGAACCACCAGCTGTTTGTTTTATTTCTCCTTGTGGTGTCATTGGGCTGGCATTAATTACACCACTTTCATCCCACTGACAGTAGGAACACAGGATTTTCTTGCCATTGTTTTGACACTCACGGGTTTATAGATGTCACTTGCCTCCTCCAAGGAGTGCGGTTTTATTGATCCACAGCTCTGCTGAGGCCCTGGCTGTGTGTTCCTCAAATACAGATGCAGTTAGCTTTGCAGGGGATTGGAAGTGGAGGTCTGAGTTCCACTCAGGAAACGTATGGCCCGCATCACGGCGAGGCAGGGCTTCTGAGGGCTTGGTGAGGTGCCGGGCACAGCACAGTGAGCACACCTCCTGTGCCCCCTTATTTGTGGGTGTTTCTGTAAGAGACCCTGATGCTGAGGCGTGGTTGGTTGGTTGGTGTGATATGGGCTTCTTAAGGGCACGTGTGGATCATGTGTCTGCATACAGAGCCGTAGCACTCCATGTGGACAGGAACGCGTGTTCCGATATGCTCTGTGGATGTGTGATGCCTCAGATCATCCCTCTCACTGCAGTAGAAGAGGAAAAAGAGATGATCAAATGCAGGACAGGGCCTGAGGTTTGAGCAGACGCAAGCAGACCTTGGAGCAGGAGAGAGTATTGAGAGGCACGGAGATGATGGGAACGGGACTGGACCCAGAAGTACTGACCACATCACTCTTCTCTTCGCAGGCTGAGCAGAGAGTCAGAGGTGCCACGTCTGCTCCCGAGAGCTAGCAGGGCACCCACAGCAGAAGGGCAGAGCAGAAGGGGGCCAACTCCTCATTCTTTCATTCTTTTTTTTTTTTTTTTTTTCGAGATGGAGTCTTGCTCTGTCACCCAGGCTGGAGTGCAGTGGCGCAATCTCAGCTCACTGCAACCTCTGCCTCCAAGATTCAAGCGATTCTCCTGCCTCAGTCTCCCGAGTAGCTGGGATTACAGGCGCCCGCCACCACGCCCAGATAATTTTTGTATATTTAGTAGAGATGGGGTTTCACCACGTTGGCCAGGATGGTCTCGATCTCTTGACCTCATGATCCGCCTACCTTGGCCTCCCAAAGTGCTGGGATTATAGGCGTGAACCACCACGCCTGGCCCGTTCTCCCATTCTTAGGCTGAGTTTGGTCTGTTTTTCAAATGAGTTGTCAACTATGAAAAGCCTGTGTATGCCAGGAGACATTTATTAAGCACCTGCTATCTGCCAGACGTTGTGCCACCACTTTAGGTACATCGTTGCCTGTAACCCTAAACGCTATGAAGTGTAGGTACTATTATCATCATTCCTGTTATACAGATAAGGAAACAGTCACATGGGCTTCCAGAGGACAGGCAAACTCCCCTCAGAGAGGGCAGCTGGCCAAGTGATGGCAAATGGCGTGAGCCCACCTTGGGGTGAATCCACAGTAGCTGTTAACTCACTAGACCCCCGCATTCTAATTGAAATGTGTCTGTCCCAGCTGGGCGTGGTGGTGCACCTGTAATCCCAGCACTTTGGGAGGCCAAGGCAGGAGGATGACTCGAGGCCAGAAGTTTGAGAGCAGCCTGGGCAATATAGCAAGACCCCAGTTTCAAAAAAAGAGAAATGTGTCTACCCCAAGTCCTCCTTAATTAAAGATCTTCCCTCAGTTCATACCTGGAATGCCAGTTGCTCCTGTTTCCCAGAGATTTGCCTTTTTAAACAATTTTTTTTAATATTAAGTTCTACAAACTTAAGTGGGACTCCTTGGAAGTAGGTAGAGAAAAAGAAGATCGTTCACCTTTCTCAAAATTATAATGATAAAACTAGTTAACTTTGGGTCATTTCTTTGTTGCCAGGCACTACACTTGTTTTGTTATTTGTTTTTTCAGAGATGGGGTCCCACTCTGTCACCCAGGCTGAAGTGCAGTGGCACAATTATAGCTCCCTGCAGCCTCGAACTCCCGGACTCAAGTGATCCTTCCACCTCAGCCTCCCAAGAAGCTGGGACTACAGGTGCATGTCACTATGCCTGGCTAACTTTTTGTTTTTTTTTGAGATGGAGTTTTGCTCTTGTTGCCCAGGCTAGAGTGCAGTGGCTCAATCTCAGCTCACCGCAACCTCCACCTTCCAGGTGCAAGCGATTCTCCTGCCTCAGCCTCCTGAGTAGCTGGGATTACAGGCATGCGCCACCATGTCTGGCTAATCTTGTATTTTTAGTAGAGACGGGGTTTCTCCATGTTGATCAGGCTGGTCTCGAACTCTCAACCTCAGGTGATCCACCCACCTCGGCCTCCCAAAGTGCTGGGATTACAGGCGTGAGCCACTGCGCCTGGCCTAATTTTTTATTTTTTTGTAGAAGCGGGGTCTCGCTGTGTTGTCCAGGCTGGTCTAGAACTCCTGGCCTCAAGCAATCCTCCCACCTTGGCCTCCTAAAGTGCTAGGATTATGGGCATGAGCCACGGTGCCTGGTCTGTTTGTTTATAATCCTCATTTAATTATTTCATCAACCGTGAGCTAGATTTTGATTATTCACATTGTGCAGAGGAGAATGAGGCCAGAGGGGATGAAGTGACTGGTTGAAAGTCACACATTGGCTGTGGCACAGGTCATCTGGTTCCAAAGCCACTGCTTTCCGCCGTTACAAGAAACTGATACTTTCCAGGGCTAATCTTGTTTCTAGACAGGTGGGTCTACACCACAGACATGGTCTAAAGTGTTTGAGGGGAATGGGCCCTGGATGCTGGGTTATCCGTGTCTGTTACTTTCATCTAAAGCACATTATGTCTGACTTGGAGAACTAAATGTGAACCTCCAAAGTGAGTTATCTCTGCAGGGGGCTATCTTGGGGCCAACCTCAGAGCTAGGGTAGACTGGTGCATCTGGGGACAGAACAATTTGTTCTTCAAACTGTGTCTTCTTCCATGGAGTGGCTTCAGGGGCACCATAGATACTTGATAGGAATTTAAATTTTTTTTAACTATTTAGGAACTAATAAAAACCCTCTTGAAGCCGGGCGCAGTGGCTCATGCCTGTAATCCCAGCACTTTGGGCAGCTAAGGCGGGTGGATCATGAGGTCAGGAGATCAAGACCATCCTGGCTAACACGGGGAAACCCCGTCTCTACTAAAAAATATAAAACATTAGCTGGGCGTAGTGGCATGCGCCTGTAGTCCCAGCTACTTGGGAGGCTGAGGCAGGAGAATCACTTGAACCCGGGAGGAGAAGGTCGCAGTGAGCCGAGATCATGCCGTTGCACTCCAGCAGTCTGGGCGACAGAGTGGGACTCTGTCTCAAAAAAAAAAAAAAAGGCACCTCTTGAATGCCTGCATTTGGGCTTTACCAGGTTTTCATATCCTAGAGATCATTGGCCTGTAGGCTGCACATCTAGGAGTAATGATATCCCCGCATCTGCACGTTTGTATAAAAATACCACGCATGTATCATTGATTATCAAGGGTGGAATTCAACTCTGTTTAGAAAAATCACTCCTGCATATTTCGGCGTTGTAAGAGCATAATCACTGTTAGGCTGCCCAGAAAAAGGTCAGGCAAAGCCCTGGGCACACCTCACCTTGATCAGGTGGAGGAATCAGAGCAAGTTAAGGGGTAACGGGTTCCTGCTACAGTCATACATGTGGAATGTGGAATACTAACGTTCCGTGTTCAGTGCATTCCACGTTCAGTGCTAACAGGGGTTGCATATTGTTTGGGATTCAACTTTGAGATAAAAATTCTTGCTAGTCATCTTTCAGGTGAGTTGAATATGGACGGCATCCTAGGGTTCTGTGGCAGGCTAAGGTTTTTATGTTTTTGTATAAACCAAAGTAACTGCTCCTGGGACAGTGTGATGTCAGATTTTTTTATGTTCATCAAGGTAGTCTCATTGTTCTCACCGATTGGCTTTAGAACATATCACTGTCCCAAACTGGATCTTTTAAGATGCATTTCCTTCCTGGCTGACAGAATCTCTCTCCTCTATGTTGGGAAACCACATTAGGCCGCGTTCAGCCTGCAGTGCCTCTTGTGAGGCTTGCCCTGGTTCAGACTTGGAACTGAGCGAAACTGATTTATCGAGTCCAAGTCTTCAGCCTCAGCTTGCCTCGTTGGGACTGCAGAGATTGAGCATGCAGCTCCAGGGAATGCCTCCGGTGGAGTCTGCAGTCGGAGCTGCGAGCCAGATCAGAGGCAGGACTGGGGAAAACACCCAGGGAGCCCCACGCTCTGGTCCTGGGAGGAGAGGGGAGGAGCGGAAAGGCAACGCATCAAAAAGGCAGAGGCCCAGAGGGCAACAGAGCCTTCCCATGTGAAGTTGCTAATTGCGCTTTAATAATAGTCAGGAGGGCAAAAGAGGCCAGTGTTCGCACAAAGCCGGACGGCTCGTGCCGCATCAGGCCGTGCTCTGCTGGGCCTCGCCAAGTTCCCCAGGCTGACTGGCGTCTTTTCTTTGCTTTTTTTTCATCTGTGACATCTGCTCAGTGCTTGTCCCTCCTGTGATACCATACCCCTCGCAGCTGTGCAGACCTCCAGCTCTGCACTGGTGCCTGGAGTGCCCTGAGCATACGGCCTTTTTGATGTGTGATAAAACAGAACCGAGCCACGGGGGTACGGTGAGCGAAGGCATCAGAATATCAATTAACCTGCTCTGAACAAAGCTGCAGCTCAGAGTGGAATAGACATTTCACTGAAGTGTCAGGAAGATGGATAATGTATTCTAATTAGGGATTGACTGATACCTCCACATCCAGCCACTCCTGGACGTGAGACCCGCGAACCTCGCAACACAGGCTTGTTGGGAATGTCTTAATGTCCCATCATGGCAGTTGTCGGGTGCTATTTACTGATTTATGACTTCTTGCTTTGCCAGAATTTGTAGCCATTAAAGTCCTCCCAGCCAAAATTGCTGCTTCCCTGTGAACGTGCAGCCCATTTTGCAGCTGGGCAAATAACCCCTTTAAATGCAAGAGCTCTGGGAAAGAAGATCTTTTCTGAGCCCCAAGCCTGCAGCTTTCATCTTGAGAATGCCGTAGGACAGACCCGCCTTCAACAGAGGTTTGGTCAAGGCGCCCTCCCTTCCAGGTGGACCAGTGTGGACCAGCGTGGGCTGGCGCAGAGAGGAAGAGCCTCCATGGCTGCCTTCTCCATACAGTGGGGGGTGGCTCTAATGGGGCCTGGGTGCTGCTCGAGGGCTTCCTCGGGGACCTTGTTTCTTAGTCCCCAGGTGATCGTACCATTTCCCCAGCTCAGAGCAGACCTGGAGAGCTGGTGGCCTAGGGCTCACTCCAGAGCCCCCCACCTTCTTCCTTTTAGATTTTCACATCTGCACCAGAATGACACTCCAGTGAGGCCAGGCTAATTAGGGAGATGTTCCTCATTTTGCTGCACTTTTCCTGTGTAATTGGAAGTCCCGCTTTCTCTGGTGAAAAGTCAGTGAGAGCTGTTCCCCTGAATAGTTCTAAAAGCCTTGGACCACATACTGATATCTGCTGCAAATTTATGGGTGAGATTATAATGATTGCTCAGTAATGCAATATTAAAAGCAGAGGCCTTTTTCAGTGCTGAGCAAAGATGGAGTTCCAACCTTCCAGCTTCAAAAAGGGACTAAAACAGAATTGCCAGCCCTTGTACTAGAAGCAGCAATCAATGGGCTCACAATCCCTCCCCGTCCAAATGAAGGAAAAATAAGGGGGTATGAATTTAGCTAAAGTTCAGAAAATGTTGGTTCGGCTTCCAGAACTGTGAGGGAGCTGTCAGACGCTGCGTCTCCTGGTTCTGCTGGTGTTGCTCACGTCTGTAGATGTTTGCTCTTTCTAAGAGCTGCAGCCCGGCGCTTGGCTGGCTATAACAAGGACTTGAGGGAGCAAAAGACTGTTAAAAATTGTTTTTGCACTTTTGCTTCATTAGTTCTAGAAACCAGGGGTTCCGTGGCTGTGAGTCTTCCTGTATAATTCAAGAAATTAATGAAAGCTTGCTGGATTTTTCCAACAGTCTTTAGGCTGTAAATTTGTTTAGGTTTTTTTTTTTTTTTTTTTTAAATGTCAGTGGAGGCTACGGGAACCTAAATATTTTAATATGGAAGAAATGCTGGCCTTTTTTTTTTTTTTTTTTTTTTTTTTTCAGAGACAAGGTCTCACTGTGTCACCCAGGCAGGAGTGCAATAGCACGATCGTAGCTCACTGCAGCCTCAAATTCCTGGGCTAAGGGGATCTTTCTGCCTCAGCCTCCCAAGTAGCTGGGATTACAGGTGTGCACCAACGCGCCTGGCTAATTTTTAAAAATCTTTTTCGGTAGAGTGGGGGGGTCTCATTGTGTTGCCCAGGCTGGTTTGAAATTCCTGGCATCCAGCGATCCTCCTGCCTTGGCCTCCTAAAGTGCTGGGATTTCAGGCATGAGCCACTGCACCCAGACCACCTTTTGGTTTGTTTTTAAAGAAAGACATCTCTTACAGTCGCCCACACTGTGTCTGTCGATCAGGTGATATGGACGTGAGTGACCTGGAGGCTGAGTCCGTCCATGTCAGTCCGTCATCTGACCTTAGAGCAACTGAGTCTCCCAGTGGCTGAGAGGGAGGGCTCTACAGCAAGCGGGGGCTCCCAGCGTTGACTCCCAGTTGCCTGACCCCGCTTCCTACACAATGGAGACTTGAAGCAACTCGCTGCTTTCTTTCAGTCTCTTCCAAAGCTCCCTTTACTAATGTACCTGGACATCAAGTCTAAAGCATTACATTGTGTGTGTGTGTGTAACTCTAGACTCACGGGACTTGAAAGGACTTTAGAAATTGTTTATTGTGAACATTGCTGAGGGACATAAAAAACAACTTAAGCACATGAGACGATAATGCATTGACTTGATAGTGTAAAAATGTCAATTTGTCGTGAATTGATCTACACATTTAATGTTGTTCCAGAATCCCAGTGGAATTTCTATTTGGGAACTTGACAAAATATTTTTAATGTTTACCTGAAAGATCTTGCTTTGAAAAAAAAAAGAAGGGAGAGCGTATTTTACTAGACATTACGATAACTTATAAAACAACAATTTAAACAGTTAAATAAAAAGAATTTAACAATCTACAGGCAGAAAGAGGCCAGAGCCAATGTCGTATCAGCATTTAGACTGTGATAAGTGTCCTCAGAGGGGAAAAGATAGACTGTATTGTGGGTGAGTTTGGAACAGGTGGTGAGCCATAAGGAAACAGAGTAGATCACAGCCCTATATCATTCGCACACTGGAATGCAGCCCTATTACACAAATCATTACTATTTACATGTAAAGAGTAAAAACACAAGAACACAATTTAAAGGCAAGTGAATATGTATCAGCTTTTTCAGGGGGGAGGGTGTTTTATGCATCCACACAATGCCAGAATCCAAAGACGAAAGCAGCGATTCATTTGGCCACAAACTGGTGTGTTAAAAGCAACACCACACACAAAATGAAAAGGCTGCAAGACAAACTGCTGAAAATATTGGCAACATAGTTTGCCTCAAAGGGTTTGTGGTAGTGTTTGCCAAAATGGGTTCACGTTCTTAATATGTAAAGAGCTGTTGTCAATAAATAAAAGGATGCGACCCCAAGGGGAAAGTAGATAGATGACACAAATGGACATTTTGGAAAAGAAAAAAAAATCCAAATAGCTAACAAACATATGGAAAAAATACTGAACCTCATTAATGATCAAAGAAATGTAAATTAAAGCAGCAGTGGTATACTGTATTTTGCTGGACAGATTTTTTTCCCCTAGATAATGCCCAACATTGGCAGAGATGCAAGGAAACATGCTTTGCCATTGGATTCATAAACTAGTGGGCCATTTTGTAGAGCGATGTGGCAAAATGTATCAAAAGTCGTAAAAGAAGGTATCAACTTTTAGAAATTTATCTGAGGATGTTTGATAGGCATCGAGATGCATATACAACATTGTTTATAATGGTGGAAAACTGGAGTCAAACTGAGCAATATGAGCAACAATATGGGATCAGTTAACATCAGGTCAATTCATACAATACCAGGCAGCTGTGAAAACTTCTATGCAAGGAGCACTTTGTGACATGGGAAAACGTTCATGAAATGTTTTTGCTAGAAAAGAACAGATTACCAAACAGTGTGTACAGTGTGGTTCCCCTCCCCACAACCCCCAGCCACCGGGAAAAAAGGTATCTGCACTTGCTGCTTGGAAGGAGATATACCAGAATGTTGACAGTGGCTTGTTTGGGTCTGAGGTGTTACCAGTGACTCTTATTATTATTTCAGCTTTTCAATATTTTCCACACAGTGTACAATGATTGTATATTACTTTCACAATTGGATTTAAAGAGTTAGTAAAGGCCAGGCACAGTGGCTCACGCCAGTAATCCCAGCACTAGGGAGGCTGAGGCAGGAGGATTGCTCGAGCCCAGGAGTTCAAGACCAGCCTAGGCAACGTAGCAAGACTCTATCTCTATAAATAAATAGTAAAAATAAACCTCTAAACCAGTTCCCTAGCTGTACCAAGAGGGGGCTGATGGGTGAGGAATTTCAATCCTGTAACAAGTTAGCCGCAGAGTAGAAACCGGAATCATCGTCCAGGGTTTTTTTTTTTAAGAAAAATGGGGTGTTCCTGCAGATATATGGGGCAGAAAATGAAAACAAAAGTGGGGTTTTGTTTTCACCCTGGTCTCAGGAATCTCTCAGAAACTGTCTTTAGGAAATTATCCAAAATGTGGAAAGCGCTAGATGCACAAAGATGTTCATCGAGGTATTATCTATGATAGTGAACACTGCCCGCAGTTGAAATGTTCATTTGTGGACATAGTTAAGTGGCTGTGTACATTCTCTTGGTGGGACATTGCACAGCCGTTGATAATGTGGACAATGAGGAGCTGTGCAGATATGAAGAGATGCTTGTGGTCGCTATTGTGTGGTAGAAAAAAATCAAGATGTAGGCCAGGCACAGTTGCTCACGCCTGTAATCCCAGCACTTTGGGAGGCCAAGGTGGGCAGATCACCTGAGGTCAAGAGTTTGAGACCAGCCTGGCTAACATGGTGAAACTCTGTTTCTACTAAAAATACAAAAAATTAGCCGGGTGTGGTGGCACATGCTTATAATCCCAGCTACTTGGGAGGCTGAGGCAGGAGAATTGCTTGAACCCAGGAGGCGGAGGTTGCAGTGTGCCGAGATTGTGCCATTGCACTCCAGATTGGGCAACGAGAGTGAAACTCCATCTCAAAAAAAAAAAAAAATCAAGATGTAAAATATATATGTTATGATTATAATCACCAAGATATGATTCGGAAGGGAATATAATAATATATTACAAAGTAGTTTTTAAAGAAGGGTGAGGTAGCTATCAGAAACATTTTTTTTGTCTTAAAAGTTCTAGTCTTTCTATAAAGCTATTATATTCCTTTTAAAATAATTCCAAAAAATCTAAAACTCAAAACAGATGAGCACCTCTCTGAATCTTCTGTCTAGGGCTGGATTCTGGATGGCATCCCTGAGACGCGTGAGCAGGCTCTGAGGATCCAGACCCTGGGGATCACACCCAGACACGTCAGTGAGTAGCTCCCAAGGGTCCCCCACCTGCCAGAGCTGCAGCCCCAAGGGGTGGCCAGTGAGCGCCCCGCTCATGCTGCCTGCTCCTGACCTCAGCCCAGGCACCGTCTGAGACCCAGCAAGGAAGAGGACAGCACAACTGAATTTTTCACAGAGCTAAATATATTCAGGGCTGGTTCTTAAGAAAAGTGGGGTTTCGTTTTCAGCCTGGCGATTCCTTGTCTCAGGAAGGAAATGCATATTCTATGCATAGCATAGAATGCTGTGCAAGCATTTAGTGCGCACAGAGATGCCCATTGTGGCGTTATCTGTGACGAGGGAAATTGTTAACAGGCAGAACTTTCCGTCATGGGCCGTGCTCTGTCCCAACGTTACACTCTTTGTGTTTGGGTGCGAGAAGACCTTTCTCTTAGGAATTCACGGGGATGGGAGATGATTGTTGTTTTAATGTCATTATACAGAAAAGCAAAAAACGTAAAGCAAGTATTGGTCTGTGATATTCAAATGTGTGGCACCCGCTGCCCGACATGCCTGGTTTTGCTCCTTTTCTTCTCTGCCCAGTTGTGCTGAGTGCTCCAGACACGGTCCTGATCGAGAGAAACTTGGGGAAGAGAATCGACCCTCAAACTGGAGGTATGGCTACGGCCACCCCCACCCAGCCCCATGGGGTTTCAGAGTCCATGGTGATGACAGCCCGTCTACCATTTCCTGACCTCGCATTCTGCTCTGGGCACCCACAGAGGGACACGAGGAAGGCTGCCACAGGCTGGGCTCTGAGCTGGAAGACACTGGCAAGGGTACATTCTGGTAGATGAGGAAATGGAGGCCTGTTTAGGCTAAAGGAGGAGACTTTCTTGTGGCAGAACCAGAATAGAGTGTGGGGGGTCATGCCAGGCACCTGGGCTTGGGGCCCACACAGGAGCCAGGGGACATGTCTGCCTCTCCCTGGGACAAATTATGTGCCCCCTTGACACCCCTTATTCTTTGGTATTTATACAGGAGAGAGAGGCATGAGCATTACCTGGGAGAATTGGCAGGTGTTGCAGGGGACGGGGCCCTTGAACTGGGCCTTGAAGACCAGGCAGTTCAGCAAGGGGCTGGCGGGAGGGTGGGGGGAGACGGGACTGCCCTTGATCTTCCGGGCCTCACGCTGTGGTGGCAGATAGAGCTGGGTTTGTGGATCCCTAACTCTGTCCCTTTCTGGCTGTAGACATGGGATACCTGAGACTCAGTTTTCTTATCTGTACTTGAGGATGAAAATACCAACCTAATGGGTGATGGGATGGCTGTGAAGATGAAATGGGAGTCTGCAGGTGCCTATCAGAGTGGCTGGCACAGAGTAAGTGCTCAGAAGTTCACGGCAGCCCTTGCCCTGGGTCCTGTTCTTGTATTGTAACAAGAATAATAGTTAAGAGCAGGCTCAGAGTAGCTGGAAGTGCTGGTGTTGAGCAACGGTGTCCTGCCGTGGTCAGCCACACCCCAGGAATGTGTAGGGCCTGGCCTCCAGGACAGCAAGCACCCCAGCCAGGCACAGCAGCGCCCACAGGGCCCCTGCATGGCCATTTCTAACTGTGCACCTCTCTCCTTGTAGAGATTTATCACACCACCTTTGACTGGCCACCCGAATCTGAAATCCAGAACCGTCTCATGGTGCCAGAGGACATCTCAGAGCTGGAGACGGCTCAGAAACTGCTGGAGTATCATAGGAACATCGTCAGGGTCATTCCCTCCTACCCCAAAATCCTCAAAGTCATCAGTGCTGACCAGCCATGTGTGGACGTCTTCTACCAGGGTAAACACAAGCAGGCAGCCCCACCCTGGACAGACGGCCAAGGGCGGGGCTCGCTGTGCCTTCTACCACTTTGTCCCTTATTCTGGTAGTGGCCAGTGTCTGGGACATGCCTGGGACCCTGGAAGTCAAGACATAGATGACCCGGGTTCCCTGCCCAGAAATGCATGTGTGCAGAGCCCCTGGGGGTACCCCACTTGGAGACCCTGGGCTAATGTCCCACACTCAGATGTGGTCACATCTCTGGCCCACAGCAGATTTGGTGGTCGTGGGGTCGGGAGGAGGAGAGGCAAGGGATGGGGTGGGAGGGACATGGTAGCAAGAAGTTTGAGCCTGACCTTGAGGGAGAGGAAAGAAAAAATATATAAAGATTAAGACAAAAACAAAACCACCACCACCACACACAACACAATAAAACACACACACACAGCACAGGTGGTATGCTTCATTTAGGATGGAGATACATGGCCCCGCGCCTGGCACTGCGTTGCTGTCCACAGCAATGGCCAATGTTCACAGCAGCTCGGGAGCCACTGCGGGCAGCCTGTGCGAGGTGCGGGGATGGCTGAGCTGAGCAACCTGTTCAAATCTCAGCCCCGACGCAGCCCAGCTGTGCAGCCTCTGGCACTTCTCCTAACTCCTCGGAGCCCTAGTTTTGGCATCGCTAAAATAGGAACAAAACTTGTGCCCTCCTCCCAGGCGTAGGTGAGGATTAAATGGGATTCTCCAAATCACGTGTCCACAGCCACAAGCCCAGTTCTGGCACAGAGAAAAGCCTCAATAAACATCAGTCGTCATAGCTCCTATCATTGTTCAACACCCTGCCCAAAAAGGCAAGGGCAAGGTAGAATAATTCTATCCCCAAACAGCTGTATTATCCTTTTCAAAAGTCTTGCTGAGCTTCAGTCATCTCAAAATGCAGTATCTCAAAATCCAGTCGTCTCAAAATTACCCTTCCACACAGTGTTGGGTAAATGAAGCGTTTACGATGGGAACATCACAGATATTTAAGACACTTGACAGTTTACAAAGTCCTTTTTTTCATATATTCTCTCAAAACTCTCCAAGAAAAGTCCTGTTTTGCCGGGGAAGTGGTTTTGAGCTCCCTCAAGCCCTTCCCTGCTGACTTTCCCAGCACCTTCTCCTGCTGGTAGACTCGGTGCTTAAACCTCATTGCTACACTGAGCTCGGAGATGCGGTGTTTGCCGGCGTGGATTGAACAGCCTCGCCCTCTGAAGGGAGCAATCAGCCAGCGGGTGGGTTAGTAGAAAATGTCGCTACTTAAAGAAGAAATGCCAGGCTTATGATGGCTTATAATTTTCCAGTGATTTTGCATCTCGGAAGGGTCATTAGTAACAAACACTGCACTCTTAAGATAAACAACCACAACATTTATCTTATGCCATGATTCTGAATTTACACATTAATTACTTCCAAATTACTTAATTAAATTTAAAAGTTCATATGATCGTTCATAAAGAATTCATGCCTGGAATTGTAAATAAAAATGTGAGTGTCTGAATATTAATTATTATTAATTAATAATGCAGAGAGATAAATTGAAAATTGGAATGCAGAATTCTCTCTGTGTTGTTTTTCTAATCTCTCTGCAGTGCATCCAGCAACCACACATTTTTAAAAAGAATAATTAGATGTTGAGACTGTCTGGGGGATCATTACTTCTAATTAACTTAGTTATTTACTGTAAATTAAGCATCATTTGTAAGCAGGCTGCTTTGCCTGTAGTATTTGTGCTTTTCAGATGCACGGGATTATGGAAGGTCTGAGAATAAAGAGAGCCTCGCCTGAGTAGCTTCCTTTGGGCTTCTCTCAGTGGAGGAATGGTACCCATGGCAGGTGGTTTGGGAGAGTTGCCCCAGCTCTGCCAAGTCTCAGCCTAATTGGCTCATCTGTAAAATGGGACATGAATAACGCAACCCTCATGGGATTGTTGGGCCAAAGAAAAGAGATGGTGCCTATAGAGTATTTGTCGTAGCAATTAGTACATGCCATTGATGATGCTGATCACAACCTGGAAAAAAGTCCATTCTAACTCATCTCTGCCTTCTAAAAAGAGGGGACTGTGCATCTCTAATGACCCTTCCAATTTAAAAGTCCAGCAAAGATTTGAGAGTTCAGGATTTTCACAATGAACATATCCCAGCGGTTCACAATCGGGGGCAGTTTTGCCCCCACCGCAACCCCGGGGATATTTGGCAATGTCTGTAAAGGTTTTTTGGTTGTCATACCTTGCGGTTGTGCTGCAGGCACCTAGTGGGTAGAGGCCAGGGATGCTTCTCAACATCCTACAGTGCCCAGAATAGCCCCGCAACAAAGAATCTTCTGGCCCCAGATGTCAGTAGTGCTGAGGATGAGGAACCTGCCTGGTTCCTGGGTGGCATGTTCCTGAAGGAGGCACGATGGCCTGGCCCCTCACCCAGCACGGCACCCACCGCAAGGCACATTGGTAAAGGCAGACTGGCAGGAAGGTGTAACGGGGCCACCCCTGGCTGAGTTTGCACAGGACAGTCTGGGGCCTTGGCAGGAGGGGGAAGGTCTCCCTGGGGAAGGATGCCCTGTTTTGAACGCTGGGGTGGGGGCTGGCACAGGTCCGTGCCTCATCTGTGGGCATCTCTCCTGCCTCAGGTGCCCGAAATGCTGCCTTTACAGCCTCATTAGCCTTTTCTCACAGCTCCCTGTTTCTGAGCTCCAGCGGGAGGTGACCTGGTTTGATGTTCAGTAGCTTTGCCCTGTGGCTTCTTGGCATCCGGTGCCCCCCATGGTGCAGGTGGCCTCATTGTTGGAGACACTCACCCCATCTCCTCACTTCTTTGTTCACCAAATGCCAGGGGCACACCACAGGCCAGGGCCATGCAGCTACATCTGGCCACTCCTGTGACCTCTTTGATCACTACCTCTTTGGAGAGTCGCAACAAAGTTGGTGTCACCAGAGTGCAGCTGCACAAACTACTCTCCAATTCGAGTCCTTTAGAAGTCCCTGGGCACTGGGCCCCCATGTGGCTGGATGCGTTTATCAAAGCCTGTGTCTGACATTCAGGTGCACCTAGCAGAAAGCCAGCGTGCACTTCTAGGAGACCAGCCTAGTTCCGGGGCTTCCGGTTGGGAGGCTCAGCCCGATTCAGTAGGAAAAGCCACCAGCCCTATAGAGAGTGCTATCATGTCCTGGGACCAGTCTCCCAACTGCAACACAGCCAGCCCTAGTTCAGCCTGGAAGGAAATGCAGACACCTGCACGTGTTTAGACGCCTGTGTTGAGAGGAATCCAGGGCGGCGCTCCAGGGTGGCTTCTGTGGACTTCACTCCTCGCTCCCTGCCTTGGTGCCCAGGCCTGCCACGTAATTCTTTTCCCTGCCTCTTCGCCAGATGCACAGAGGGCTTCCATGGTGCTGTGAAAGAGAAAAAGAGTTACTGCCGTTAAAAGAGTCAAAGCAGAGGGGCTGCAAGCGGGTTTCCTGTTCTCTAGGACCTGGGTTTATTATCCTCATATCCTCTCTTTCCAGCTCTGACCTATGTCCAAAGCAACCATCGTACTAATGCCCCGTTCACCCCGAGGGTGCTGCTGCTCGGGCCTGTGGGCAGTGGGAAAAGTCTGCAGGCCGCCCTCCTGGCCCAGAAATACAGGCTTGTCAATGGTGAGTGCCCCAGGTGCTGGGCTGCCCAGCTTCGAGAGCCTTTCCCTGCCTCCTGCCCCTCCTCCCCAGCTCTCATTTTATGGGGGGTGGTGTTGGGGGGGAAGGGTCAGTATCACTTCTCTTTCTGGCTCTTTGTTCTTAACCATTTTCTGTTAGTCCATCTTTGCAGGAATTTTCTTCCTCCCGAGGAATATTGCCATAAAAACATTAACCACTAAAAACATGTCCACAGCCCAAAGAGACAGAACATTTTTCAGTCATCGTTTTTTATATCCTTTGGAGCGGGGGGTTTGTCTGTGCTGTACACCAGGGGTGGCTCCCATCTCACCCCTGCCATCTCCCCTGAAGCCTTGGCTCCTGCGTAATAGGAATGTGCTGTTTATTTATTTTCTCCAGTCTCGTTTGGTGCCCCCAACCCAGGTCAGTGTGTTTACAGGCAGACAATTTCTGAACCAGAGGAAGACTTCTCACTCCGCACAGTTTCAATAAATATTTTACCAGGAAGAGAGAAAATATTGAAATCAGCTCTCCAGGTCTTTCCCGGGGTGGTCCCAGGCGGTCTTGGATGCCAGCTTGTGTTCAGGAGGATAAAGGGATGGGAATCAGGAAGAAACTGTAGCAGAGACACACTGCCAGGTTGAAGGGAGTTAAAAGCACTGCCCCTACGCACACCATGCTCCACAAACCTAAGTAGCCTCTACTGTATTTACTAAGGAAACGAGACCTGCACCCCCAAATATATGCATATGCATACAACCCCCCCAAATTATACAGGCATACCATATGAATATAGAGAGGGAATACAAACAAATATATGGACACACACAAATATACCTACAAATATATGTACATTTTTGTACATTTGTATGTATATTTGTATATACATACACATATATGTATATATTTGTATATACATACACATATATGTATATATTTGTATATACATACACATATATGTATATATTTGTATATACATACACATATATGTATATATTTGTATATACATACACATATATGTATATATTTGTATATACATACACATATATGTATATATTTGTATATACATACACATATATGTATATATTTGTATATACATACACATATATGTATATATTTGTATATACATACACATATATGTATATATTTGTATATACATACACATATATGTATATATTTGTATATACATACACATATATGTATATATTTGTATATACATACACATATATGTATATATTTGTATATACATACACATATATGTATATATTTGTATATACATACACATATATGTATATATTTGTATATACATACACATATATGTATATATTTGTATATACATACACATATATGTATATATTTGTATATACATACACATATATGTATATATTTGTATATACATACACATATATGTATATATTTGTATATACATACACATATACATATATGTATATATTTGTATATACATACAAATATACATATATGTATATACATACAAATGTACGTGTATATATATGTATATGCATACAAATATATGTATATACCACCCCAGAAGAATCAAGTTTTGAATAAAAATGCTTCTCAGGCCTCCTCCAGCTTACAATTCTAAAGCCACTGAGACCAGCAAGGAATCCATGACAAAAGTCACACACCTAAAATGAAGATAGAGACCTGAACAATTACTCTGCAAATTTGATTACTATGGAAAATTAATCAGGACATTTAGAATAAAAAATGTTCCTGAGTCCGTTTTTAAAAATAAATTATTTCAATAATTCCTTCTTCTTTTGATTGTTCCTCTTAAGAGAATTATAAGATGAAATTTCCAGCAGTGTTAGGGATGGCTTCTTTGTTCCGATGACCAGCAGTCTACCTGTGGCGGCATCACTTGCTTACGTAAGCATGTGCCCACATCGTTACGGGAAGGGACAGAGTGAGCGTGGAGGGGCACTCGCGGTGGAGGGAGAGTCTGAAAACACGGCAGCAATACTTTAATGCAGTGCAGGGCTTTATGGAAATAATTGTCTCGGTGCTCTGTTTTATGATGCAGACACTCTCATTCAATAAAAGGTTTTTTTTTTTTAATTCAAATTGCGTTCAGCACACCAGCCATGAAGAGATGAAATTACCTGCCTAGATTTTTCCAAAAATGAAAATAGAAAAGCTCATCATGGTTTTTGCTTGTTACCTAAGAGCCATGATGGGGCTCTTTTAGATAATTAAGCATTTGGAGACTATCTCAGAAAGTTCACATTTCTCAAAGGTGTTCTTGATAAATACAAGATGTCATGAGATTTAAGTAAACCCATTTAAGAGACCTAAGGCAGGTAGCCTTGAGATCTCTCTGCAAATGCGTGTCTGAACCCAGAGCTCCAGGTGCTGTCTGCTCCGCTGCGGCCATCCGCTCGCCTGGTTCTAATCTTCACATCTGTGAATCTCTCAGCCAAAGGAAAATATCTCCAAACCAACAAAAAAACAGACAGCCCCCACACTCACTCCCACAAAGTTCATCAGAAGACCTCACTTAGGATGATGGGAGTATATACGGACACGACTTTCTGAAAGGCGAAAGCCACTGTTGGTTAAAGCACTAACTGCGCAAACCCTGTGACCCTGGGATTTAACTCCTAGGAGTTTATTCTGCTCCAACACTCAGATATGTAAGGAGAGATGTGGCAGAAGCATAATGAGAAACAGAGGCAACCTCTAACTCTGTTAATAAGCAGGTTTGTGAAATAAGTTGTGATAAACCCATGTAATGGATTGCGAGGCAGCTGTTAAAAATAAACCTGTAAAGTGATTTGATGTCAGTGATACATGGCTAAATAAGGGAGGGGCAGAAAACAATTTGCTCAGCAGTATCCAGGGGGTGACCTCATTTTTGTTCAAAAAAGCATGTTAGTTTATGCTCAGAAAAAGCATGAAGAAATATCCATACACCAAACTGCTTATCTCGGCAGAGCTGTGGATTATACAATTCAGATTTTTTTTTTTTTTTACAGTGAGCATGAATTCTTTCCTTCCTTCCTTCCTTCCTTCCCTTTGTCTTTTTTTTTTTTTTTTTTTCGGGTCTTACTCTGTCACCCAGGCTGGAATGCAGTGGTGCAGTCATGGCTCACTGCAGCCTCCAACTCCTCAAGTGATCCTCCCGCCTCAGCCTCCCAAGTAGCTGGGACTACAGGTGTATGCCACCATGCTCAGCTAATTTTTTTTTGTAAAGACGGGAATCTCTCTATGTTGCCCAGTCTGGTCTCAAATTCTTGGCCTGAAGCAATCCTCCCACCTCAGCCTCTGGTTTCTTTTTTGACTTGTGTACTATTTAGAATACACCTTGCTTAATTCCCACATATTTGGGGATTTTCCTGATTGCTTTATAGTCTTGATTTCTAATTTAATTCTATTGTGGTAAAAGAACATACCCTATGTGATTTTGATCCTTTGAAATTTGCATATATGGTCTATACTGGTGAATTCCAAGTGTACTTAAAAAAATAGGTATTCTGCATTGTTGGTTATAGTGTTCTATAATATCGATTAGGATAAGATGTTTGAAATTTTTAATCAAATTTTGAAATTCGTCTATGTCCTTAATGATTCTCACTCTACTTATTATGTCAGTTATTGAGAGAGGTGTGTTAAACTCTCCCAACTCTTTTATTTTTAATTTTTTACAATCATCCAGCCCAACATTTAAAAAATCTCCCAACTCTGAATTGTGGATTTGTCTATTCTCTGCAAGTTTTTGCTTCATGTAATTTGTCATTAAGTGCATACTGTCACACCTCAGTATCCATGGGGGATTGGTTCTAGGACCTCCCTTGGATACTGAAATCCGAGGATGTTCCAGTCTCTGATACAAAATGGCGTAGTATTTGCATATAACCTACATACATTCTCCTATACACTTTAAATCATCTCTAGATTACTTATAATACCTAATATAATGTAAATGCTATGCAACAGTTGTTATACTGTATTGTTTAGGGAATACTGACAAGGAAAAAAGACTACATGTTCAGTGCAGACGTAATTTTTACCCCAGATATTTTCAATCTGTGGTTGGTTGAATCCATGAGTGTAGAAACTATGGATATGGAGGGCTGACTGTATACAGTAAGGATAGTTATATGTTATTGGTGAAATGACCCTTTTATTGCTAGGAAATGTTGCTTTTCCTCTCTAGCAATACTCATTTTCTTGAAGTCCACTTTGTCTGATGTTAATGAAGTTTCTCTAACTTTCTTATGATTTGTGTCTGTATGATATACCTTCTATTCTTTTTCTTTTAAACTATCTGTGTCTTATAGTCTAACTATGTGTCTTGTAAACAGCATATAGTTGGGTCTCACTTTTTTTTTTTTAAGAGACGGGGTCTTGCTCTGTTGCCCTGGCTGGAGTACAGTGGTGCAATCATAGCTCGTTGCACCCTCAAACTCCTGGGCTCAAGTGAACCTCCCGCCTCGGCCTCCCACTGAAGTTACAGGCATGAGCCCTCAAGCCTGGCCTGTTTTTTTGTTTTGTTTTGTTTTCTACTTGTGTCATCTGTTCTTTGTTCCTCCTTTCCTGCCACCTTTTGGATTAACCAAGTATTTTTTAGTAATCCATTTTCTTTCTTCTATTTCCTTTTTAGCCATATCTCTTTGCTTTATTTTGTTAGTGGTTGCTCTAGGGATTAAATATGCATCTTTTGCTTGTCCCAGCCTATTTTGAGTGAATGTTACACCTCACCATGTATGATATCAGAGCCTCGCAGCAGTAGATTTTTCCATTTACCTTACTTCTTTACAGTTGACATACATTTTACTTCTGCGTATGTTATAAACCCTACAATATATTGTAATTATTTTTGTTTTAAATAGTCATTCATCTTTTAAAGAAGTGAAGATATAAGGGGGGAGAGACTTTTATATGTACCCACCTATCAGTACTCTTCACTCCTTGGTTTAGATCCAGGTTTCCATCTGGTATCATTTCCTCTCAGCCTGAAGAACTTCCTTTAACAGCTCTTGTAGTGAAAGTGTGCTGGTGACAAATTTTCTCAGCTTTCATAGCCTGAAAATGATATGATTTCATCTTCATTTTTGAAGGATGTTTTGGCTGCATATAGAAATCTATGTTGACAGTTTCTTTCTCTTAACACTTTAAAGATGTCATTCTATTGTCTTCCGGCTTGCACTTCTTCTGATGAAATCTCAGAGGTTATTTTTACCATTGTTGCCCTGCATGTGAAGCACTCCCCCTGCCCTCAGCTGCTGTTAATATTTTCTCTTTAGCTTTCAGCAATTTGACTACGATGTATCGAAGTGTGACTTACTTTGTGTTTGTTCTGCTTGGATCTCAGAGATTCTTGGGTGTGTGGGCTGAAATTTTTAATCAAATTTTGAAGTTCTCCTGTCATTATCTTCTGAAATCTTTTTTCTGCCTGCCTCTCTTCTTTCTGGAACTACAGTTCCACATATGTTAGACTGTCTGGTATTGTCCTCTAGGTCTCTTAGATTTGGTTCTTTTCTTCCGGTCCTTTCCCATCCCCCTCTTTGCTGCAGTTTGGCTACTTCCTATTGCCTCTTTTATCCTGTCTTTAAATTCACTGATTGCAGCACACCTAGTGATTTGTTTCATTTAAGATACTGTATTTTCCAGGTCCAGAATTTCCATCTGGTTCTTTTTCACAGTTTTCCTTTCTCTGCTGAGATTCTCCATCTGTTCACTCATTTTAACTATCTTTTCCTTTAAGGTTTTAAGTGTACTCATAATAGCTGTTTTAAAGTCCTGGTGTGCTGATTCTGACATGTGTGTCATCCCCGATCTGATTCTCTGGCCTGTTTTCTCTCCTCATAGGAGTCACATTTTCCTGCTTTTTTGCATGTCAAGGAGCTTTTGATTAAATGCTAGACATTGTGTTTCTCACATTTTTGAAGGTCTGGATTGTGTCACCATTCTGCTTTAAGAGTATTGAGTTTGGAGGATTAACTCCATCCTACTGAAGCTTATTTTCAGGCTTTGTTAAGTGGGAGTAGAGTGTTCTTACTCTAGGGCTAGAGTATCCCTGCAGCTAAGGTCTGCCCTTTCTGGAATCTCAGCTGAATGTCCGGGGTGTTCAGCAGGGTCTGTCACTTTGGTTGTCAGAATGCCAGCATCTCCCAGCCCTGTGTGAATTTCCATTCAGTTCACAGCTTCCCAGTAGCTTTTCTCTACCAGGCCTCTGGAGTCTCACCCTGCACATGTGCAGCTTCATATTGGCCAAAGGCTCAGTGAACCCCTATGAGATTTCTGGAACTCCTTCTGTGCACAGCTGCCTCCTCTCCCTTACCCTGTTCTACAAATTCTGGCCGTCTCAGAGCTCCAGTCTTTGTTGCTTCCACCCAGTGAGACTGCTGATCTGTTTGGGCTCCACTTCTCCTGTGCCATGATTTGAGAAGTGCCCATAGGTAGAAATCCAGGATGACTATGGGGCTCGTTTTGTATGTTTCCTGCCTCTCAAGGATTACAGACCTGTCTCTCTGTTGTCCAATGACTCTAAAGAATTGCTTCATAGATTTTGTTCAGTTTCACAGCTTTCTATAAGAGAAGTTAAATATGATACCTGTTACTCCTTCATGGCCAGAACTGGAAGCTAAGCATGGGTTTGATGTCACGCAGACCTGGGTTTGGACCCCAGCTCTGCCCCTTAATGGCTCTGTGACCTAAAGCAGGTTATTTCATCTCTTTGAGCCTCAGTGTCTTTACCTAAGAAACAGCAGGTTATTGTGAGGACCAAATAAAACAAAGCACACTTAGCACAGTGCTTGGCACACAGAATTGTCTCAGTTCTCAGCAGCTTTTTTTTTCTTTTCTTTCTTTTTCTTTTTTTTTTTTTGAGACAAAGTCTCCCTCTGTCACCCAGGCTGGAGTGTAGTGGTGCCAATCTCTGCTCACTACAACCTCCGCCTCCTGGGCTCAAGCAATTCTCCTGCCTCAGCCTCCCAAGTAGCTGGGATTACAGGCTTCCACCACCACACTGGGCTAATTTTTGTATTTTTAGTAGAGACGGAGTTTCACCATATTGGCCAGGCTGGTTTCAAGCTCCTGACCTCAAATGATCCTCCCGCCTTGGCCTCCCAAAGTCCTGGGATTACAGGCATGAGCCACTGCGCCTAGCTCCCAGCAGCCTTTATTCTCACTTATATGTCCTTTGCTGGTGAGGCTGCCAAGCACATTGGATTAAATTAAATGACAACTGCTGTCATTTACATAGTGAATTAAGCATATCATTATTGAGGAATGAATCCCTGGTGATGGTAATTTTGTTAAACATTCATGCTATCCAGTTAACTTTAGGATGTTTTTTGGTCTCCTTAGTATAGGCAGAAAACTTCTTAGCCCTAAAGGTAAGAAAGCCAAAAGCGTGCAGTGAACAATTCATGAAAATATAGTTTAAATCTTCTGGCTTTGGCTAGGAAGGACTTTCACAGCCAAGGAGGAGGTAGCCTGTGTTTATTCACTCATGCTTGTTGCCCAGCACCTCCTTTGTGCCGGCCCTAGCTCAGGGCTCGAGACACAGTGGGGCCAGAGGCAGGTTCCTGCCCAGGGCGAGCAGGTGTCCAGAGCGGGGCAGCCGCCACTGGCCAGGTGACTGCAGCGTGGTACCTTTTTTTCTTTTTCTTTTTCTTTTTTTTTTTGAAACGGAGTCTTGCTCTGTTGCCCAGACTGGAGCGCAGTGACGCGATCTTGGCTCGCTGCAACCTCCACCTCCCAGGTTCAAGTGATTCTCCTGCCTCAGCCTCCCCAGTAGCTGGGATTACAGGTATATGCCACCCACCTGGCTAATTTTTGTATTTTTAGTAGAAACGGATTTTCACCATGTTGGCCAGGCTGGTCTTGAACTCCTGATCTTAAGTGATCTGCCCGCCTCAGCCAAAAAGCTGGGATTACAGCCACATGGTGCCCTTTAATGATGAGTCAGCCCACTTGGAATATGAATCTATCGTATTGTGTGGCCCCACCATCCCATGGAGATGCCCTGCCAGCTGGAAGGGCTGTGGAAGCAACACACTGCACCCCCTCTGCTGTGTAACAAGGGTGCAAATGTGGACGCACTTGAGGCACATCGCCCAGAGATGAGCAGCCCCCGGCCAGAACGCTGATCCTCCGCAGCACCCTGGAGGGCGCCGAGTTCTGCGCAGCAATTCCAGGTGCAGCGAGGCCCTGCAGGGCTCCTCTGTGGGCAACATCCTCGTTAGTGTCTTCCCCACGCCGTCCATTTTTAATGTGTTCTTTGCCAAATGCATTCCTTTTCATTCCACCTCTCTCTTTTATTTATTTCCCGGCTCCTTTTTGATATTTACTTTTACTTGGACACATACCCACACACAGAAAAACCCTTTTATGCTTTTTTCAGTGACCTTTTTTTTTTCCCTCAGCAGGCAGCACTGGGGGTTCTTTTTTTCTCATCCTTCCTCCTATTTAAAATTTAATGGGTGTCTTTCTGTTCCCCTCTCCTTCAGTCTGCTGTGGGCAACTGCTGAAAGAGGCTGTGGCAGATAGGACCACGTTTGGCGAGCTCATCCAGCCCTTCTTTGAAAAGGAGATGGCAGGTAGGCCACGTTCCCACTAACTGTCATGACCTTACAGGCTCCAGAGAGAACTTTCTTTTTGTGCGGCTCTCTGAACATTCAGGGGCTCAAAATTGGGGAGAACAGCCGGGAAATGGAAATTGGGTTTTCTTGTAAGCAAAGGCTCTGCTGCTTGCTTCCGGTAAGGCCTCTTGGTGTCTGAGCCCGATCCCCAGTGAGGTGAGTTTGTGGATGTGGGGGGGTTATCCCTGATGGTTTAGGATGTTCCTATTTCTCAAGACGGTTGGCTTTTCATAACTGGTACCATTTAAAATTGAGAGCCAGGAGAGGCCACAGACCTCCCCACATCCTTTTTTTTTTTTTTTTTTTTTTTTTTTTTTGAGACAGGGTATCAATCTGTCACTCAGACTGGAGTGCAGTGGTGCAGTCTCAGCTCACTACAGCCTCAACCTCCTGGGCTCAGGTTATCCTCCCACCTCAGCCTCCCAAGTAGCTGGGACTACAGGTGCATGCCACCATGCCTGGCTAATTTTTTGTATTCTTTGTAGAGATGGGATTTCTCCATGTTGCCCAGGCTGATCTTGAACTCCTGGGCTCAAGTGATCCTCCTGTTTCAGCCTCCCAAAACGCTGGGATTACAGGTGTAAGCCACCACTTCCTGCCCCCACATCCTTTATTATTTGGTATATAAAAATACTGTGGGCAAATATTCCAATTTAATCAGCACTTAGAAGCCAGAAGTTTCAGACAGCTTTGCAGATGTGAGTGTTGACCGGCATTGGTCCTCAGCAGTTAGATGCTCGCCTGTTTGACAGGCGAAGCAGGACCAGATCCTCTTCCCAGGTGCCCTCTGTGATCCACAGTCTGAAAGCTTTCCTAGGATCTGACCCACAGTAAGGGCACCTTTGGGAGCATTCTAGTCAGGCTTCCTGAGTCCACGAAGGAGCCTCAGAGAAGGGACTGAGCTGCTGAGGCCACACAGCCAGTTGGCGGCTGGGCTTCTGGGGATCCTGCATCTGTCTCTTCCCTGGGGCAGTGAATTTCCCACTCACGCACCCACACCTTCCTCCCCTGCACATGCTGCAGCTCCTCCCTGCAGTCAGTGCACACCCACTTATCAAGTCTGTTGTGAACACGTGCTTATTGTGAAGAAAATGAATTCCAGAAGCAGCTGCCATTATAGTGAGCAGTGCGGGCATTGGCTAGGAATCCTCCTGGTGGAAGCTTGTGGCCTTCTCCTACCACTTTCTAGATGGAGCAGGTTGATGAGGAGGAAGCACATGAAAACAGGCTCTGTCCTCCCAGCCATCCTCTGCTTGGGCCTCCCCGGGAGATGTCCTGGCCAGCCCTCCCAAGTCCCTCCTTAAGATGTCCTAGTCCGCGGGGTGGAGTTCAAGTGTGTGGAGTAGGAGCCGTCAGACGCAATGATCTGTGTAGGTGCAGGGCAGTGAGCGGGTCTGGTCCTGGGTGTCTGCGGTGGCCACAGAATGAGGTGATCTGTGTAGGCTCAGGGCAGTGAGCAGGTCTGGTCCTGGGTGTCTGCGGTGGCCACAGAATGAGGTGATCTGTGTAGGCTCAGGGCAGTGAGCGGGTCTGGTCCTGGGTGTCTGCGGTGGCCACAGAATGAGGTGATCTCTGTAGGTGCAGGGCAGTGAGCGGGTCTGGTCCTGGGTGTCTGCGGTGGCCACAGAATGAGGTGATCTGTGTAGGCTCAGGGCAGTGAGCAGGTCTGGTCCTGGGTGTCTGCGGTGGCCACAGAATGAGGTGATCTGTGTAGGCTCAGGGCAGTGAGTGGGTCTGGTCCTGGGTGTCTGCGGTGGCCACAGAATGAGGTGGATGTAGGAGGCACCAGGGAGGGTGAAAACCAGCACGAGCTCTTATGCTTCCCAGTCTGGTTCAGATTCCAGCGCTGCCCCCACCAGCCATGTGGCACCAATAAACCACCCTGCCCTTCTCGAAGCCCCAGGCTTCCGGGTGGCAGGATGGAGGTAGAGGTCCCTTCCTGCAAGGTCGTCCTGAGGAGCAGCCCTCATGCACATGCACAGGGTCTGGGAGGCCACAGGCAGCTGCTGCTCTTCAAATCCACCTAGCGGCCGGGCGCGGCGGCTCACCCGTCATCCCAGTGGGCACGGTAGCTCACCCCTGTCATCCCAGCACTTTGGAAGGCCGAGGCGGGTGGATGTTTTCAGCTCAAGAATTCGAGACCAGCCTGGCCAACATGGCAAAACCCCATCTCTACTAAAAATACAAAAAAAAAAAAATTAGCCACGTGTGGTGGTGGGCGCCTGTAGTCCCAGCTACTCGGGAGGTTGAAGCAGGAGAATCGCTTGAACCGGGGAGGCAGAGGTTGCCGTGAGCCAAGATTGCACCACACTCTTGCCTGGGTGACAGAGTGAGACTCAGTCTCAAAAAAAAAAAAAAAAAAAAAAAGCCACAGTAGCAAGCAGCAGCAATGGCGGAGTACCTGTTGCATCCTCAAGCATAATTTCTCTCCATTTCTCTCCAAATTCCCATTTACTGGGATGGGGATTAGCACCCTAAAAATGAGTGAATGTGATACCAAATTAACCTAATGTATATAGTTTCAAGGGTTGCTAGTAGTATTCCATAGTATGCCTGGAAGATAATTTAATTCCCCACTAACCAGATAGTGGTTCAGAAACAGAGACAATGGCCAAGCAGCTGAGGTAGTGCCAATCGGCCAACACCAGGGAAGGGTCTGCAGGAATTCTTTGACTCTTCTTGCAGCTTCCTTGTCCATTTGAATTTTTTTCAAAATATAAAATTACAAAAATAAATATTTTGGTGGTTTCCAGATTTGCAGTCCTTCAATAATACTAAAATGCACACTCTTGTATGGAGAAACATCCCTGGTGATCTTATTAGGATACCCTGAGGCCTGAGTCAGCAGTGATGCCCATGAACAGTGGCAGTGGTGATGCTGTACTGCCATACGCTCCCACCATCAGTGTGCGAATGCTCATTCCCTGCCTGTCTTTGCCATCTCTGGGTACTGCCAGTGTATTTGTCTTCTGTTACTTCATAACAAATGTCATGGTTTAGAACAACACAGATTTATCTTGCAGTTCTGTAGGTCAGAAGTCCTGAAATCCAGGTATTAGTAGGGCTGTGCTCCTTCCTGGGGCACTTGAGAGGATTTACTTCCTTGCCTTTTCCAGCTTCTGGGGGCCATCCCCATGCTTTGGCTCGTGGCCCCTTCCTCTGTCTTCAAAGCCAGTAGAGTAGCATTTTCCAATCTCTCTCTCTCTGACTTCTGCTTCTGCTATCACACCTCCCTCTCTGACTCTGACCCTCTTACCTCCTTCTTATAAGGACCCTTGGGATGACCCAGAACGATCCAGGATCATCTCTTCATCTCCAGATCCTTAATTTAGTCCCCTTTGCAGAGCCCTTTTTGCCATATCAGGGAACATATTCACAGGTGCCAGCGATTAGGATGTGGACATCTTTTTGGGAGGTATTATTCTGCCTGCCATGGCCAGCCATTTGAATCTTTGCCACTTTGTTATGTGACAAAAGATGTATTTATTTTTAATTGTGGTCTTATGATTGTCGGTGAGGTTGGTAAAGTTGAACGTATTTTCATAAGATAATTGGTCACGTGTGTTTTATCTTTGTGAACCACCTCTCTATAGCCCTGGCCTATTAACTGTTTTTCCCTTTGCCCATTTTCCAGTTAAGCAATTTTTTGTCCTAATTGGTTTGTCAGTGCTCTTTGCATATTAGGGTTGTTTACGTTTTTCCATTAATTTTTCTTTATACTTACATTCTATATTTTATCTCTGTTTCAAGTCACGTTATAATTTTGTAGTTTTAGCAATTGCTTGGAAAGAGAACAGTGGCTCATCGCGGCCCTTTAGTTCTCAGGCATCGTGGGATGTCACGGTCGCCAAGAAGGTCATATGAGGATGTTGGTTTTTTATGAGGTCACGGAGCACTCGGCCTCCTGGTTTCCTCATCTCCTCTCTCCTCACCATCTGACAGCACAGTCTTATCTTCCTCGTCTTATAGGGAGTTGGGCGTTTACAGATCCTTAATTAATCATCAGATATGGGCACCATTTTGCTGACTTATTCAAACTGTATCTTTTGAGTAAATGGGACCTATTGTTACTTCCTCTTCGAGAGACAGAAATGAATTTGCTTGAATCAAAGCACGTCAACTTTGTACAGAGCCGGCTTAATTCATCCACCACTAAAAGCAAACCCAAGAGTCCTTTCAAAGGTGGTCCAGGCGCAGAGTCGTTTTTGTGTTTGTTTTTTGTTATTTGGGGGATGCAAAGGAGGCTGACGGCACAATTCCCAATTTTCTATAAAGTTAGCGAGACCCGGATCACTTCGATCTTCAATGTTTCATGCTAAATTTTTTCTTCCACAGCTTTTTGTTTATTTAGACTATGTACCTCTATACTTTCGCTCTTCCTACAAAATTAAAGACACAACAACAACCAATATCATATCTCCCTAACGGAAGCAATAAATTCTGTCATTTCACTAATCCTGATCTCGCAGGGATAACAAAGAATGCATTTACATTCATAACCACTAACAGGGTCTCATTAGTGGGCTGTGGAGAAGCTGCCGAGAAAACCAAAGCGCTCAGCTCGCAGAGCAGGAGCGCTGGAACCACCCAGGTCTGGCAGGGACCCACTTCACCGCCAGCTGAAACAGGAAGAAAATTTAAATGATTCTTGACAGAATTTGGTTTTGAAGGGAAGGTCAGGCTGAACAGGGAAACTCTGCCTAGCCGACCACAGCCTGCTTATTTATGAATAAGCCCAGCTGGCTGAGGCCCCCTCCTTCCCGAATTGAGCATTGGTGACATCTGTGACTTAGGGGTCCCCTAGCCTGCAGGTGTACCCCACTGTTTGGGCTTGAGGGGTGGTGATTAACCACATCCCTTCCCCTCATCCTGAGTTCTGAACCCGATAGGAGACAGACCTCAGAGTTTGCTGAGAGCATAGAATGGATAATGTGGCTGAGAACCCAGGTCACATTTGGGCTTAACGTGCCCTTTGGAGGCCAGGCCTGGAGACAAACCACCCATTGTATGGCCATACTCCAGTGGTGGGGACAGGGAGATGGGCCCCCACGCTTGCCCCAGGAAGAGCCCTGACTGAGTGGAGGCAGATGTGGAAGGAAATTCCTCTGCACTGTGGGCCAGTGCCTGCCAGCGGGAGGATGGGAGAGCCGGAGGGACTTGGCCTGTCGTGGAGTGACTCCCTGCTCTGGGGAAGAGGGAGGCCACAGGGTGAAGGGAACAGTGGAATTCAGCTTCCGAACACTGCCCTGCAACCAGAAGGACCTGCCCTGCCTCCTGAAACTGGAGGACATGCTGCTGTATCCCCTGAGGCTTTCAGAACTTCCAGAAGAGGAGCTGCTGGTTGGTGCTCTCCCATATACCTTTGGGGAGTCATTGGAGACATCCCAGATTCCCCTTTTCAATCCTAGGTCTGTTTCAGATATCTCTGTCCTGGGTGCCAGCGGCATTCCTGGGAACATAGGAAAGCACCCAGTCACTCCCCTGCCTGTTAGGAGTTTTCATCTGTAAGGTTCAGGAGCTCAGCAAGTGAGATTATTGTAAAGACATGGAGACCTCATCGCCATGGGGCAGAGGCCCCTAGCATCTCTGAGCTTGCAGGTGTCACTGCCAGAACACCCTACCATCTAGCCACCCAGTGCAGAAAGCCCATCCCCACCACTCCCCAAGCCAGGCACTATAGAGTCTTCCTGGGTACCCCCTCATTGCCCTGGTGGGTACTGGACCTCCTTCCCTGGGGACTCCGCCCTGCCTGTGCTCCCGGCTGCTGGCCTTCTGCTGGTCTTTCACTGGGACCCCTGCCATTGCAGACTTGTGCTTTCTCTCCACTCACCTTGGAGCTGCGTGCCCCAGAGATGTGCGCTTTTGTTATTGTGCATCCCTGCCACCCTCACAGTCACCATCACCACCATCACTGGCTCAGCCAAATAGAGCCAGATGTCATCTTTTCCCCGTGCAGCCTCTTGCTCTTATCCCCACTCCAGGCCTCATGATGTTATGTCCCAGCCGTGACCTCTGCAGACTTAGTTATGTTCTTTTTTTGTCCTCACAGGTGCTGCCAACACCTCCTTCTTTCGAATCAGCAGCAAAATTAATAACTGTACTGTTTTCCCATCTTTCCACATTTACTGGGCAAAGGACCCCAGGGCCCCATCTTAGCGCATCTTCAGTCCCTTGATCCCAGGCTCTTGGTGATGGCACTGTGGACAGAGGACTGGGGAGATGCTTATTCTGTGCCTGGACTTTGAAATATATAGGTCTGACCCCCTAAACTCGTTCTGACTTGAGCTGCAGTGAACAGAACAAATTTATTCCCCAGGGCTCCGCACGTGGAGTTCTTTATGCAGGCAACCTCCATTAAAGTCACCAGGAGTTTGCTCTGCATACGATAAACAGGGTCGAGCTTAAATCATGCAGCCTTAGTTGCCAGGGAGCTCCTGTCACTTTTACACTAGTACAAAACAAGTAAAAACGATTCTGGGCTTTTGGAAAAATAAGTTCTCAGCTGTTTCTGTATCATTTAAAATGAGATGGTTGCTGCTGATGGACTCCATTGCCACCGTGTTCTACAGCATGTGTACAGATGTCCTCTTTCCTCTCTGAACTCAAGCAAAGGCGCTACTAGATCTCAGTTCTTTGCTTAAATCAGCGGTGGCTCACAGTGGCCACCACTGCCAAATGATGTCCTCAGCTCCTTCCCCATAGCTCCATTCCTACCGAAGTGTGTTTGAAATTTCTGAATTCTGGAGGCCCAGAGCTTCCTAAGGAAATTGGCCATAATTCTGTCTTTGCCTCTTGGAATGTCGCTTCCCGATTTTCACTTAATATAAAATGAGCCCTGCTCATGGGCCTCACTCTGTTGTTCAAACTCACCCAACATAAAGAAGTCTGAAGTCTGCACTGCTTTATTTTTAGCCTTTCTCATGAGAATTTTAGCCATAAATTAGGGTCCAGGGACTGTTGATGGTGGATATAACCTACTTCCAGGTTGCCGGGCCCAGTGAATGGTACAACGCCGGCTCTTCAGCCAGAAGGCTTGGCTTCTGCCCTGGCCCAAGGAACTGTTCTCGTTCTCATGAGTTGCTTGGACTTCCTCTGGAGGGTGGTTATCCAGGGAGGAGATGAAAAACAGCCAAAGGCAGATCTTGTCCTTGCTGGTTTATGTCTTTGCTCCAAGTGCATGAGATGCTCATCTCAGCCTGTCCACAGCGCACTCGGAACATGCTGGAACTGCATGGTCAGGAGCCCGCCAGCCATGCCATGTCCCCAGCAGTGGGGCTTCTGAGCTAGACTGTAGCTTTTCACATCTCCTGTCTCTGCATACACTCTGCAACACCTGCCCAACTGGCTCGTCGGCCCAGTTACGGTGAGCTCCTAACTGGCAGCTGCCCCTGTGGCCCCGCCCCCCCCAGCATCTCCCAACAGCTAAAGCAGTTCAGTTGTAGGAAGGCCCACATTCCTTGGCACATACCAGACATATTCCTTTCTTATTGTCAGGAGGGAAGACAGCTATTTAATTGGTAATGACTTTCCCCTAAAAGCGAAAGTCCTGGTATGTAGAAAAGGTGATGTGGAAGACAGATCATTATCGAGTTGTTACCTGTGCCCCTCCCACACATCCCTACATTTCCTAAACATTTCTGTCTGGGAAAGGTCCCTCATGGCCTAATAGAACCCGAGAAAAGGCGGGAGATTTGAGAGAGTTTCAAGAAGCTAATTTGCACCCTTTCTGGTAATGAGACCTCACCCTAGCAAATGCAGCCATCGTAATACAAACAAGCCAAACCAGCCCCCAATTGGGATGATGATGTGTTTTCAAGAGCCTTCCGTGAGTCCAGATCCCAGGAGGTGTGGATCAGAGCTCAGCCAAAGTGCTGCATTTTTAAGGGGGAATTAATATTCTCATCACTAAATGCACACTAAAGATCGACCATAGACCAGTTTTTCTCTTTTGTTAAAAACTTGCAAAGAGTTGCTGAGTTGAAAGACAAAGTAAATCTCCCCATCTGAGGAGGTAAGCGGAATGCTATTTCTTGTTTTTAGCAGAGCAGCCTCGGCCAGCTGCAAGCTGTCTTCCCGTGGAGGGGAGACCCTGAGGGACCCTCTGCCCGTTTCCAGCAAGCCTTTGCATGCGGTGTGTTTGTACTCGCTGAAGACAGCGCATGACTCTCTAAATAATTTACAAGTTGATTAATAGACTCACAGGGGTATAATTAGAAGAGGGAGAGACAGTGGGTACAGTAACCGGTACAGTGCTTGGGGGAACAGGAGCCTTTATTTTTTTAAAGAAACTTTCTAGGGTGCTGGGCGTTTGAAGATAAGTTGGGAAGAGCTCAGTGCCTCTTCTCTTTTGAAGTGGAAATAGGACAGTTTGAATCCGTCGAGTTTAATTTTTCACAAGCTTTAGGGGCCCCGCAGTGCAACTCCCTTTTTATTATTGAAAAAACTCTACATTTTTCTTTCATTTTTCTACACACACACACACACACACACACACGCCAAGCAGTAAGTAATAAACACATTAATTTACTCTTATTCTATGTGGATTTCCTTCGCGTTGCCTCCCCCAGGTGTGTTGGCCTCTGTCCCTTTGGTACCCCCAACCCAGAGCCCCCGCTGTAGGGTGGCCTAGAGGTTTATTAATGGATGCCCCCTGTAATTTATGCATTTTAAAGGAACCCTCACCTCGGTCTGACAATGCTTTTGAAGTAGCTCCTTTTTTCAAGTCAAACTTTTGACTTTTCCGCTGGGACTGCTACAAAGATTTCCTCATGGAAACTAGGTAGGAGTCTTTTTCAGCCAGAGAGAAAGCTGTGGCCAAGATAGCCAAGCAGAGTGGCAGGGTAAAAGCGTTGTTTGCATTGTGGGGGCTGGAGGGCCTAGGAATGAGCACAGTTAGAGGAAGCGGGTGAGCACCTTTGCTTATCAACAGGTTTGTGCCCCCGAGGGTCCTTCTCTTTGATTTTTTTTACACTAGACTTTGATTTTGAAAGTGTGCCTTGTCTTTCTCCGGTATGAAAATGATGCTTTGCCAGGAGGCAGCCCCGTCACCAAAAGATCAAAAAGCCTTTGCTCAATGGCTAGTCCAGTGGGGAAACTGAGGCAGTAAGTGATGCCAGATTCATTCATGCATCCATTCGACAACATTGTCTCCCCAAGAAGAATGGGCGCTGCCGGAGGGGGGTAGGTCTGGCCTGCTTAGCGCTGTTCCTTGTCACTGGCTGGAGCCACCATAGGGGCACAGCCAGATTTTCCTGTTGGGCTGAATGTCAAGTGTTGCTGTGTATCAGGCATCCAGATTAAAAAAGAAACCCAACCCAACCCTGACATTTCTGGGAAGTCCAAGGAGAGCCGGAGTGCACAGAGTCATCCTTGCTCTGACCAGAGCTTCTAGAAGCGTTTCCCTCTCCGTGGGCAGCCCCAGCGGCTTCAGAGAAGAGCAAACCGCCAGTGCGCTCAGCTGTGAAATTGTCTCTGACAGGCCTGACCCTGGAGGCCCCGGGCCTTCTTCTCCAGTCGGGAGGTCTCTCAGTGTAGCTGTCTGGGCAGCCCTTGGCATGGCTAGAGCTGTGCTCCTGCCCCTCACAGACCCCCCAACGGCAGGTGCAGCTTGAAGCCTCTTTCCCTCTGGGAACATCCTCGCCTGACGGGAGCTGACACGGGTTCTTTCTCATTGGGCTGTGAGCGGGGCCTGCAGAGGCAGGGGCAGGACATGAGGGGTGAGGAAGAGGTGGCCCCAGTGACCCTCTGCAGCCTCTACACTTATGATCAGGGAGGTGGGACTTGCTGGGGTTTGTCAACCAGAAGCTGGCTCTGAGGTTTCCTGTGCAAGGGAACTTGGCACAGCCTCATCGGACATAGAGGGAGGGAAGCGGGGACCACGCCCTGCAGCTTCACACCTGTCGCTGCTGCTCTGGGTGACAAGGGCACACCCGACAGAAGAAGCAAGATGGGAGCAGAGGGACACGGGAGGGGGAGAGGCGAGGGAAGAGACTTCCTGACATACAGAGGGATGTACCTGCTCCCACCCCCCTCCCTGGGAAGAGCCTGTGGAAGCCAGGGGATGCGGGAGGCAGGGGAAGGGGAACTCCTTCTCCTCACCCCTCACTGCAGACCTCTGATTTACCCCATCCACGATCTTGATTGCAGGACTCTGACCTCCCCCCAGCCTTTGGTTGGTTTTTACTGGGAGATGAGATGGCCTCATCTGGGACCTCCCTACCCCAGGATCCCCCTGTTTCTGCTCACGCTGTCTGCTCGGCCGGCTGCTTCAAGGGCTGAGGAGTCAGCTCCCGCAGGGCTCATGGTAGGAGCTCAGCTAGTTTAGTGGAAGAGCAAGCCTGTGGCAGTTGACCTGGGTCCCTGTGGTGTGGACAATCCCAGGGCCCAGATGCTGCCCTCTGCTGCCTGCATTTCTATTCGGGTGAGGTCCCTCTCCATGGGCAGCCCCAGTGGCTTCAGAGAATTAGTCTTTTTTTTTTTTTTTTTTTTTTTGAGATGGAGTCTCACTCTGTCCCCAGGCTGGATCGCAGTGGCGCGATCTCGGCTCACTACAACTTTCGCCTCCTGGGTTCAAGCGATTCTCCTGCCTCAACCTCCTGAGTAACTGGGACTACAGGCGCCCACCACCACGCCCGGCTAATTTTTGTATTTTTAGTAGAGATGGGGTTTCACCATATTGGCCAGGTCTCCATCTCTTGACCTCGTGATCCGCCAGCCTCGGCCTCCCAAAGTGCTGGGATTACAGGCGTGAACCACCATGCCCGGCCCAGAGAATTAGTCTTGAAGGAACAAAGAGGAGACAGGTCACAGGGGGCAGCATGCAGCCTGAAGGATTTCTAGAAGGGAGGCAAGTGACTGTCACTCCCAGATGGGAGGGGCCGTGGCTCAGAATCACACAGACTTGGTTCCCATTCAGACTCTGCTTCCTCCCAGCTGTGCTCCTGGGCAAGCCATGCGCCCCCTCAGAGCTCCCTTCAGTTTTCCCATCTGTAAGGCGAGCTTTCCTAGGATCCCATTTGTTGGCTTGCTCTATATAAAGGGAATTGTGTCTGTAATTCACTAATTACTTACTATGGTCACTGGTTGTAATCACTGATTACTCACCATGATTATTATCAAGAATGGAGTTGCCATCGTCATCATCTTAGTGGTAGTAATGGTACTCACAGCAAGTCCTGTCGGGTGTGAATATATTTTATATATGGGGGATTTTTTATATTTATTTATTTCCCATGACTGCTACCAGCTTTGGGGACCTAGTCCCTGCGGTAACTGGGAACTGACAAAGCTCCAGTTTGCATTACTCTGATGCTCCGTGATATGGTTTGGCTGTGTCCCCACCCAAATCTCATCTTGAACTGTAGTTCCCATAATCCTCACGTGTCATGGGAGGGACCCGGTGGGAGGTAATTGAATCTTGGGGGTGGTTACCTCCATGCTGTTCTCGTGATAGTGAGTTCTCACAAGATCTGATGGTTTTATAAAGGGCTTTCCCCCGCTCTGCCCCTTCGCTCTGCACCTCTCCTGGCTGCCGCTATGTGAAGAAGGACGTGTTTGCTTCCCCTTCTGCCATGATTGTAAGTTTCCCAAGGCCTCCCCAGCCTTGCAGAACTGTGAGTCCATTAAACCTCTTTCCTTTATAAATTACCCAGTCTTGGGTATGTCCCCCAAGTATCTCTTGTAGCCTAACAAGCTACCCCCCAATTTAATGGCATAAAATGACGCTGAGTTTATTATGCTCCTGATTTAGTGGGTCAGGGTTTGGGGCAGGACATGGCAAGGAGGTCTCGACTCTGCTCTGTGCTGACTTGGGCTTAGGTGGGATGCCTTGAACTGCCTAAGAGAGCTGGGCTGGCTCACCCGGGGATTTACATCTGGATCTCAGTTCTGGCGTCAGCTTGATTCCTTGGTTTTTCTCCACGTTGCATCTGCAGGGATAGTGTGTCCAAGACGGATTCTTCATCGCCATGCCCGGTGCCTGGGAGGGCACGCTTGGAATGGCTGGGGCTGGCCAGGCATCTTCCCTCCTCACAGCCTCTCCGTGGGGCTGGCTTCACCTGCCTTCTTACTTGGTGTCTGGCTGCTCCTGGCACAAGCACTCCAGAGAGTTCAAGGGCGGCAGTGGTTGGGGTGGAAGGTGGGGCCAGCGGCCAGGCATCCCATGACTTCACCACAGACACCCCAGGATACACTTCTGTCTGAATCTGTTCACAGAGCTTGTCACTGGGGCCAGCCCAGGTTCCAGGGAGGGGATTGAGACACCGCCCCCCTCCCGCCCCCTGCCCTGGGAGGAGTAGCAAAGAAGGCGTGGCCATCTTTAATCTCCCACACCACACCGGGGAAGGCTTGATGTGAACATTTTAGTTTTGTTCAGGATGGGCTGCACCACGTGCCTGGGAGGCAGCCACAGCCTAAGCAGCCCTCAGGAGCTGGATCCCCAGGCGACATCGGGTGCCACACAGGGGCCTACCAATACCTCCGTGGCTTTGGAGCCCAATTTTGTCCCCATGAAGAGGAGGAAGCCTTGGCTAGGAGGTAAAATGAGTCGCCCAAAGGCAGGCTGCAAGTGGAATGCAGAGCGCAGGGCAGAGTTTGGGCCTCTAGTCCTCATCGTCACAGTGCTCGTCCTCCTAAAAGTCAGGTGGCAGCAAGCAGCCCCAGAGCTGGATTGGCTGGATGCAAATCCAAGCTCCACTACCTGTGAGCTGTATGGCCATGGGCAAGTCACTTCCTCTTCCTGTGCCTTAGTTTTCTAATCTGTAAAATGGGATACTGTGACTACTTCTTTCATAGGGAGAAAACTACATGAATTAATATTTGTATTAGAACAAAGACATGCTTAGAACAGGGCCAGGCTCATCATATGCACTGTAGCATACATGCTTGGTGAGTCAATATACTATCATATCTTTTCCCTCCCAGAAAACTGGGCTCATGGTTCTGTTTGCTGCTGACTTTCTTCTCCCAGATTTCGTGGGCTATGGCATCCTTGCTGCCCTTGAGATGTGGGAGAAAAAACTGGTTCTAAGCCCTGAATTCATTAAAATGGAAGGAAAATCGTGTTCCTTAAATGCTTTGATCTGCAGTGTACACTTAGTGAATACATCACTCTTTAAAATAATCCAGTTCACATGCAGACTGGCCGACCTCTGCTCATTTTCCCAGATACTTTCATATTCCATTGAAAGATGTAAAAATGTACTTTAAAATAAAAATTGTCAAATCATTCTGCACAGTGTGGCTAGCCGAGCATTTCCAATAGAGAAGTTTTACTAATTTGCTAAGTGATGTACCAGTTGTTTATAGAAGAATGTCTATTTTTGAATGGTCTCTTTTGTCACCTAAAACTTCATTTGAAAGGGACAAACTGGCCAGGCGTGGTGGCTCATGCCTATAATCCCAGCACTTTGGGAGGCCGAGGCAGGCAGATCACCTGAAGTCAGGAACTCAAGACCAGCGTAGCCAACATGGTGAAACCCCATTTCTACTAAAAATACAAAAAAAATTAGCCGGGCCTGGTGGCGCACTTCTGTAATCCCAGTCACTCACGAGGCTGAGGCAGGAGAATCTCTTGAACTCAGGAGGTAGAGGTTGTAGTGATCCGAAATCGCGCCACTGCACTCCAGCCTGGGCGACAGAGCGAGACTACTCCGTCTCAAAAAAAAAAAAAAAAAAAAGGACAAACTGAAATATTCACTGTTGGGCATCTCTGCCCCTCAGGTAGCTGTGTCAATGCCGTGTGGGCACCTCAGTCTTGTCTTTGCCTTTTGCCTGAGTAGACATGGTAAAGAAGAGAGTGACAGAAAGTGGGTGGCCCTCTCCAAGGGAGGAGGGGCACAACATGGCCTCCTAGTCTGCAGGGCACCCAGGGCTGATGTACTGACTTCTCTGGTCTTGAAAGAAAATCCAGTATTAACACATTGTTATTTCCTGGCGCCATTGTCTGCCAGGCAATTTTAAACGTTGTTAAGCAGTAGAGATATTAGAGTAGAAAGGTTGGCGTCTAAGAAAACCATGGAAGGCATCTGTTTCATCTCCTACTTGGGGAACCAAGGCCCGGCCAGATGGGGGTTTGTCTGGGGCAATTGACTTGAGTTTACCAAAGAGCAAGCTAGATCCAGTGGCCTTACCCTCCCTTAGGAATTGCAGGGTGCGGCCGATGGAACAATCCCAGTTTCTCCTCATTCTCTTCTCCAGGGTTTGGAAATGTTCTGTGCGTTGCTGGCGGCGTTCACTTGGGGGATGCAGAACCCATGTTTCACCAGCAGGTGGTAGTAAATAACAAACAAACGGCATCACCAACAGAAACACCTGGCGCCAGGTCCTGGCACTGGGGCGCTGCAGGGCCTTCAGGGCACGCAGGATTTCTGGTGACGGCAGCGAGACGGGCTTGCAGGCCCAGCTGCCGGGAATCAGTGCCATCCCGAGAGTGATGGCCTCCAGAGATGGGAGGCGTTCGGCTTTCCTTGAATTAAGTCAGGGCCTGGGCAAACCTCCCAGCAGCCTAGAGTAGAGCCCCTGGCGGGATGCGAGCCCCGCTTCTTTCAGGCACCAGGTTGTGTGAAATGGAAATTAAAAAACAAAACCAAAAGCAACCCCTTTTCCTCCTCCACAGTCCTGTTCCTTTTGTAAGATTCCCTGGACCTCCTGGGTCCTATTGGGATCCTTCAGGAGGGGCGGGACCCAGGGACCCAGGGACCACAGGAGAAAGAGAAGCAAATGCCAGCCTCCCCCATGAACACTGATGCTCATCTTGACATCAATTTCAAGGAGGGCTTGAAGAAGGAAAGAAGTTACACCGGGCAGTTTGAAGCGAATGTGAGGGATGAGGAGAGGCAGTGTGGGTGCGGTGTAGGTATGTAGGTGTGTTTGCTAGATGTGTTTGTGTAATGAGGGTGTGTGCTTCGTGTACTATGTGTGGATAGGTGGGTATACAGTATGTGTTGTGCACGTGGTGGGGTGTAGGGGTGTGGGGGTGTGTGGTGTGTGTGTGTGTGTGTTTGTAGCTGAGTGCATGAGCACATGTCTGTGTGTGTGCGTGCCTGTGTGTGTTGTAGTGTGTCAGGTGTCGTGTGTGTAGACATGTATGTAGTGTGTGGGGGCGTTTATGAGTGTGCATGGAGGGGTGACGTGTGCAGGGCATGTGCAAGGGTGTGTGGGGAGGCACTCAGCTCTTTCCTGTTTGCCCTAGGGTGCCAAGGAGGCTCACATGGCTTGTCGTGAGTCTAGCAATCAACCTTAGCATGTTTTTTATCTTTAAGCCACTGGCTGAAGGAGCTATTTCCTTCTCTCCACTTTTTGTCCTATCTTTATATGCCAGCCCCAGAAACCTTAGTGTCCCTCATATCTTCTCCCTCAACAATAACTGATGGGCAGAAAGCCAAGGTCCCTGCAGGGCTGGCTCTGCGGTGCGGACAGCAGGCGGCGGCGTGGCGCAGCAGGAGGGGCCTCTGGTGCCTGCTGGAAAACCGCAAGCTGGCCTGGGTGCTCTCTCCGAGCCCTTCCCTACTCACACCCATCAGCTCTGGAGCTGGATGTGACCGAGGGTGACTGAAGCCAGACCTGCAGCCCGGGAGGAGTCAGTGCTGCCCAGTTGCATCTCATGGGTGTCGGGACTCCTGTCCGGAGCCGTGGAACTGCTGTGCGGGAGGGAGCCCAATGGGATCCTGGGCCTTTAGACAGGACTCCTTCCCCTTCGAGACAGGAGGGTGGGACACGGGCCCGCGGTGGGGAGTGGAGGCCTGGGAGCATCCCACTTGCCACCATGGATCCCCATCTACCCCCATGCCAAGGGCCAAGCACACCCAGCCCCGCGGGGAATAAATGGATTGAGATTTTAATAACCTGGAGGTCAACTTGAGGACTGCCATCTTTTATGGAAGATCTTGAGAAAAAAAAAAAAAAAAACAAACGAAACCATGTGGTGTGGCCTTATGAAATAATGAGATACTCATATCTTGCAGTTGGCTAAATTTAGGGCTGACAGAACACTCCAGAGAGGTAACCCTTGGCGGTAGCTTTGTATGAAGGGTGAGATGTTAACTGTCAAGCCCAGAAATCAAGCCTGAGGCATCTGACTTAATGGTGAAAGACTTTAGACCGCACTGAAAAATCTCTGTCTGAGAGGAGGAGAAAGGGTAAATGGACAGCATTATCAAGAGGACTCGAAACTTCTGGCAGAGCACAGTGAACCAAGGAGCAGCTTGTTCTCAGCTTTGTGCTGAGCTGGCCAGTCAGACCATGTGGGGCTGGAAACGTGAGTCCATAGCTGGCAGGAAAATCCAAACAAGCCACAGCAAAACAGACACCGAGCCTCAGAGAGGCTGGGACAGGAGACATGGGTGGGTTTGGGGAATTTACACTAAAGGCAGGGTCTTCAGGGTTCACCCCTCACTCCTCAACCCTGCGTGCTGCCACTGAGGAGAGATGCTGACTGGGAAAGGTCGGTAGCCTCAGAGCAGCACCCAGTGGGGTCTGTTGCTTGTCTTGACCCAGATGGGAGAGCCCTACCAGGATCCAGGATCCCTGTGCGCTGGGAGAGGACCAGTGCAGTTCCTTAGCCACGCAGCCCCAGTGAGGAACTGTGAGCCAAAATGTGTTGCTGTTCCTTATAAAAGGTTAAAGGACTCGAACGAGGAGCTTTCGCAGGACTGCTAACACAGGCAGATGTGGGCAAGTGCCCGTGATGCCAGGCTTCTGGGCAGAGCTTCCGGAACTGGTGGAGTTACAGGACGGCTGGAGGCCACCCAAACTGCAGGTCCCCCAAAAGGGAGAGCCGCCCATGGCCTTCGGGGGAGATTGTGTCCTTTGTCACTTTAGGAACGGTCTCTCACAGGGGCCATTTCAATCTGTTTTAAGCATTAAATGGTTTCCTTTAAAAAAAAATCACATTTTTAGTGGAAAACGTTAAACACATCTAAAAAGCAGAGAGAATAGAATAATGAACCTGTGGGAGCCATCGCTAGTATAATGAACCTCACGTGCTTGTGGCCACCCTTGTTGCATCTAGAACCACCCTCCCCTACCCCAGAGACCCCTCCCAACAAACCCCAGGTGCTAGTGCTCATTCTTTTGGCTGCATATTTAATTCACGAGTGGGTGATCACGTAGAGATGAATGGAACGACTGAGAGGAAGCGTCTCCCTTGGTTATTTTCTGTTGCCGCAGGACCTGATTCAGTGCTTGGTGAGAAAAGTCCTTAAGTTCTCTGGCCCATGAACGCTTGAGGAACTAAAGAACTTCCTGGGTTTTGGAAATGGTTCCCTTTTTTCCTTCCCTCCCTCCCTTCCTTCCTTCCTTCGTGTTTATTAGATGCTTTCCGTGGGCCCAGTACTGTGCCAGGTGCTGGGGTATAGCAATGAGCCTGACCCTACTGGGGGGATCCCTGCTTTCATGGGGTGGGCATTGGGGTGGGAATGCAGGTATTAAGTGGATACTACATCAGTTGTTACTGATGTGCGCTTGTGATGAGCCCTTCCAGGAAGTGCTGGCTGCAGAGCCTGTGTTTCCTGATTCCTGCAGAGAGGGGTTTGTTTGGGTTTTGGCTCAAAGTGGGAACCAGCGTGAGCATTCCCTTTCTTCCTCAATCTTTTGGAAATTTGGCCCTCCCTGCCTCCGACATCCCCAGCACTTCCTACTTCTGTGACCTCTGCTTTCCTGCCAGGTTTGTGTTGCATTACATCCGGGTGCCCTCTCACCTCCACCACCCTGGGCTCCATGAGCAAGGGCTTGAGTCCGATTCATGGAGCGTGAAGTGGCGGCCACCCTTCCCCCTCCCTCTGTGTGTGTGTGTGTGTGTGTGTGTGTGTGTGTGTGTGTGTGTGTGTAGCATGTATGTATGTGTATATATTAATATAGTCACATATGAATATATGTTTAAATTAGACCATGTATACAAGCCGTTTATTTACCTGCTTTTTTCTCATTCTGTCATAGACTTCTGCCTCGACCTGTCTATATTAACTTTGCAAGTTAATATAGAGATTGTTTTTAAAAGGTTGTCTAATATTCTATTGCAGAGATGTACCTTCTTTGATTTAATCTGTCCTCTATTGATGGACATTCTAGATCATTTCCAGTTGTCACTATTGTAAACAACACTGAAATGGACATCTTTGTATACACATCTTTTTCCCCTCTTAGGTTCAAGTTCTTAGAAATAGGATTGCTGGGTCAAAAGACATGTACATTTTAAATTTTGATGCAAGTTGGGAAATTCTCTCTAGAAATCTTTGTCAACTAACAGAAAAAACAAAAACAAAAACCTCATTGTATTTCTATCTGGCCTTCCATTTTTCCCTCGAGTCAGATTTCTCCTCAGTTGAGAAACTTTGTATTGGTTCGTAAGTGGCCAATGTGAGGGACTCAGGGGCTCCAGGCCATTGGGTAATGAGGCAGCAGAACAGTTGGGGGTGTTATGGGCCGGGGATCAGGGTCCTATCCCAGCCTGATCACCAGCTGGCTAGATGACCTTGGGCGGGTCACTTAAACCACAACCTCTTTGGGCTTCAGTTTCCTAACTTTGAAACAAGAGGTCAATGGGATGACCTTCCAGGCCCTCAGAAAGCTGTGGCTCCAAAGGTCAGACCACCTACAGTGCAGCTGGGTTTCCAAGCCATACTTGATTATTAGAGATGACACTCAGAAAATATTTGGTCCAAATAATTCTCACCGCTAAACAATGGAGGCCTTAGTGGGCCTGGATTATTAGCGGGATCCACCATTCTGATCTCAGCCAAATGCGGCCTCCTTAGTAGCCGTCCTAGGCCCGGTCAAACCATCAGCCTCCCATCATTTGGTTGATTTTCTTCACAGTACCCATGACTCTTAGAAATGGTTATTTGTTACCTGGGTAATGTTTGTCTCCCCGAGACAGCGTGAACTTCAGGAGCCCGGGGGCCTTGGCAGTCAGGCTTGCTGCGTAGACCGTATCCCATGTCCAGCACAGTGCCTGGCACAGCCTAGATGGTCAGCAACTACCCACTGGGTGAATCGTGGGGATAGGATTATTTCTGTATTGGTTTCTTCTTTCCGTGAAAATATCTGTAAATATTAAGGGTAGACCTGGACTGGAAGGCTCTATGGCAGATTCTTACCCTACATTGTTTTAAATCGGTATTTATTCATCCTGGCAAGAAAACACAAGGTCTCTGGATCAGAGGACAGACCAAATTCTTTCACACAGTAATCTCAGAGCTGGCTCCCCACGCCCCAGTTCCTCACAGGCAATGTGGAAAGAGCCAAGTGCACCCCGAGTGTACAGGGGGTCTATAGCAGGAGGGGAGCCCCAACACTGTGACTCTTGGAGCTTATGCAAGACAACATGCCAGCTCCCTCCCGAGCTTTACTCTGGAAGGAACCGACTCTGACTCCGACTCCTTCTGGGGAGAGGAGGAGGAGGTCACTAGGTTTACAGCCCTTTGAATGTAAACAAATGTCTCGAGGCAGAGGTCCCTAAGTCTCTCTGGAGGTCTCTGTCTTTAACTTCCAAGGCTGTTCTTAATCTGTCATCCTTTATCCCAGGTGCCAACAGTCTTTGCTGGCACGCCCTGACCACAGGCAACCGTGAAAATATTCGTGAAGCATCACTTCCCCACACACATCTCCTGAATTGAAAAGTAATAGCCACCACCTTTGAGTGTCGGCTGTGTGCCAGAATCGTAAATGCGGTGTGAGCCGGTCACAACAGGTCCTCTTATCCTTTCAGCAGATAGGAAGCTGACGCTCAGAGAGTGAGAGACTGCCTGGAGATGAGGCAGCAAGAAAGGGAGGAGCTGAGATGAGACCTGGATTTGTGAATGCCCCAAGCCCATGTTCTGTCTACAACCTGGCTTCCCCAAAGTCTGGTCAAGTTGATTTTAACAGAGTTGATTACTTTTGAAATATTTGAAAAAGAGAAGCCTTCTATTTATTCAACACCTACTATGTGCCAGACATCTTTCTAGGCAGGGAAAAATGGGAGAGACATGGTTCTTTGTTATTATGGGACCCATCCATGAAAGAGACGCAGACATTAAAGAAAGAATCACCCAGAGAGAAGTATCTTTGTGATAACAAGGGTGGCAAGTGAGGGAGGATGAGAAGTGCAGGCTGGGGGCTGTCCTCAGAGACTTCCCTGGGGAGGGAACATCACACCGTGGCCCTGAGGCTGAGTTTGAAGGCTGGCCCAGGCAAGATGTGGGAGAAGGGTGTTCCGGATGGAGGAGGTGGCACGTTCGAAGGGAGGTGCAAGCTGGCAAGATTCACCTGGGAGGAAGGCAGGGCACAGACCTTGCCTTGGAAAGGAGACTGCTCTTTATCCTCGGAGCACTGGGGAGCCCCTGCAGGTTTGAAGCAGGGGAAGGGATGGGATTCGCTGAAGTGACTTCTCATTCATGCTAGATAGCCAGATGTTCTCGTTAAAGCAAAAACCCTTTTCTGCTCTTTCCTAGGGACTGGGGAAGAAAGGCTGAAGGGCATGAGAGAGAACACATTCAGGGAAATGCAGACTGCTTAGAATTAGGGTTATGGTTTTTTGGTGACAAGGGCAGCAACCCAGCAAGTCACGGCCACAGGGAAAACGGCTGGCAGTGATTTTTCTGCATCTCTTGCTTCCACGTTCACCTGGCTGTCAGCCTGGGGGGCCCTGTGGAAGGTTTCAAATGTGTGCTTCAGGCCCGCTTGCCAGACCCCCGGGCAGTCGGTAGGAGGGTAACCAGGCAGCTTCCAGAGAAACTGCCAAACTCACTGCCACCACACCCCTAGGAACCAGTTCCAATGGGGCCACAGTCATAGCAAACAATGGTAATATTTACCAAGTATTTCTGGAAAAATGAGTGCAAAGTGCAGGAAACACAGTGCAAATTGCTAGAACGCAGTACATTAGCAACATAGGACATTTAATGAGTCTGGGAAGAGACGTATGAATTTCAGGAAAATGTCAATTGCCGCAATGTAAACAAGAGGCTTCTCAATATCTCATTCTCCTTAGGACTTTATTTCAGTCTTTGGTTATAACTAGTTCTGTGATTCTTGGGAGAGACTTCGTTCTAAGCATCAAGGATGGGAGAATTGGAGAATTTTGGGAAAGGGGAGTGGGCGTTGCTAGCGCATCACAGACTGGCAGAGAGCTTTGGGGGCGCTGGCACAGTCCCACTTGAGGAAAACTGAAACTGCAGCTGGAGCTGGTGCGCTTCCAGGAAAAGTGTTTGCTGCAAAAACTGGGCCCATAGTGGTTGCTATGGTCTGAATGTGTCATCCCAAAATTCATATGTTAAAATCTAATCCCCAAGACAATGGTGTTAGATGGGACCTTTGGGAGGTGATGAGGTCACAAGGCAGGGGCCCTTGTGGATGGGATTAGTGCCCGTATAAGGGAGACCCCAGAGAGACTTCTCACCCCTTCCACCAGGTGAGGATGAAGCAAGAAGGCACCATCTGTGAACCAGAAAATAGGCCCTTTCCAGGCACTGAATCTGACTTGATCTTAGACTCCCCAGACACCCAGTTTACGGGATTTTGCTATAGCAGCCCAAATGGACTAAGACAGGGGGACAATCTGCTCACATCTCACTGGGTTGCAGGTGGGGATGGTGTCGTGTCCAGGAAAGGGAAAGACCGAGGTCAAGGTCAGCCAGTGCATTTCCCATCTCACGCAGCCCCGTTGCTGGGACCGAGGAGGGACCTGGGAAATAGGCACTGACAACCTTGTCCAAGTGGTTCCAAGTGGCTCCACCTAGACCCACTTCTTCAGCAGCTCAATCTATGGCCAAGTAAAGTTAGGAAGCCCAGGACCCATGGGCTGCCGGCCAGCAGGGTACTCACTTGCCCCCCTTCTCTGCAGTTCCTGACAGCCTCCTCATGAAGGTGCTGAGCCAGCGCCTGGACCAGCAGGACTGCATCCAGAAAGGCTGGGTGCTACACGGCGTCCCGCGGGACCTCGACCAGGCACACCTGCTGAACCGCCTGGGCTACAATCCCAACAGGTGAGCTGCCCCAGCCAAGCCAGCAGCCCTGGCCAAGCCCCTGGGCACCCCCTCTCCAGGGCTCAGCTGAAGGGGTCCAGGTTACACAAGCCTTCACGTGTTCCTGAAGTGGAATGTCTCCTGGTCATCCCCATTCCCACCCATCCCATCTGCCCGGTGGACTAGGAGTCAGGCTTGGGTTCAAATCCTGGCTTTCACCCTCCTTGATGGACCCTCATCTGTAAAACAGTAATAAATACCAGTCTTGCCTTCCTTGGGGAATTGTTATACAAATCAATGGATGTTTTCTTCTACTATTTTTACAGTTTCATTTTTATATTTAAATCTTTGGTGCAGCTGATATTTATTTGGATGTGAGTAGGCAGTATGAGTCCCCCTTTTATTTTTTCCCCAAATGGTTAACCATTTGTTCAGAGTGTTGAATATCACTGGATGTTCTGTCTTCCCTCTACTAGTTTGAACTTGAGAGCTCATCACAATTGTATATATTGTGGAGAGCAGTGAAGCCCACCAAAGTGAAAGCAAGCAAAGGCTATTTAGTCTGAGCTTGCAATAGCAAGGGGTCAGCCACCATTGCTTGGCGTTTTGGCAGAGGCTCACAGGCAGGCAGCGGAGGTGACAGCATTCTAGTGGAAGGTGGGAAAGGCTTCGGTTCTACCATGCCCCAGTTGGAGGCTGTTGGCTTGGGGAAGCTGGGTGGGTTAACTAGAGGCGGGGCCTCCTGTGTGACTGGTTAAGGGAACATATTTGGCTTTCTCTGGTTGGTCATACCTTGCAAATGGTGGCAAAAATGAGGGAAGCTGTCAATTCCTGATCAAGTCCTGGTCCTTTGGGGCTGATTGCTGCAGAGATTGTGGTCTGACACCCCGGGCAGGTTGCTGCAGGTTGTGGGTTCCAGTTCTCTTTTTATATATGGTCTGACCATCATCAAACTGTGTGTTTAGTCTCTCAATATACTGGGCCTGTTTCTGAACTTTCTCTTTTCTGAGTGTCTATTTCTGCAGTAGTACCTCTCTGTTTAACTACTTTACTTTTGTCATATCTGTATTTCAATAGTCAATGCAGGACAAGGCCCTCTCATTGATCTTCTTTATTGTCTATTTTATATATTTATTATTCCAAACGAGCACTATAATGATTTTATCATGTACAAAAAGAAACTGCCATTGAAATTTTAGCTGGAATTGCCTTAGATTTTCAAATTGATCTGTGATATGGTTTGGCTCTGTGTTCCCACCCAAATCTCATCTTGAACTATAATCCCCACATGTTAGGGAGGGACCTGGTGAGAGGTGATCGGATCATGGGGGCGGTTTCCTCCATGCTGTTCTCATGATAGTGAATGAGTTCTCACGAGATCTGATGGTTTTAAAGTGTGGCACCTCCCCCTTTGCTCTCTCTCTGTCTCTCTCCTGCTGCCATGTAAGATGTGCCTTGCTTCCCCTTTACCTTTTGCCATGACTGTAAGTTTCCTGAGGCCTCCCCAGCCATGTGGAACTGTGAATCAATTAAACCTCTTTCCTTTATAAATTACCCAGTCTCAAGTAGTTGTTTATAGCAGTGTGAAACGGACTAATACAATCCGTTACAGTTTGACATGGATATATTCTGTCTTTGCTTCTAGTGAAAATATCAACACTTCCTTGGGTCTCGCATTTTTTATTTTATTTCTAGGTATATTATCTCTTGTTCTTCTTACTGATATTATAATAAGATATTTTCATTCCATATTTTCTAAGGGGGTTTTTCAAGAGTATACAAAAGACATTGATTTTGGCTTACTTATTTTATACCCCAGCCACCTTCTCAAACCCTCTTACTGTTTTGGATAGTTTTTCAGTTGATTCTCTTGGGTTTTACAGGTAGATGACCATGTCATCTACAAATACTCATCCTTTTGCCTCTTCCTTTTCAATATTTATACTTTTCATTTTACTCTTGTTGGGCGGTACTTTCAGAACAGGGTGTCATGATCGACACGGTGGTTTTTCCTGACCATAAGGGCTGTCCTGGTACTGCTGACATTAAGGTGCTACTGGCTTTTGGTTTGAAGTGCATACAATTTGTATGAAGTTAAAGAAGTTGGCCGGGCACAGTGGCTCACGCCTGTAATCCCAGCACTTTGGGAGGCCGAGGTGGGTGGATCATGAGGTCAGGAGATCGAGACCATCCTGGCTAACATGGTGAAACCCGTCTCTACTAAAAAATACAAAAAATTAGCTGGACGTGGTGGCGGCCGCCTGTAGTCCCAGCTACTTGGGAGTCTGAGGCAGGAGAATGGTGTGAACCCAGGAGGCGGAGTTTGCAGTGAGCTGAGATCACGCCACTGCGCTCCAGCCTGAGCGACAGAGTGAGACTCCGTCTCAAAAAAAAAAAAAGAAGTATAGCTCCGTGATTTAAAATCTCTAGTTAATGTTTATCAAGAGCTTTTCAGCATCCTTTAAAATTGTTTTTCCTTTTTGACACATTGGTATTATAAATTATGTTAATATTAGTAAGCCAGTCTTTTGTTCCTATAGTAACTGGTTTGGTCATGGCATATTGTTCGTTCATGGAATATTATTCTACTGCTTGTGGCAGATAGAATTTTGACCCTTAGGACCTTTGCCCCCTGCTGTCATGCGTCTGAATATTACATTACATGACAAAAGGGACTTTGCAGATATACTTAAGATTACTAATCAGTTCACCTTAAAATAGAAAGGTCATCCTGGACTATCTGGGTGGGCCCAGAATAATCACACAAACCCTTAAAAGCAGAGTTTCCTCCTGACTGAGGGCAGAAGAGGAAGTCAGAGAGATTTCTAAGCATGACACAGCATTGGTGGCTCAAAGATGGGGGCCGTGGAAAATGTGAGAAGAAATGAATTCAACCAACAGTGAGCCCCAGGTGAGAACTACAGCTCTGGCTGATACCTTGACCTAAGCCCAGTTAGACCCATACCAGATTTCTGACCTACAGAAACTGGGAGATAATAAATTTGAGTATCTTTTTTTCTTTTCTTTCTTTCTTTTTTTTTTTTTTTTTTTTTTTTTGTGAGATGAGTATCACTCTGTCGCCCAGGCTGGAGTGCAGTGGCATGATCTCTGTTCACTGCAACCTCTGCCTCCCAAGTTCAAGTGATTCTCCTGCCTCCTCCTCCTGAGTAGCTGGGATTACAAGTGTGTGCCACCATGTATGGCTAATTTTTGTATTTTTATTAGAGACGGGTTTTACCATGTCGGCCAGGCTGGTCTCGAACTCCTGACCTCAGGTGATCCACCCATCTCAGCCTCCCAAAGTGCTTGGATTACAGGCATGAGCTACTGCACCTAGCCAAATTTGATTATCTTTTTTTTTGAGACAGAGTCTCGCTCTGTCTCCCAGGCTGGAGTGCATGGCGCGATCTTGGCTCACTGTAAGCTCTGCCTCCCGGGTTCACGCCATTCTCCTGCCTCAGCCTCCCAAGTAGCTGGGACTACAGGTGCCTGCCACCACGCCTGGCTAATTTTTTGTATTTTTAGTAGAGACGGGGTTTCACCGTGTTAGCCAGGATGGTCTCGATCTCCTGACTTTGTGATCCACCCACCTCGGCCTCCCAAAGTGCTGGGATTACAGGTGTGAGCCACCGCACCCAGTCCAAATTTGAGTATCTTTAAGCAGCTAAGTTTGTCATAATATGATATTGGCAGCACAAGGAAATTAACATGCTGTTGGATTGTATTGGCTACATTTTTTTTTGCATTAATATGCATCTATAATATGGATTAGAATTTTTCCACATTCTTGTGCTTTGTTAGGCTTTAGTATCAGTGATGTGAAAATTTCGTAGATTTTCTTTCTTTCTCCATATCTGAGAGAGTTTTTAAAACTCAGGCAGTAACTGTTTTTTTGGATCTGGCACTTTGGGGCAGAGGTAGCTTGTTAACAATTTGATTGATTTTGTTCAGGGTGTTTGGTCAATTCGAATTTCTCTCTTTTCTTGTGCAATTGGTCTCTTCTTAGAAAATCACCCCTTTCCCCTGTCTTTAAATATATTAACATAATTTGAATATCTTGTGCCACTAATTTTTATTGTGTTTCCTACAGTTTTGGCTTTATGTGTTTTGGTGCTATGTTATTTAGTGCATAAAGGTTTCTGTCAGCTATGTGTTCATTGTGAAATGTATTCTTGATGAAAGTGACCATCAGTGACAGACAGCTAATTATCTACCCCAACATTTATTCTAACTTTCCTCCTCAATAACAAAAGATCAATTTTCAGAGGAGTACTTTGGTGTCTGAAAATAAAAGATCCCATTTTCCAGTCTTCTTTACAGCTATATGGAGCCACAACACTAAGTTCTGGCTAATGAGATACAAGCATACAATTTTGTGGTTTTTCCAGGAAACCTGCTTTAAGGAATCTAACTCAGCTGGAAGGCGTTAGCTTTTTTTTGTTTTTCCTTTCCTTTCTTTTTGATTTTCCTGAAGTTAATAATCATCTTGCTTTTTCACTTGTCTAGTTTTCTTTGTACCTATTAGTTAATTATTTCCACATCTCATAATAGCCTTTCAGAACAATTTCCCACAAAGTCCATCATATTGTGTAATCTGTCAGTTTCAGGTTGTTGTTTTTTTTTTGGTCACTCCCATTCCTCTTCTGTTTGGACTGGTTTTTTTCTAGGCTTACTGCATAGTTGATCATCAGGGGCTTTTCTTTACTATAATCAGAGGAATTCCCCTTGGCTTTCTTTTGAGTTGGAGTCTCTACTTCCTGAGTTACACATCTTCCTTTTATATACCCCCTTGATTTGACAAAGCATAACCTCTAGTTGCTTCCCAAGTTAAAAAGATGATTTAAAAGCAGTGGACTGTTACACCGGAAACACATGTGTTCTAAATTGAAGAAGTCACCCTTTATGCCTGTACACAACAATCATTTTGGGATTGCCTTTCACTACTACACTGAAGATTCTCTTTACCCCTCTCCCATATTCGATATTTTATTTCTATATCACATGGCTTCCTTTTTCTTGGTTTACTACCTTGTTTTGGTTGAACACATCTATCAGTAACTTCCTGAGAAACAGTGTATGGGAGGTAAATTTTGGGGGCCCTACTATTCTATCTGAAAGTGTCTATTCTATCTTCATACTTGTTGGATAGATTGGCTGGGTGAGAAACTATAGGCTGGAAATGATTTTCCCGTGGAATTTTGAATTTCCAGTGTTGCTAAGAAGTCCAATGCCAATCTGATCCTGAGCCTTCATACGTGACTTTTTTCTTTCTGTGGAAGTTTGTAGGCTCTTCCTTTTGTCTCCAGGGTTCTGAAATTTCACAGTGAAATTTCATTATATCCTTGGTATAGGTCAGATTTACTCCACCGTACCAGAAATTAATCTTGAAACCTGTGTCCTTCAGTCCTGGGACATTTTCTTGAATTATTTTGTTAATGATTTTTTCCCCTTTTTTCTATTCTCTCTGAAACTGCTGTTATTTGGGTATTGGATCTTCAGGACTGGGCTTCTAAATGTTGTAAAAATATCTTTTTTCCCTTGTATTTTGTGTGTATGTGTGTGTGTGGTCAGTTGCTGCTTTTTGTTTTGTTTGGCTCTACTTTCTGGGAGATTTCCTCAACTTTCTCTTCCAACATTTTTATTGAATTCTAATTTCTGCTCTTGGGTTTGTTTATTTCTGTAATATTCAAGAGCTTTTTGTTTTCTGAATATTCCTTTTATAGTTTCTTGATCTTATTTCATGGTTTTTTTATCTCTTGAAAATGTTAATGACATATTTGATTTTGTTAGGAGGATGGGGAGATAGGCTTTTTTCCTTTTCCTTTCTGCATAACCAGTTTCTATTGAATTTTTGTTTGTCTTGGTCTTATTCTTTCTCAGCAGAGTCTTTTTTTACCCTTAGATGTTGAATTACCCTTGGTTGTTTGCTCACGTCTAAGAATGGGAGACTAAAAAGCGATTTGGAAGCTCTGAGTGCATGGAAAGAGCCCACAGGTTTAGTCTTCACTGTAGGGTGGTATCATTGGGGTGATAAAATTGGGCCATTTGTGCAGAACCCTCCCACCAAGTGTCAACATCTTTAGATCTTTTCCTCTGGGCTGCTCCGATTCCCCAGAGAGGACTCATGCAGTCTCCTGCTGGAGGGTAAAGGCCTTGCTGCCAGGACCCCCTCTCTGGGGGTCCAGGGGAGAAGCAGGACACTGGGAAGGGCAGGGGAGGGGTCTCACATACTGCATGCAGTTTGCATACTTTTACTTAATTCCCCTGTGTTTACCATAGACTCAGGCTCTCAACTGTGCTTGGCATTCTTCAGCCCAAAGAGCCTGTATTTTATCCTCTCTAGAGAATAAATGTTTAATTTCTTCCCAAGTGGAGGAGAGACATTCACTCAGCTGGGTGGAGTGAGGAAGGGATCTAGGACTCACTCTCTTCTGAAACAAATTTCAACCAAGCCCCCTTATTTTAGCCACCAGTTCCCAGGTGGCACCTGTGCCTGAGCCTTTTGAGGATTTTCTGGGGAAGATGAGGTTGATTCTCAGCTTTCCTACTACTGATTTAGGATTTGGCTTTCTGAGGCCGCCTCAGCTCGTTGCCTCTGGTTCAAGTCTGCTTTCCAGCATCGAAACCTTTGTCTGATTGCCTTCTTCTTCCCTGTTCTTTCTGTCCTTGTAGGTTAGGTTTTCAAAGTGCCTTTCCTATCGTTTTTCTGTGGGATTTGGGGAAGAAACAAAATCTGGTGCGGGTTTCAAGAAGCCATTTTTATCTGGAATTCAAACTCTGATTTCTTTGTTACATTTGCATGTTCCTAAGTTTTACTTTCAACTATTTTGCTTCTCTTATTTTTTGTTGATGACACAACTAAAAAGCTATATGGAAGCTCTGGATGCATGGGTGGAGCCCGTAGATGTTGTCTTCACTGTGGACAGAATGAAATTGGGTTTGATATTTTTTCTTCAATCTGAAATGACTTTTTCCTTGAATAGTTGAGTCTATCCCACTTATTTTTGCTTTTCTTACTTTATTTTGTGCTTCATTATGGTTTCCTTTGTTTTCCATCTTTTCTTTATGGGATGTGTTTTGAGTTTTGTTCTTGTTATTGTTAGCTTCTTACCTGCCCCACTTCCGTTAATTTAGAAGATAATCTGTTTATAGTTCTAATAGTCTCTTCAACACGACTTGATTAAACCTTATTTCTCAGTTTGTTGATTTTGAAATGCAGCAGAATATCTTGACCCCTTCATATGAAAGATGTCGGTTGGGCGTGGTGGCTCACGCCTGTAATCCCAGCACTTTGGGAGGCCGAGGCAGGTGGATCACGAGGTCCAGAGTTCAAGACCTGCCTGGACAATATGGTGGAACCCTGTCTCTACTAAAAATACAAAAATTAGCCGGGCATGGTGGTGGGCGCCTGTAGTCCCAGCTACTCAGGAGGCTGAGGCAGGGAACTGCTTGAACCCGGGAGGCAGAGGTTGCAGTGAGCCGAGAGCACGCCACTGCATTCCAGCCTGGGCGACAGAGCAAGACTCCATCTAAAAAAAAAAAAAAAAAAAGAGTATCCCACATGTACTGCCTCCTCATCCCCCTTCTCCAGCCATTCTCCATTTTGGGGGAGCCAGGGACAGACATATCCTGAAATTTTTCTGTGCCAGTCTATTATACACAGATTATTGTTTTTAATCAGTATTGATTAAGCTTTTCTTTCTAGAAATATAACAATTATATTCTGTTTTTAACTATAATTACTATACTTACAAAGTTTTTATTCTCTTTAAAACTGGATTAAGATTTCAACACCAGTTGTTTATATATTTCAACCTCTTCATTTATTAATTTTGATTTTATCTTTCATTTGAATGGATTATGTCTTTGATTCATTTTCAGCTAGGGTACATAGATACTAAACTTCCTGAATTTTTGCATACTTGAGAATGTCTTTCTGTTATTTTTACTTGTAAACAACATCTGGCAAAGAATTCTTTGATCATGTTTCTTTCTTTCTCTCCCCAAGCTCCTCCCCCGCCCTCAGTGTTCCAAATCCCTTCTGCACAGCCTCTGACATCTTGCCAGATGTGTTTCTCTTTCCTTCTCTTTCTTTCTTTCTCTCTTCCTTCCTTCCCTCCTTCCTTTTCTTTCTTTCTTTCTTGATGGAGTCTCACTCTGTCATCCAGGCCGGAATGGCGCAATCTCAGCTCCCTGCAACCTTCCCCTCCTGACTTCAAGCGATTCTCCTGCCTCAGCCTCCTGAGTAGCTGGGATTACAGATGTGTGCCACCATGCACAGCTACTTTTTGTATTTTTAGTAGAGACAGGGTTTCACCATGTTGGCCAGGCTGGTCTTGAACTCCTGACCTCAGGTGATCCACCCCCTCAACCTCCCAAAGTGCTGGGATTACAGGCATGAGCCACTGCGCCCGGCCTATGGATGTGTTTCTTTTGCCTGGGTGTTCGGGAGATCTCTCTGTCTCTCTGCCTCTGTCTGTGTCCCCTACCCCCTTCTCTTTCTCTTTAAGTTCATTTACAATCACCAGGCCATAGCTCAGTCTTGGTTCTCCTTATTACTTTTCTCTGGACATTAGGAACCCTTTCACTTACAGTATTTCAGGATGATTTTCTTCCAGTAGATATATTAATATTTTTCTGGTTCATTTGCTTGGTTTTCTTCTTCAGTAAGACCAATTATGTGTGTGTTAGATATTTATCATCAGCTTTTCATAATTCGGATTTTCTGCTGGTGGCTTTTACCTTACTCTTTTTGGTATTATTTTCTCCACTCTGACCTTCATGGTAACTGACTGTTTTCTGCTGTGTTTATTTCTTGCTGTTTTTCATTTGTTTTTTTGTTTCCATAATGCTTTTACTTTTCCCCTTAGGCATTTTTCCTTCATTTTGTGAGCTTTCTTTGCATCTCCTTTTTAAAAATCTCATCATCTTTTCTTTCACTTCCTATATCATGGAGTCCATTCTCTTTAAATTATTTAGAACATTCTGGTAAGGTTTTATCTAAAATGTTCTTATGTTTCCTGGAGTAATTCATTTTCTAACAGGTATTCATTGTCTCTCTCTCTTTTTTTTTTTTTTTAACTTTTATGCCCCTTTCCTTCCATTTTTTGGTAGCACCTATAACTGGGTCCCAAGATGGATATATTCTGTAAATCCTTTACCTTTGAATAGGCTGGTTGTTTGTCTAAGAATAGTGTGAGTTGGCATATTAGTTACCTATATTGCCATCATAAATTACCACTGACTTGGTGGCTTAAAACAACACAAATTTATTGTCTTCAAATTCTGTAGTTCTAAAAATCATGGCACTGCCAGGGCTGCATTCCTTCCTGGAGGCTCTAGGGCAAAATCCGTTTCCTTGCCTCTTCCACCTTCTAGAGGCTTCCACATTCCTTGGCTCACAACCCCTCCCACCATCTTCAGAGGCCGTAGTGCAACTCCCATCCTTCCTCTGTACTCATGTCTCCCTGAGACCAGCGCCGGGAAAGGGTCTCAGATTTTAAGGAGCCATGTGATTAGATTGGGCCTACCCAGATAACCTGAGATAATCTTACCATATCAACACAGTCCTTAACTTAATCCAATCTGCAAAGTTCCTTGTTCCTGGTAAGATAACCTATTCACAGAATCTGGGAATTAAGAGGTGAACATCTTGGAGTTGGGGGCAGGCATTATTCTGCCTTTCCCAAAGTTAGAATCTCCTCAACTCTGAATTATATCCCTAGAGTTTGGGCTACAGAGCTTCCCATTGGAAGACTGAAACCTGTTTAGGCCCAGGGCAGCGGGGATCTGATAGTGTTAACCTGAGCATCCTGTTTTACTGCCGTTATTCCTGTGAAATTCCAGGGACCAAAGTACCCAAAGGCTAAGTGTCCACCCTCTGTTCTTCCTAACATAGTTAATGCCACAGACGTGGTTAATGTCACAGCATCAGTTGCATAGCTTCTGTTTTTGTTTTTTTTTTTGAGACGGAATTTCGCTCTTGTTGCCCAGGCTGGAGTGCAATGGCACGATCTTGGCTCACTACAACCTCCGCCTTCCGGATTCAAGTGATTCTCCTGCCTCAGCCTCCCAAGTAGCTAGGATTACAGGCGCGTGCCACCATGCCCAGCTAATTTTGTATTTTTAGTAGAGACGGGGTTTCACCATGTTGGTCAGGCTGGTGTCAAACTCCTGACCTCAGGTGATCCACCCGCCCTGGGCTCCCAAAGTGTTGGGATTACAGGCGTGAGCCACTGCTCCCAGCCTGCATAGCTTCTTTGTGAGCGCATCAGCTATGTGAAGATGAAACGCACTGGGGAAAATGCAGAACAATCACTTTAAAGAAGGCAGGGGCAGGGTGTCATTAACAGGTCAGGGGAGAGAATCCTGTGCTGGTTTTCTGAAGCCTGGGGGGAAAAATGACTGTTTTACTTACCGAGCCCAAGCACCAGTACTACAGGACCAACACAGGGAGGAAAAGCACACAGGAGGAATATTCAAGAACCGATTTGATTTAGGGCAGGGTTGCAAGGAAACACTCTTCCGTTCACCACGGAGTGAAAATCACGTTCTAAAGACTTAGTAAAGAATGCCAATTTAATTTATTTGACCCTAGGGCGAAGGACAGGCAGGAACAAAAAATCTTGATTTACAATGTAGATTTAATCATATGCTGCTGTTGATCATCCTTTCGTAGTCATTGAAGGTATATTTTCCTTCCTCCTTTCTCATCTCTGTCTCTTCCATCTCCAGCACCTTAGCTTTCAGTTAAACATTTTTATGATTAACTCAGAAAGTAATCTTAGCCGTAAACCTTCAAGTTCAGATACAGGCTAAGAAAGAGAGAAATATTCTAAAATGAATCCACCTAGCACCAGGATGACTATCAGGACTGTAATTCTGGTTCGGTTGTGATGCCAATTATAAAACACTCTAGCTGTGGTGTTGCTGTTTTTGACACCAGGAGGAAATCTTGACAGAATTATAGCCTAGAAATCAATCTGGGAATACGATACAGAAATCTATAATTCAGATATGAAAATCTACAAAGGCTCTTTTTTTAAGGAAGGTTCAATGAAATTAGATTAAAATAAATTTACATATATATCAATTTTATTATTAAAATATATTCACACTAGTAAATAGAGTTATCGGGGAAGGGTAAGCTACTCAGTGTATTGGACACAAAAATAGACCTCTTTGGCTTATCAGAAAACAAAGCTATTGTCTCCTTGTCAAATATAAATCTCTTCTTAGAGCTAATAAATGGGTAGTGTTCAAATGCAATGTTTTGTCTGACTCCTACCTCATAAACCCATGGCACATAATACTAAATTATATTCCACTGAGCAGTATCAATCTCTTGATTCCAACATCATACAGTAAGGGAAACAAACCAAGTAATTGATCTGTCGAAAAGAAGGAAAAAAAGTTATTTCAGAACAAATAAAATGGGCTATAAAGTTTGTTAAAACGTAATAATAATAGTAAAAAAAAAGAAAGAAAGAAAGAAACAAAGAAAGAACTATGTTCATGGCTGCATCCAGAAACCTGCCCTCTGCCTGGCTGTAAAATAATTCATTTCATGCTGCAAGCTTGTAGCACAGTATTTTCTTTTAAAATTAATGCTTACTACAGAGAAAGAGTATAGGATTCTGATTGATGTTGGGAAGTTTGCCGTGTATGAGACCCACTGTTTTTTTGCATCCTCCTTTCCCTCCGTGCTGCAAGGAGGGAGGGGGCAGGGCAAGCTGTGACCTTAACCCTCCCCCACAAGGTCTTGGTCATGCTATCTCAGAAATCCCCGGAAAAGGATGTAAAAGGAGGGTTCTAGATGAGTCAGTGGCAATGACATTCAGCAAAATGGTAGCAGGGAGTTTTAATCTTGGTGTTGTTTTCTGGAGTATCTTTTTCTCTCTTCATTGGACTGCATTTTAGGACTCTCAGGAAACCACCCAAGAATGAGATTTCTGATTAGCTCATTTGGGTGCCAGGTCATTTTGTGCAAACTGGAAACTGCTATATAGGTTCCTTTGAGGATGTGGTGGTTTCTGAATTTTTATGTATTATTGTTGTTTAAATAAGATGGGTATGTGTGTCCCACATCCAGAGGAGCCCAGAGGGTTTCAGTTGTCCCTGGAAAGGCAGTGACAGGTCTCTTCTCATTGCATATGGCTCCCCGTTGGTGCTGGGTTTGTAGTTGTTGTTGTTGGCTTTTGCTAAACAGACCTTCCACACAGACATTTCCTCCAGAAAGCCAGAGAGAACAGAGCTGCCGAGGGGAGGGAGGCTGGCAGACACCCACCCCCAGGCACAAGGGGCTGTCACTTCCGCACTCAGCGCAGTCTGCTGGGGCCAAGCCTGTCCCCTCAGGTCTGGAAGCTTTCTTCTTAGATTTCCGAGGACAAAACTGCCATGGCTTTGCACAGGGCATCTCTGCTCTGCCTTTCTCAACTTCCTCTCTGCTTTTCTCTTTCTCCTTCTTCATCTTTCAGTTCATTCTCCTTTTATTCTCTGACTGCCGTGAAACAGCCCCTCCCACTTTGTTCCCAGATCACGTCCATTGAGGACACTTCTTCCCTTTCCCTCCTCCTTCTCTCTTCTGCCCCCTCCTCCTTCATAATCAGCATTATCTTGACAACAAGAGTAATAATGATGATATCTGGTCTTTACTGAGTGCTGATTATGCAGTTGTTTCCTATGTGATTCCATCCATTCAACAGCCCAGTAAAGGAGGTTTGCTCAGGTAAAAGGCAGTCAGCGTTAGAGAAGCCATGTCCTTGCTCCAGGCCACATAGCCAGGTAAGATCCATGGAAGGGGCCAGCCCTGAACCCAACTCTTTGCTCTGAACTGTTAAATTCTATCCTTTATGCAATGGGATTGCATTTATCCTTCTCTGTTGGCTAGCTGGTTTGAAGAAGACACATTTAACGTCAATTTCCTTATCTGTTAAATGGGACAATAATCTCTACTCTTTTAACCTCACAGCACTACTGCTCTGGAGAGTAGATGGAGGATGTGTGCATGTGGTTGATAGCTTGAAAGAGCTGTACGGATACTGTGAATGGCTATGACCTGCTCTGCACGTGAGTGCCCAGAGTACCTCCTGTCAGGGCCGACTCTTATTCAAATGTGTAGGGGAGAGTTTGTCTTCTCGCCTGTTCTCACATAACAAGTTACACGCTAAGCCGCGCATGGTGGTGCACACCTGTAGTTCCAGCTACTTGGGAGGCTGAGGTAGGAGGATTGCTTGAGCCCAGGAATCAGAGGCTGCAGTGAGCTATGATCGTGCCCCTGCACTCCAGCCTGGGTGACAGAAGGAGACCTTGTCTCTCCGAAAATGAATAAATACATAAATAAATAAAGCACACACAGCCCCCAAATAGGATGCTACAGATTTGTCTATATGTTAAGAAGTGTAAACACATTTACTATGACACTTCCCCATGTGACGCTGAATTCCTGCTCAATACAAAGAGGCTAAGATGGCAAATATTGAAGGGATGACCCTCAAAGAGTATTTGCTGCATCTACTCACTATGGGTTGGTACAAATAATTTTAAAAATATTTTTTCTCTAATGGTGACCTGCTTGCTTTCCTTATCTATGGAAGACATTTTAAAGACACTCATTGGCTTGGAAGTGGGGAAGGTAGCCTGTTCTTCTCATTGGCTTGGAAGTGGGGAAGGTAGCCTGTTCTTCTGGTAACACATGCGGCGAATGACCCCAAAATAGTCAAAGACAAAATTGCCCTTTTGTTCAGGACCCCATCGAGCCAAGAAAACTGGAAATTTTTTTTTTTTCAATTCAAACTGAAGCAAACTGGAAATTTTTAATCAGGGCATTTACCAATGTTTATAAAATTATTCTGCTAAATGTGGTTTTGATTTTTTTGTTTCAATTATGTCCAATTTTAAACGATGGAATATGGTGGTACATTATGAAATTAAAAACCAGATTGGCATATAGTTTATAGGCCAGAGCTCCCTAATTTGATGTAATTTATTTCCGTATGACAATTTCTTTTGGGGGACAACACATTGAAACCCTTGGATAATGACTTTGTCATTTCTAACATGGTCCAAAGTGAGAAGGATGCTGTAATTTCTTAAGAGGACAGCAGTAGGACCAAAGAAAAATTAAAATGCAAAGTAGAGAGGGTTTCTTGCCCGCCCCACTCTCTCTCTCTTTCATTATCACGGGTCCTTCCAGGAAGCACTATTTCTGCAGCTGATCCTTATGCGGACTATGGATAATAAACAGCCCATTAATGGAGGCCTGAACTAGGAAATGGAGTTGGAATCAGCAGCAAAATCCAGTGGCTGACGAAGGTTAATAACTCCATTACTGCAGCTCTGGGCCTGAGCCTCCCGACGAGCAGGGTGTTAGCCTTATCTTACTCCTCATTAATTGAGCTAATAGAACCCGGGTGACCCTGCCTTGCTGCCATCATCCGAGAGTTTACCAGACATGGGCTGGAATACATATCATTGACTGTGTGCGCCATGGTGCCTTTTCTCTTGGAAGAAAGCTCTTTCTTAAAGACGGGTTTGCTGCGAGCCTCCGCCTAACAGAAGGCCCATCCTAACGGAAGCCCCCATGCAGCTGACTGCAACAGGACCTGACATCATTCTGATTTTGTCGCATGGGCCGTGATGCAGCAAAGGCCTGCTGCGCTCCTTCGCACCTCGAGACAGAGGTCCACTTGGGGATTGAGGTTTTTGCCTCAAATCGGGCAGCTTTGGTGGAATGGCCATTGTTTCCACAGTGTCGGTGGACAAGGGTGAAAAAGAAAGTGGGGCGTGTGTTGGGGGTGGGACCCACAGCCTTGCCTTTTCTGGGCTCTTCTCTTTCTTTAAACATTTGGCAGCGATCTCTCTTGCACCCCAAGTTTCCTTCCTTGCTCGCAGAGCTTCCTGATAGTTCACAACTGTTTCCCTCAGCCCTGCTTGACTGCTTTACTGGCCAAGTTGTCTACAGGCGGCTACTTACCCTTTCTAAGCCTCAAGTCTCCTTAACCATCAAAGGGAGTAGTAGCCCCGCCCACCATTTGCTGGGCTAATGGACATATTTGCTGGGAAAATATGTATGGGTGGGAATGATGAATTGGAAAATACTCTGTACAACTGAGATAATGTTGTCAACAGATTCAAAGTTGAAATCTGAGTTTGCTAGAGAGCCAGGCTCAGTCTGTAGCCAGGGAGGCAGCAGGGGCAAGGAACACCGGTGTGGAGTCCAAGCAGCTCGTCTCTGATCTACTTCTACTTGGGCAAGTTCTTAGCTTCTCTGCACCTCCGTTTCCTTGACTAAAAATCAGGGACAGTGGGATTTGGGGCATCAGGTGAGAGGATTCAATGGGATGATGCGGGGAGGCACTGGGCACAACTGGCACCAATAGGGGCTCCACCCGTGTGACCATATTTATTCCTAATATTTTGAGGGCTCTGTGCCTTTCTGTGGAGATCAGAGCTTCTGAGAAGTACGTTCAACCCAATTCCTCACCAAAATACCAGTCGCAAGATTTTGTGGCTGTGGCTGGCCCCTCTGAGCAGCCTGCTTCCCCTGGGCTGGCTTTGCGGGGTAGAGTTGGAGAAAGGCAGTTCCTTATCCACCAGGTGACACGCGGGGCAGGAGGATGATCTTGCAAGGAGACAAGGATGAAATCAGACTCATATCTGAGACCCCCATGGAACCAGGGGTCTAATGTGGCTAATTTAAATAATTTTGGAGGCTCCAGAGCACAGAGGCTGTCCCAGGTTGTCTAGAACTTGGCCCCAAGTATGGCCTGTGGAAGCCGGATAAGGAAGTGGTTGGTGGGGGCTTAGTAAATTGCCCGTGAAGGGGAATCAAGAGTTTTTAGCCATGACTTCAAAGCTGGGGGAAGAGAGCCCTGTGAATCGTCTTCTCCTGTCTTGGGGTGGGATGAGAAGGCACTGGCCTGTCCTAACTCTGAGCTCTTCATCTTTTGGGATCGAGGCACACTCATGGAGGTGGCCTTGAAGAGATTAAAGCTCAAGCAAAGGTCCTCCATCCTCCAGCCCTTCCATCCTGCAGCGTGGCGGCCCCGCAGCACTCTCAGAGCTCTGCTGGCACAGCTGTTTGAGGGACGGCCTCATCCATGCTTTTGGATCCACCGCCCCCACAGCAGGCTGCCTTCCTGTGCCACCAGCTTGGTCACCACCACCCTTCTCACAGCCACTTGCACTCAGCATCAGCACACTCTGACCAACAGGACTCTCGGGACTCTCAGAGCAGGCCTCGTGCTTTGTTGTAGCAAAAGCGAGTGCTACCCTGTGGGCGGAATTTGGCCCAGGCCTGCAGGGTGCTCCCTGAGCCTCCTTTGAGGTCAGAAGGGAGGCGGTGGCTGGGTCATCCGGCCTGCAGTTAAGAAGGAGGTGCACCCCTGGGCTCGAGCCCAAGGTTGTGGCCAGTAATGGTGGTGATAGGCCAGCAGCCCACCACCCCTAGAGTTGTAGCATTTTAATCTCTCAGTAAATAAACTCAGAACTGGAGTGGAAAAAGGAAAGTTCTCCCATTATTTTCCTGCCTGGGGACCATTGACATTTTACCACTTATTTCCAATGTTTGTGTAAGAGGCAGTCCAGTGAGGATGATGTGGGCAAATGCAGGAGAGGCCGGTGCTGCTGCTTTCTCGGGTTAAAACTTAGTTTATGACAGCCTGTTGCTAGGTGTGTTGTCTGTGTTTGAGAGCATAAGAGCAATTACTTTTGAAGCAGTGACATCAAAAAATGTACATAACCTGTGAACTCTGCCTGCAGCCTCATGGATTTTTCTGAGTATAAAAATACAGTGAATTTCTGCAGAGAGAGTGCCTAGGCAACCGCAGGCATGGCTGTGCTGTCCCCAAGAGGCAGCCGAGGATTGGGAGGGAGCATTGCATGGTACCTGGGGTAGGTGGGAAGAAGCTTCCAGGGAGCCATGGAGAGATGGCCTGTTCTATCAGGGAGCTTAATCTTGAGGAAGAGATGGGGTCATGCCATATAGCAAGGGCTCTGTGTGGTCTTTTCTTGGTGAGTAATTTTGCTAGTTTAAAACAGACATGAGGCCAGGCACAGTGGCTCATGCCTGTAATCCCAGCACTTTGGGAGGCGGAGGCTGAGGCGGGCAGATCACTTGAGGTCAGTGGTTCGAGACCAGACTGGCCAACATGGCAAAACCCCATCTGTACTAAAAATACAAAAATTAGCCGGGCATGGTGGTGCACGCCTGTAATTCCAGCTACTTGGGAGGCTGAGGCAGGAGAATCGCTTGAATCCAGGAGGTGGAAATTGCAGTGAGCCAAGGTTGCGCCACTGCACTCCAGCATGGGTGATAGTGAGACTCCGTCTCAAAAAAATAAAAAAGGAAATAAAAATAAAATAAACAGACACAAACAGTCTCACTGCAGTATACTGAAACTCAGTTTATTTACCACTTAACATTTTTTCCTAAGAGCTTTCTAAGAGCCCCCCAGTCCAGCCTGCATTGCTGGTTCAACTTTCCTGCTGACTCTTGGAGGTCAGGGAGAGGTTTCCAGGGTCCCTTTGCCATCCCCTGCTCTCAGCACAGCATTCTGGGTAAACATGTCCTTTGGAGACAAAGGGATGACTGTTCTCCATTTCCTGCTGTAGTGTCTGAGAACCTTCACAGGCAGGAAATTTCCCCTCCTGAAAAGACTTCTCTTTGCCTACCTTTAAGGTTTACAACTCTTCATTGGCAAAGCGCATCTCAATTTCTTTCCCTCCTGTGGATTCCAAGCTCTTATTAGGGGCCCAGTGGGTTGTACTCAACCGGTAACAGTTCGGCCTAAGCCAGCGGTGAATAAGACATTGGAGAAGATAAACATGCCTTCCCCGCCATGGAAATCAGAGCTCCAAAGCAATCTCCATGCCTCGGGTGGACAATGACAGGTGACCTTTAACAGAACAGAGCCCGGGGTAGTTGGCATTTGAATCGAGCTCTGATGGAGACGCCCCCATTTTTGGCAGGCGCGATGCTCGACCGTTCACTTAAATTTATTTCCCAGAGAAAGGCAAGAGGACAGAGACACCAAGATGACTTGGAGAAATCATATTTGTTTTTCTTTACCCATAGGGGACTTCGGGAGACATCAGAGTGTACTTCAATTTTCCATCTTCCTTACAGGCATAACTAAAGTGCTGAACTGCTGAACCCGGCACTGTGCTTTAAAAGCTTGAGCCTCTGCCAGATTCAGGTGGCAGATGTCTAAAAGCTTGAAGCTCTTCTTCCTAAATATCACAGAAATTATTTAATATATAAAAAAACTTTTAAGAAAAGTCTTCCACAAATAGAAGTGCAGCCTTACTTTTTATGAGATTGTAAGACTCCAGGCATCGCCTCCTTGTTGGCTTTGAGATTTCTGCAGATTCCAGACCACCCCCAACCCCCCCATGAGCAGGAGGGTCAGAGCCACCCCCACCCCATTCTGGCCACGAGACAGTGTCCATCCAGGGGCGCTGGCATTGTGCCTCCTTTTCTCTCCTGGGCCTGTCTCAGGAGCGTGGATTCTAGGTCATAGGGCAAGGCTTCATGCATCCCAATAAGGTCTGCCAGGCCAGGAGCCCCTCCCAGAGTAGAAGGTGGAGTGGGGAGAAGGAGAAATGGGGAGCATCCAGAAGCCAAGGGAAGAGGGGGGCCCCATGCTTCCTCTCTTTCCTATCTACCACTCCCGTCTCCCCCCTACACCTTAGCACACCTACCCACTTCCTGTTTCCTAAACACGGAGTTTTTACTCATGGTGTTTCTTCTTTCAGAACACCATGGGATTTCATACAAATCTTATCTTTTTACAAGTCTTAGCTCAAATGCCACCTGCTCCAGGAAGCCTCCCCTGATGCCTCTTCTTGCCCTGCACCTCCATAAGACTTTACATATTTTTCTCGTGATGGGAAGCAGCATAATAGGACAGTGGTTAAGAAAGAGGTTCTGAAGTCAGCAACTGGGTTGGAATCCTGGCTTTGCCATCTATGGGCTGTGTGATGCTGGTCAGGGTATTTGTCACTCTGAACTATGGTTTCCTCCCATGTAACATGGCAATGACTTTATTCAGTTAGGCAACAAATATTTGTGGAACATCGATTGCATGCAGGCACTACTTGAGTTCTTGGGACTCAAAAGGAAACAAAACCTAAGACGCTTCAGGTGTCTTACATTCTGGTTGGAGTGAGAAAGTCTATAAACACCAGATGCATAATATGTTGTGTGCTATGGAGAATAAAACAGGATAAAGGGGAATAGGGAAGACGGGCAGCTGGAAGGGAGAGGACAGGGTGGTGTGTTTATAGAGGGCCATCCAGGAAGGCTGGAGAGGACAGGGTGGTATGTTTATAGAGGGCCATCAGGGAAGGCCTTTCTGATGATGCTTGAGCAGAGGCTTATATGGAGTGAGGGAATGAGCCATGGACAGATGTAGGGAAGAGTGGTCCAGGCCTGGAACTACAGTGCAAAGGCCCTGAGTTAGGAATGTGCCTGGCAACTCTGAGCAACATCAAGGAGGCCATTGGCCATAGATCAGGGAGAGACTCGCAGGTGAGGTGTCAGAGGTCACAGGAGACCATAGACCTTGAAGGAATTCGGCTTTTCCTTGGAGTGATGTGGGAGCCACTGTGTGGGGCTTGAGCAAATGACAGATGGGATCCCGCTGATGTTGTAAAAAGATACCTAGTGGGTGGAGAAAGGGCTGTAGGCAGGGGGACAAGGTAGCAGCTGGGAGGCCAGGTATAGGGCTGTTGGCAGTAATCCAGGTGAGAGGTGCCAGAGGCCTGGACCAGGGTGGTAGCTGTGGAGGTGGTGAGAAGTCTTTTGAAGGTAGAATTGGTACCATTGATTTGCTATCACACTGGATGTAGGACATGTGAGAGAGAGAGGCGTTGCAGAGAGCTCAGGTGCTTGCTGGGGCAGCAGGAAGAATGGACTGGCCTTGTGATGACCAGAGGAGGAGGCTGGAGGAATGGGGTTGAGGAGGGACCACTAGCTCAGTTTTGGGCATGATAAGCTTGAGATGCCTCTTAGAAATCTACTGGTTTGCTGGGGCTGCCACAGCAATGTACCATAGATGAGGTATCTTAACAGAAGTTTATTTCTTCAGAGTCCTGGAGGCTGGAAGCCCAAGATCAAGGTGCCAGCAGGTTTGGTTTCTTCTGAGGCCTCTCACTGCATCCTCACATGGCACGTGTGCCCTGGGTGCCTCTCTGCGTGTCCACATTTCCTCCTCTTAGAAGGACTCCAGTCAGATTGGATTGGGGCCCACCTTTTAGGGCCCTTTTAACTTAACCACCTCTTTAAAGGCCCTGTGTTCAAATACAGTCACCTTCTGAGGTTCTGGGGGTGAGGGCTTCACAGGTGAATTTTGTGGAACACAATTCAACCCTAACAACATCTGCAGCGGGCTATGAGTCTGGTAGTTCAGGAAGAAAAATTTGGGAATCACCAGAGTCTAACACCCAGTGAGCTCTCAAAGAGCAACTCCTCTCATTGATGGTGGTGGCAGGAGCATTCTGGGGTGATATGGTTTGGCTGTGTCCCCACCCAAATCTCATCTTGAATTCCCACGTGTTGTGGGAGGGACCTGGTGGGAGGTAATTGAATCATGGGGGCAGGTCCTTCCCATGCTGTTGTTGTGATAGTGAATAAGTCTCATGAGATCTGATGGTTTTTTTAAGGGGGAGTTCCCCTGCACAAGTTCTCTCGCTTTGCCTGCTGCCATCCATATAAGATGTGACTTGCTCCTCCTTGCCTTACGCCATGATTGTGAGGCCTCCCCAGCCATGTGGAACTGTCAGTCCATTAATCCTCTTTCCTGTATAAATTACCCAGTCTCAGGTGTGTTTTTATTAGCAGCGTGAAAACAGACTGATACACAGGCTCTGAAAGGAAGCTCCGTCCTAGCCTTTCCCCTCTGGTGACCTCACACCACACGACGCTGCTTGTCAATGGCCCTGGCCATTCATAATGGAGCCACACCGCCATAACAAGGTGGGAGCCTTGAGCCTTTTGAAGGGAATTGCAGTCAGAACATGCTAGATGGATGGAGACCCAGTACTCTCCAGCTTACCTTCATTCTGCCTTCACATTTCAATCAAGTGACACCTTGGGGTTTGTTTCTTTACAAGAGGCGCCCTTTCAGTCCATGAAGGACCCCTTAATGGCCTTATTGAGAGCCTGTGGTAGGGGCTTAAGCATATAAAGATGGAGGATTGTACGATCCAGGGAAGGCGACACATTTTCATAAACAGAATCTCGTAAAAACATCCAGAGAGGGCTGCCATGTGCATGATTCCTGGCCCGTTCTGTTGACAGGGACATAATTCTCACAGTGTAAGCCTGACCACCATCTGCCATAGCACTTTCCTCCATAGTCTCTTGTCTCCTGTGGGCAGGAGGGCCAGGCCCTGGGCTGTGCACCTGGCCTACCTCTTCCCTCCTAGTCCTTCCAGCAAGACCAGGAAAGGGTGCATCACCCGAACCTTTCAGCTGAGGAAACTGAGGCTCCAAGAGGCTGAGTGTCTTGCCCTCATCACACAGCACATCATGGCAGTGGAGACGGACTCGGACTGAGACGGAGTCCCTGGACTCCTGTGCTCTGAGCCGCTGAGCGCAGAGTCTTCAGGTCACCCTGGCACTAAGTCCACACCTGCCCTGCTGGCTTCCCAGAGGCCTCCTGAGGCCCCCTGCTCAGCCAGACCCTCCCATCTCCTGTGCTGCGTTTGCCGAGGCCACCAGCTGCTCCCTCCCCACTGAGATGAGATGGGGGAAGCATCTCCCTGACTGGGGAGGCCCACACCGCTGGGCCTGAGAGAAGGTGTAACCCCATGCCAGGGGGTCTGCCGTGCACTCAGCAGCTGCTTCCAGAGCCCACTGGGTTCCTGGATCCAGGGGAGGGGGAATGGGGGTCAACAGGGAGCAAGACCGCCCCACACTGCGCCCCAGGGCTCCCCTTGAAGGGGCCGACCCATCCCGCTCTTCCCTGCCTTGTCCCGGTCTCGATCTCGGCCCAGCCCGCTGCCCACCGCGCTGCCCCAGGTCTCTGTTGAAATGGGACCGGCTTCCCAGCCAATTCAATCCCGGAAGTCACCACTGACCCTCACGCGGGCTGCTCAGGTTACAGCCAGGGGCAGGGCGCGCGTGCAGGGCGAGGGGCATCCCCCGCGCTCCCAGCCCGCTCCTCCACAGGGTGTCCCCTCGCCCCTGCCCCACCCCCTACCCCAGCCAGCGTTCTGGGCTCTTTATTCATTCCGAGATTCATAGCCATGAAAGTCAAACCCAGAGGCCCCTGGACGCCATCGAGCGCGGTCCTCATGGCACTGAGGAAGCAGCAGAGGCCCAGGGAAGCTGAGCGCGCCGAGGGGTGGCCCTTGGCGCGGGGCTGGGCCTCCGGGCCCGGGCTGGCGGGGCTGCTGTTTGTTTCCGCTTTCACTTTTAAATGCCACGTTGTCTGCATCCCAGGACCCAGGCAAGGGGCACGAGTGTGACCCCCCCAGGCCTTCCCCTGGTTCCGTTTCCCTCCCTAGCCCGGTCCCCACGATGGGTGGGGACAGTGGGCTGTGACAATGGATCGCGACTGCTGTTTTTACCTGGCGGACGATGCGCCCGAATTCGCTTTAACCAGATGCCCCTCTTCGCCTGGAGCCCTGGGAGCAGTCCCCCTCTCCGCTCAACAATAATTAGCCTTGTAAGACTAATGGAGGAAATCGTGTCTAATTACCCTGTTGAAGACCCAATTATGCGATTAACATTCGTGGCTATAAGCTAATGATGAGAAGAGCCTCTCATTTGCATAGCATTAAGTTAATTGCTGGCAAGCGGAGGGGCGGACAAGGCGGTGATGGCAGGATTCTCTTTCTGAAAGGATACTAATGACCAGAGAGGACGAGCCACCTGACAGCTTTATTAATTAACAGCGATCTGATTACCTACCAGGAATGGCAAGTGGCCTCGCTGAAAGTCTCGGCTCTTTGAGAAATGAGAGATGGGAGCCCTCACTGCCGATGTTTCTTCCACACGCTTTGCTGGGTTAGAGGCAAGCTCATGACCGCCTTGAAAAGCCATTTTAGACAAATCTTCCTTTGCATTCTTGCTGGAGCCCTTCTCTTATGCCCTTCCTTGGACATTTGCTCTTTCACTCCCTCCCCCATGCACTCACCCCACCCATAGTGACTGCGCTCCTCCTGCCTGCGACGCTGGCAACAGGCAGCACAGTCTAAGGTCCCTCCCGGGAAAGTGTTCAGAGAGGGTTCCATTCTGGGAGAGGCCCCCACTTTCCCCAGAGGTTTCAGATTCGAGTCAACCTTGCTGCTGGCAAATGTCAGCAGAGAATTTCAGAGCTTGAAGAATCCTTAGAGAGCATCAGTTCGAGTCTCTTACCCGGAAAAAACTGGGGGGCCCGGAGAGGCTAAGGGTCTGGAGCTCAAGATGCCCGCCAGGCAGTGGCAGGGCAGGGTGGTGCCTGGACTGTGCAGGACGGCTCTGTCTCTTCAGCCTCTCTGTCATCCCCGTCAGGCCCACTGTATTTGGAGATTTCGACGTTGCCTTGGGAACCCCTGCCCCTCCCCACAGTGCCCGCCCAGCCCCCTCCCATTTCCCCTCCTAGCACTTACTTGCCCCTGGCCCTCCTCCCAGCCTGTTTCCCCCCATGCGGGCAGGAACTGTATTGCACTCACTCTAATAAATAGATGATTGGACCAATTAAGGAAGCCTTGCAGTGGTGTGGCTGGGACTCATCTTCCAGTGGGTTTTAAAACATGGAGATTTTTAACGACAAATAAAATCTTGCATATATCCTTCTGTAACTTGCTTTTTCACTTAATAAAATATTATGGACATCTTTCCCTATCACTGCATAAAGATACAGCTCACTAGGTGTTTGCATAGCATGAGACTGTCCAGATGTATTATAATGTATTTAAATACCCTCTGTTAGCAGACATGTGTTTCCTGTTTTTTCTATTACAATGCAACAACTAGCATTCATATATATACACACACATATGCATTTGTATTTGTTTTTGCATATGTTTTGATCATTTCCTTGGGGAAAATTCATAGAAATGGAATTGCTGATCCAAAAGGCATAAACAATTAAAAAGTTGGCCGGCACGGTGGCTCACGCCTGTAATCCCAGCACTTGGGGAGGCTGAGGTGGGCAGATCACCTGAGGTCAGTAGTTTGAGATCAGCCTGACAAACATGGAGAAACCCCGTCTCTACTAAAAATACAAAATTAGCTGGGCATGGTGGCGCATGCCTGTAATCCCAGCTACTTGGGAGACTGAGGCAGGAGCATCACTTGAACCCAGGAGGCGGAGGTTGCAATGAGCTGAGATGGCGCCATTGCACTTCAGCCTGGGCAACAAGAGCGAAACTCCGTCTCAAAAAAAAAAAAAAATTAAAAAGTTAATGATTTTGATTTTTTATTGGTAGATAATAATGGTACATATTCATGAGGGTACATGTGATATTTCGGTACATGCATATAACGTGCGATGATCATGTTAGGATATTTAAGATGTCCGTCACCTTAAACATCTATCATTTCTTTATTTTGGGAACATTTCAAATCTCTTCTGGCTATTTTGAAATATGCAATAAATTATTGTTAACCATAGTCCCCCTACTGTGCTATCAAACACTGGAACTTATTCCTTCTATCTAACTGTATTTTCTTGCCCAGTAACCAACCTCTCTTCACCTCCCCTGGCCCCTCCCAGCCTCTGGTAACCATCATTCCACTCTCTACCTCCATGAGATCAACTTTTTTAGCTCCCACATATGAGTGAGAACATGCCATATTTTTCTTTCTGTGCCTGGCTTATTTCACTTACCATAATGACCTCTGGTTTCATCTGTGTTACTGTAAATGACAGAATTTCATTCTTTTTATGGCTGAATAGTACTTCATTGTGTATATATACCACATTTTCTTTATCCATTAATTCGTGGATGGACACTTAGGTTGATTCCATATCTTGGCTATTGTGAGTAGTGCTGCAGTAAACATGGGCATGCAGATATCTCTTAGATATACTAAGTTTCTTTCTTTTTGATACACATCCCACAGTGGAATTGTGGGATCACATGACAGATCTATTTTTAGTTTTTGCAGAACCTCCATACTGTTTTCCGAAGTAGCTGCACTAATTTACAGCCCCGCTAACAAAGTACTAGCATTCCACTTTCTCCACATCTTCACCAGCATCTTTTTTTTTTCAATTTTTGCTAATAGCTATTTTAACTGGGGTGAGATGATATCTAATTGTGGTTTTAATTTGCATTTCCATGATATTTGTGATGTTGAACATTTATTTTCATATGCCTGTTGGCCATTCGTATATCTTCTTTTGAGAAATGTTTATTCAGATCATTTGCCCATTTTTTAATTGGCTTTGCTATTGAGTTCCTGTGTATTCTGACTGCTAATCTCTGTCTGGATGGATAGTTTACAAATACTTCCTTTGATTCCATAGGTTGTCTCTTCACTCTGTTGTTTCCTTCGCTATGCAGAAGCTTTTTAGCTTGATGTAAGCCCCATTTGTCTATTTTTGTTTTTGTTGCCTGTCCTTTAAGCTCTTACCAAAAAAATATTTGCCCAGACCAATGTCCTGAAGTGTTTCCTCATGTTTTCTTTTAGTAGTTTTATAGGTTTGGGCCTTTTGTTTAAGTCTTCAATCTATTTTGATTTGATTTTTGTCTATGAGGAGAGATAGAGATCTAGTTTCATTTTTCTGCATGCAGATATATCCAGTTTTCCCAGCTCCATTTATTGAAGAGACTGCCCCTTCTCCACTGAATGTTCTTAGCACCTTTGTCAAAAGTCAGTGGCTATAAATACATGGACTTATTTATGGATTTCTATTCTGTTCCACTGGTCTATGTGTCTGTTTTTATGACAGTACCATACTATTTTGGTTACTATAGCTTTGTAGTATATTTGATGCCTCCAGCTTTGTTCTTTTTGCTCAAAATTGTTTTGGCTATTTGGAATGTTCCATAGTTCATATAAATTTTAAGTTTTTTTTTTCTATTTCTGTGAAGAATTTCATTGGTATTTTGATAGGGATTATGTTGAATCTGTAGATTGCTTTTGGTAGTATGGTCACTTTCACAATATTAATTCTTCCAATCCATGAACATGGAATGTCTTTCCAATTTTTGTGTGTATGACCTCTTTAATTTCTTTCACCAGTGTTTTATAGCTTTCCTTGTAGAGACCTTTTACTTCCTTGGTTAAATTTATTCTTAGGAGGTCAGGCACAGTGGATCACACCTGTAATTCCAACATTTTGGGAGGCCAAGGCAGGAGGATTGCTTGAGCCCAGGAGTTTGAGACCAGTCTGGGCAACACAGAGAGACCTCATCTCCACTAAAAATAAAAATAAATCAGCCAGGCATGTTGGAGCACATTTGTTGTTCCAGCTACTCAGGAGGCTGAGGTGGGAGGATTGCTTGAACCTGGGAGGTTAAGACTGCAGTTTGCCATGATCACACCACTGCACTCCAGCTTCAGCAACAGAGCAAGATCCTGTCTCAAAAAGAAAATTTATTCTTAGGTATTGTTTTGTAACAATGGTAATTGGGATTGCTTTCTTGATTTCTTTTTCCACCAGTTTATTCTTGGTGTATAGAAATGCTACTAATTTTTTGTATGTTAATTTTGTCTTTTGCAACTTTATTAAATGTGTTTATCAGTTCAAAGAGTTTTTTGGTAGAGCATTTTAGGGTTTCCTATATGCAAAATCATGCTATCTGCAAACAGGGATAATTTGACTTCCTCCTTTCCAATTTGGATGACCTTTATTTCTTTTTTGTGTCTAATTGCTCTGGCAAGGACTTACAGTAATGTATTGAATAAGAGCGATGAGAGTGGGCATACTTGTTTTATTCCAGTTATTAGAGGAAAAGCTTTCAACTTTTTCCTATTCAGTATAAAGTTAGATATCGGTTTGCCATATATATGAGCTTTATTGTGTTAAGGTATATACTCCTTCTATACATTGTTCGTTGAGGGTTTTGTTGTTGTTGTTTTGCTTGTTTATTTTAGAGACAGGGTCTCATCTTGCTATGTTGGCCATGCTGGTCTTGAACTCCAGGGCTCAAGTGATCCTCCCACCTCAGCCTCCCGAGTAGCTGGGGCTACAGGTGTGCACCACTGTCCCCAGCTTGTTAAGGGTTTTTATCAAGAAGGGATGTTGAATTTTATCAAATGATTTTTCTGCATCTATTAAGATGATCGTGTGGTTTCTGTCTTTCATTCTGTTGGTGTGATCTATTGCATTTATTGATTTGCATATATCGAACCATCTTTGCATCCCTGAGATGCACCACATGATTATGGTGAATTCTCTTTTTTTTTTTTTTTTTTTTTTGAAATGGAGTCTCGCTCTGTTGCCCAGGCTGGAATGCAGTGGCATGATCTTGGCTCACTACAACCTCCGCCCCCTGGGCTCAAGCAACTCTCCCGCCTCAGCCTCCCGAGTAGCTGGGACTACAAGTGCGTGCCACCACGCCCAGCTAATTTTTTGCATTTTAGTAGAGATGCGGTTTCACCGTGTTGCCCAGGCTGGTCTCAAACTCCTGAACTCAGGCAATCTGCCCGCCTTGGCCTCCCAAAGTGCTGGGATTACAGACGTGAGCCACCACGCCCAGCTGGTGAATGATCTTTTTAATGTGCTGCTGGATTCAGTTTGTTAGTATTTTGTCGAGGATTTTTGCTTCTGTGTCCATCAAGGATGTTGGCCTATAGTTTTCTTTTTTTGCTGTATCTTTGTCTGGCCTTGGTATTAGAGTAATGCTGGCCTCATAGAATGCATTTGGATGAATTACCTCCTCTTCTATTTTGTAGAAAAGTTTGAGAAGAAATGGTATTAGGTTGGTGCAAAAGGAATTGTGGTTTTGGCCATTACTATCAGTTAGCTCTTCTTTAAATGTCTGGTAGAATTCAGCAGTGAAGCCATCAAGTCCTGGGCTTTTCTGTGATGGGAGACTTTTTATTACTGATTCAATCTTGTCACTCATAATTGGTTTGTTCAGTTTTACTATTTCTTCTGATTCTATCTTGGTAGGTTGTATGTGTCCAGGAATTTATTCATTTCTGTTAGATTTTCCAGTTTGTTGGTGCATAGTTGTTCATAATAGTCTCTAATGAGCCTTTGTATATCTGTGGTACCAGTTGTAATGTGTCCTTTTTTGTTGCTGATTTATTTGGGTCTTTTCTGTTTTTTTCTTGTTAATCAAGCTAATTGATTTTGTTAAAAACTGACTTAATTTTGTTGATCTTTGTATTTTTCTTTTAGTTTTATTTCTGCCCTGATCTTGTTTTTTTGTTTTTTGTTTTTGTTTTTGTGTTTTTGAGACAGAGTCTTGCTCTGTTGTCCAGGCTGGAGTGCAGTGGTGTGATCTCAGCTCACTGCAACGTCTACCTCCCAGGCTCAAGTGATTGTCCCACCACAGCCTCCTGAGTAGCTAGGACTATAGGTGCACACCAACACACCCAGATAATTTTTTAAATTATTTTTTAGTAGAGACAGGGTTTCACCATGTTGCCTAGGCTGGTCTTAAACTTTTGGACTCAAGCAACCCACCCACCTTGGCCTCCCAAAATGCTAGGACAGGATTGCAGGCATGAGCCATTGCTCCTAGCCTGCTCTGATCTTTATTATTTATTTTCTTGTACTCATGTGGGGTTGGGTTAGTTTTTGCTTTTCTAGTTCCTTGAAATGCATCATTAGGTTATTTGAAATCTTCCTACTTTTTTTGATGTTGGTGTTTATCACTATAAACTTCCCTTTTAATACTGCATTTGCTGTACCCTGTAGGCTTTGGGATTGTTAAAAGAAAAACTTTAGACAAATTAAATTCAGCAGACTTTAATTAAGCAAAGAACAATTCATGAATTGGGCAGCCCCCCAAACCAGAACAGGCTCAGAATGACACCAGCGCTGCCAAGTGGGTGGAGTGGATTTGTAGACAGAAAAAGGAAAATGATGTGACATACAGAAGATGGAAACGAGGTACAAAAACAACTGGATTGATTATAGCTTGGCATTTGCCTTATTTGAATACGGTTTGAACAGTTGGCTGCCTTAGTTGGCCAAAACTTGGTGATAGGTACAAAAATAAGTTACAGTCTGTTTACGCATCTAGTTAGATTACAGCTTACTGTGTATAAAGCAACCTTTAGGCCAAACTTAAAATATGTAAGATGGCAGCCTTAGGCTAAACTTAATTGAAGAGTGTGTGTTTCTATTTTCCTTTGTTTCAAGAAATTTTTTAATTTCCTCCTTAATTTCTTCATTGACCCATTGGTCATTCAGGAGCATGTTGTTTAATCTGCATGTATTTGTACAGTTTCAAAAGTTCCTCTTGTTATTGATTTCTAGTTTTATGCCATTGTGGTCACAAAAGGTACTTGATATGATATCAATTCTTTAAAATTTGTTGTGACTTTCCCCCAAAAGCAAGGCACACTCCAGCGGTAGCTCCAGCTTCAAGATGGTGTCATACAGCAGCCGGCTGGCCACAGTGGCAGGGTACTGTGTCACCTCCTTCTCTAGGGGAGCACAGCTGTGTAGATACTAGACAGCTCTCTGCATGGGCATAGGGCCTGTGAGGACCCCAGTGGTGAGCAGGTGTCCAAAGGGTGGTGGGAGCTGCTGGAATCCTCTTTTCTACCTTTTCGCTGTAGGAAGACGTTCCTCCTGGTTCCTGGCTGACTCTGGCTGGAGGATGGGCAGTGGAGTCCTGTTGTTTCCTTCCTTTTTCTTTTCTTTTTCTTTTTCTTTTGAGATAGAGTCTCGCTCTGTCACCCAGGCTGGAGTGCAGTGGCACAATCTCAGCTCATGCAAACTTCGCCTCCTGGGTGCAAGTAGCTGGAATTACAGACATGCACCACCACCCCTGACTAATTTTTGTATTTTTAGTAGAGACAGGGTTTCTCCATATTGGCCAGGCTGGTCTGGAACTCCTGACCTCAGGTGATCCGCCCGCCTCAGCCTCCCAAAGTGCTGGGATTGTTTCCTTCCGTTTTCTATGTGGCTATCCAGAGTTTCTTTGCTCACCAGGGTTTCTGTTACTCCTTTGATGAACTCCAGGACTCACTCCTGTATTTATTTTCATTTAAATATAGTTGTTTATTCACTGTTTGGCCGTCTTTGTGGAAGGGAGAGCTGACTAGAGGCCTCTAGCTAGTCATCTTCCTGGGGTCACTCCAACATCATCTACTTTGATTTTTTAATTGAAAGGAGTCACACATTGAAGGAACATAAATGGTATTCAGTGAAAAATAAATCTCAAAAGAAGAACAGTTGAAAATTAATGATCTAAGCCGCTGACCTAGGTTAAAAAATTACTAAACTCAAAGAGTAGCTGGAGAGAGAACAGAAACCAATGGAATAGTTAACAGAGCTTGGGTAGAGCAAAAGTGGATTCCTTGGCAAAATTAATAAACCGACAAATCTCTAGCAATATTGATCAATTAAAAAAGAAAGAATGGCCAGGCGCAGTGGCTCATTCCTGTAATCCTAGCACTTTGGGAGGCCAAGGTGGGCAGATCACTTATGGCCAGGAGTTCGAGACCAGCCTGGCCAACATGGTAAAACCCCATTTCTACTAAAAATACAAAAATTAGCCAGGTATGGTGGCATGCAGCTGTAGTCTCAGCTACTCGGGAGGCTGAGACACAAGAATTGCTTGAACTGGGGAGGTGAAGGTTGCAGTGAGCTGAGATTGCACCACTGCACTCCAGCCTGAGCTACAGAACAAGACTCTGTCTCTAAAGAAAACAAAAGAGAGAGAGAGAGGAAGAAAAGAAAAGAAGAAAGAAAGAGAGAGAGAGGGAGAGAGAGAGAAGGAGGGAGGGAGGGAAGAAGAGAAAAAGGGAGGAAGAAAGAAAGGAAAGAAAGAACAGATTGACATATTTGAAATGAAAAAGAGGATGAAACACATTTTGATAATAAATATAGTAACATAAATATAACAGATTACAAGGATAGGAAAAATATTACAAACAACTTTATGGCAATACATTTGGAAACATAGATAAAACAGATACATTCATAGGAAAAAAAATCTTATGAATAGTGACATAAGAAGAAATAGAGGCCAGGTGCAGCGGCTCATGCTTGTAATCCCAGCACTTTGGGAAGCTGAGGTGGGCAGATACGTGAAGCCAGGAGTTTGAGACCAGACTTGCCAACATGGCGAAACCCTGTCTCTACTAAAAATACCAAAATTAGCCGAGCATGGTGGCACATGCCTCTAATCCCAGCTACTCGAGTGGCTGAGGCATGAGAATTGCTTGAACCCGGGAGGCAGAGGTGGCAGCCAAGATTGTGCCACTGCACTCCAGCCTGGGTGACTGAGTGAGACCCTGTCTCAAAAAAAAAAAAAAAGAAAAGAAAAGAAAAGAAAAAAGAAATAGAAAATCCAAAGTCCCATAACTATTAAATAAATTGAATAATAAAAATGAATTGTTCCCCTCCCTTAAACACTAGGCCCAGATGCCTTTTACAGGTGAAATCTACCACAGTATTCAAGGAATTGATTATTCCCATTGTGAACAAACTCTTTTCAGAAAACAGAAAAAGAAAAAGAGGGAACACATCACAATACATTTCATAAGATTAATAAAGTCTTAATGTGAAACCCAAAGATAATATAAATAAGAAAAATTACAGGCCAATGTTATTCGTAAATATAGTTGCCACAATCCTAAACAAAATATTAGCAAATCCAATCCAATTGTGTATTAGGGTATTCAAGGATGATTCAACTTTAGAAAAGCTATTACTTGAATTCACAATAATAAGAAATTAAAGAAAAAGAGATATAGCTATTTCAATAGATGAAGACAAAGCATTGGATAAAATTAAATATCTATTCATGATTTTAAAATTCTTAGCTATAAACTGAAGGGAATTTCCTTAACCTGATAAAAGATACCTTCCCAAACTATAGCAACCATAGGTCTTAGTGGTGAAATGTTAGAAGCATGCCCTTTAAAATCAAGCATAAGACAAGGATTCCCCCATCATCATTTCTATGAAACATTATTAAACAGTGCAGTAAAGACAAGAAAAGTAAATAAAACCTCTAGGACTTGGGATGGAAGGACCAAAAGTCATTATTGGCAGGTGTTATGATTATCTACATTAAGAAAGCCCCAAAGAATTTATGGAGTACATAATAGTTTTAGTGAGAGTTTAGCAAGGTTACCAACTAAAAGATCAATAATTAAAGATCCAAAGATTATTTACACTTTCTTTGGCAACAGAGAGTTGGAAAATGTAAAACTAAGATAATAATCAACAACAATGGCCAGGCACAGCAGCTTGAGCCTGTAATCTCAGCTACTGGGAGACTGAGGTGGGAGGATCACTTAAACCCAGGAGTCAGGGCTGCAGTGAGCTATAATCATTCCACTGCACTGCAGCCTGGGCAACACAGCAAGACCCCATCTCCAAAAAAAAAAAAATTAACAACGTATAGCAGAAGAAAAGTGTACACTGAAATAAACACAATGAAAGATGTATAAGCCCTTTATTGGAAAAACTGTGTAAGTTTATTAAAAGGCATGTAAGAATCCCTAAGAGGGAGGCAATGTCTCGTTCATGGTTAGGGACGCTAATATTATAAAGATGTCACCCCTTCCCAAATTGATCATAGATCCAGTGGAATCAGAATTAAAATTCCAAATTGTTGGTAGTGGTTCTTTTTGATGCAACTTGCTGTGCTCATTCTGCATTTACATAGAAGAGCAAAGAGTTAAAAATTTATCAAGTTATTCCCGAAGAAAGACAAAGTGGGAGGACTTGCCCTCTCAAATATCTATTTATTTTAAAACCATTAGGACATTGAGGTGTTAGCACTAAATTAGATCTACTAACCAGTGACACAGAACACAGAGCCCGGAAACACTCACACTTGATAATGACAGGGGTGGCACCACGGATCAGGGGGAAGAGATGGACTTTCCAATAAATGATGCTGCGCAACTGGGTACCCATGTGGGAAAAAATTACCTTCGACAGCTACTTGCCCCATATATGTAACAATCAATTCCAGGTAGTTTAAAAGCTTAAATGTGAAAGACAAAACTGTAAAACCTTGTAGAAGAACATATACGAAACTATCTTATGATCTTGGGATACAGAAGTCTTCCTAAAATAAGACCCAAAGAGCGTAAACAACAAAAGAAAATAAATAAATTTGACTACATTAAAATTGAGAACTTTTATTCAGCCAAAGGCATTCATCTGAAGAATGAAAAGACTCAATCTGGGATAGGCTAGTTGCAACCAAAACAGAGTTAGTATCCAGAATTTATAAAGAGCTCCTATAAATGAATGAGATAAAGTATGCTTAATATAAAAATGGGCAGAAAAATCAGGAACAGATCATAGAATTCTGGGAGTGTGCTAAAACCTGTGGAATTGTACATTTCTATTTTTTTTTTTTTTTTTTTTTGAGACCAGGTCTCACTGTGTCCCTCAGGCTGGAGTGCAGTGGCGTGATCACAGCTCATTGCAGCCTCGACCTCCCAGGTTCAAGCAGTCCTCCCACCTTGGCCTCCGTAATAGCTGGGACTACAACACACCACCACACCAGGCTAATTTTTGTATTTTTTTGTAGAGACAGGGTTTTGCCGTTTTGCCAAGCCTGGTCTTGAACTCTGGGGCTCAAGCGATCCTCCCACCTCAGCCTCCCAAAGTCCTGGGATTACAGGCATGCGCTGTCATGCCCGGCTGGAACTGTACACTGTAAATAAGTGAATTTTATGGTGTGTGAATTATATCTCAGTAAGGCTGTTTTGTTTTATTTTTTTAAGACGTGAACATGGATTTCACAAAAGAAAAAACACAAGGGCCAAAAAACAGAAAAAGTTGCTAAACCTCATTAGAAAATGGAAAATGCGGTGGCTCATGCCTGTAATCCCCACACTTTGGGAAGCTGAGGCAGGCGGATCACTTGAGCTCAGGAGTTAGAGACCAGACTAGGCAACATGGCGAAAAACCATCTCTACTAAAAATGCAGAAAAAAAAAAAATTAGCCAGGCCTGGTGGCACAGGCCTGTAATCCCAGCTACCTGGGAAGCTGAGGCAAGAGAATCATTTGAACCAGGGAAGCAGAGGTTGCAGTGAGCCGAGATCGCACCATTGCACTCCAGCCTGGGTGACAGAGCCAGACCCTGTCTCAAAAAACATAAACAAACAAACAAAAAAAAAGAAAATGGAAAATACGAATTTAAATCATAATGGTACATTGTTTTGTTCCTGCCAGCTTGTCAAACATTAAGTCTGTCCAAACCAAGTACTGATGAGGATATGGATGAGTAGGAAGCCCTGCTGAAGAGCATTTAGACTTTTTTCTTTCTTTCCCTTTGCAAATGGTTCTGTAATAAACATGCCGTATGTGTGGCTCCGCGTATTCGTGTGACTGTTTCTCCAGATTAAAAGCCTGGAAGGGAACTGTAGTTGCACTTCTGTTTTCAATGGGTGCCACCAAAGTGCCCAAGAGCTCATAATTCTACTGGTGGCAATAAAGAATTGGATGACTGAAAGTGATGGATGCTTTGGAAATGACGGAAACGTCCAAGAAACAAAGGCTTCATCTAAGCTGGGTGATGCCACATGGCAGACCATGAGGACATCAGGACAGCGATGTGAGGGACAGCCCCCAGAGCCATCAAAACTGCAGCCCTGCCCAAGTTAGTGGCCCAGTTCAGTGGAATTGCCCTCCTCGTGCTCAAGCTGTGGAAGTGTTTATCATCATGAAACTTAAGGTTTAGGGACCTTTTTTTTCCCTCCCTTAGGATCAATGATGGATTTAAAATATCCCTAAATGTTTTCTTTCAGGAATGGCTATATTACCCACGGCAGTTCTATTTTGATAGACAGATAGAGTATTTCAGTAATGACAGTTATTTCCATTTTTAGTGTTTCGGGGGGCTGGCCACAAGAGGGAACAGAAGGGGCAAAGGCCTGGAAACAGGAACCAGATCCACCTCTGCGGTTGCCGCCTTTCGGAGCCTCAGTTTCTTCACTTGCAAAGTGGAATTAGCAGTCCACATTGTGTGAAGTTGCTGTGAGGGTCAGTCAGGTAGTGCATACAGGTAAATGTGAGGGAGTAATAAATTGTAGCAGTTTTGTTCCAGGCTCGATATTCTTTCTGTATTTCCCATACAGGATGGGATTAACCAGTAGGCCCCCAGGCATAGCCCGGATTGTTCTATAAGAGAGTGGGTACTGCTCATCAGAGGAAAAAAATGGCCTCTTTTTCTCCTTGTCTTCTTCACCTGCCGTGAGATGGCGGGCCCTCCTTCCCCAGAGGCCAGCGGGTTGGACACGGCCTCGTTGGTGCAGTGAGGGTGACGGGGGGAGCCCATCCTAGCCTTGTCCTGCTCCGGAACCCTCTGACCATCCCGGTGAGCTGTGGAAGCTTCTCTCCCGCTAACGGTGGGAATCACCAGGTCCCCGTGGCAGCTTCTGGATTGAAATGTCAGTCACTCTGGCTGCCCCTGGACACACGCATTCCGTTGTCATCTGTCGGGTGCCCACGGCAACTGCTGCGGTGTAATAGAGACAAATGTAGCACCAAACTGGAATGCGATGATTCCGAAATTATGTATTTAATTCACAACTGATATAGAGTGCTCATAAAATCTTGATCATGATAGAGAGGCAATAAACATTTGAGAACATAAATATTTGGGGGGGAAATGGCTTTGTGAAACATTTAGTTGTGGAGTAGTTAGAAGAACAGAGAAAATCAGCCAGGCAGAACTCTCTAGACACGAGTCCGTGAGTTATAGATGTAGGGCTGATAATGACCTTGAGTGAGTCGTTTTATGGGGGTGCGGAATTCGCCTGTCTCTAAAGGGGGGATGATGACAATGGCACCTGCTCACAGGGTGTGATGAGAGATAAATTAGGTGACGTGCGTTCGGTGCTTACAGAAGCCCATTTTGAGCTTCAAAGAGTGGGACAATCCAGCGCCCTCTTGCTTGCTCAGAATCAGGTCAGTGAGATGCCGGCATTTCCCGTGAGAGGGTGCTTCAGATTCTGTTCGCACTTCGGAGTGTGGCCCCCGGCAGCTGATCGCCTCTCCCCTCACCTTGGCAAAACATAGATTTGTTATCAGTGCAGAAGGTGGTTTAAAAGGAATTTGTTACCATGAACAGTGAATTTTTAGGTATGCAAATGATCACTTAAGAAACTGCTTCGCAGGTTGCAGGCGCCCTCCCTCTGGCTCCCCGCCTGGCTTCGGAGCCAAGCTCCACACCTCAAGGTGCCTCTAGGAGAGAGTTGGGCCCGACAGCAGCTTTCCCCAGACACTGCAGAAGGCAGAATGGCTTAAACTGAGGGCCTCAAAGCTTTCTCTCTAGAACCTGGGAGCTTCTTTTTTGGGAGGAGAATTCTTTTCTATGCAAGAATGAGCTGCTGTTTTTGTACTTCCTGTGAGAGGAAAACAAAGGGAAGTGGAATTTATGTACACCAGGAAGAGTCTGGACAAAATTCTTTAGTGTCTGTAAAGGTGGCAATGGGAGGAAAGCTAAGGGCAGCTGAGGAATACACCTCATTTTAAAAAAGTCTTTGAGTCTAGGTGTGGTGGCTCATGCCTGTAATCCCAGCACTTTGAGAGGCCAAGGCAGGTGGATCACTTGAGGTCAGGAGTTTGAGACCAGCCTGGCCAACATGGTGAAACCCCGTCTCTACTAAAAATACAAAATTAGCCAGGCATGGTGGCGCATGCCTGTGATCCCAGCTACTGGGGAGGCTGAGGCAGGAGAATCACTTGAACCCAGAGGGCGAAGGTTGCAGTGAGCAGAGATCGCACCATTACACTCCAGCCTGGGAAACAAGAGCGAAACTCCGTCTCAAAAAAAAAAAAAAAATCTGAGAGTTGGAGCCAGTCATTGGCCTGAGGCAACTCTGCCTGTAAAATTAAGGGTCTTCTGGTGTTCTCTTTGGCCCTGGGATGCTATAATGCAACGGCTACTGGGGCCACCACTTCTATAGCTGGTGATTTATGGCTCTCAGCAAATAGGAAGATCATGTATTCATTCAGCAAACCGATTAAGCCCTGTGATGAGGGGCTATGTGCACACGGTGCAGGCTCTGAAGATGCAAAGGTGGGAGTGAGGCGCAGTCCTGCCCTCCATGGTCCCTCTCCCAGGAGCTTCCCTCTAGCAGAACAGACAGATTTGGACACAGCTAACTACTGTCCTTCACAGTGAGCGCATTCTTTGAGGTTTGCCTTAGAGCCGGTGCAATCAGGTGGGACGGGTCGAGGCGCTCGGGTGCTCGGCTGGCAGCACTCTCTCCCAGCGTGGCTCTTGGTGTGCAGGGTAGGGGGCACCTGGCACCTGGGAGATACCATAGGCAAGAAAGCGGCTGAGGGGGTGCCAGGACACAGTAGTGTTCCAGGTCTCTGACACATGGAAAATATGAAAACCTGCCAAATCTTTTAGATAACCAAGTTGTAATCCAAATATTCTGGCATGACAGCAAGTGCTTGCTCCTGTCAGCTAAAAGAAGGGAAGATGCTGATAAAAATATTAGCAAGGTGGGGCACGGTGGCTCATGCCTGTAATCCCATCACTTTAGGAGGCCGAGGCGGGCAGATTACCTGAGGTCAGGAGTTCGAGACCAGCCTGGCCAACATGGTGAAACCCCATCTCTACTAAAAATACAAAATTAGCCTGGCGTGGTGGCACATGCCTGTAATCCCAGGTACTTGGGAGGCTGAGGCAGGAAAAGTGCTTGAATCCAGGAGGTGGAGGTTGCAATGAGCCAAGATTGCACCATTGTACTCCAGCCTCGGCAACAAGAGCAAAACTCTGTCTCAAAAAAAAAAAAAAAACCAAAAAACAAAAATCAGTGGTAATGTTTTGGCTGTAAGGCCTTTTTCTTTAAGTAGTTGGAGAAAAATGGAATCAAATTGGAAACTGTTGGTTCCTTATGTGTGATAGGCATGGCTAGGGGAGGGAGAGGAGGAGAAGCTGCCCTTGGCTCAACTGTCCTCCCGGGAACAGCAGCAGGAGGAAGCACCAGCATCACAGAGAGGGCAGCGGCAAGAGGAATGGCCATTGAAAGTTTTACTCTTTACAATGGAAACTTGATATGAAAGGGGGCGGCCTGATATGTTTCCAATCAGATGGGGATGGGGCCGATCCTGTTCTCTCATTTGCATGCTTACTGATCTTCCACGAACATTCAGAGTCACTGGTGATTAATGCCAGTGTTACACGCTGGGTGCCCACACCTCTCAAAGGCCTGCTGGATATCACCTCGGGCTCACACTGCAATATGCTGATTTGGCTCCATCATGGGTCCCATTTATGTCTGCAGTCCTGCTCAAAGATGATGAAATGCAAATAGCCATTTCTATCCCAAACTGAAATACATCTCTGTGCTTGCTTGTGGCGGAGGTACTTCAGAAACATCAAAGAGTATCATCTGCTTCCCCTTTCCCGACCTTGCGTGTTGTGCCGTCTCCTGGTAGCATGTTGTTGCAGAGATCCTAGGCGGCCATGTGCCCTCTTCTTCTTCCCCTGGAGTTTCTGCTGACCTCAGTGGGTTCTCAGCTGTTAACCAAGTCACCCTGCAGTGGGTCCTTTAGAGACAGACAGTGTGGTGTGACGGCAAAGAGCTGCCTTCTGGAACCGCACTCCGGGCTCCAGTGCCCTCTGTGAGTTGCGCTGTCTGAATGACTTATCCCACCTGGAGGGCTCCTTCTGCATCATAAAATGGAGGCAATGATGGGACCTAATTCAGACGGCAGTGGAAAGACTGGATGAGTAAATACGAAGAGGAGACCTTCGTGCATGCTCCCTGCAGTCCCCATTGTCACCTGCGTGCCACTCCAGGAGGCTGCAGGGATGGGGCGTGAGAGCACTTGTCTCCTGCCCACTTGTCTCCTTCCCTAGAGAACATGGAGGGGCTTCATGCTCTCCACAGCGGGGATCCCCTCACTGCGAGGGTGCCCTTCCGCCCCAGCTGGGCCACCCTGGGGATGACCCATACCCTCCAGCAAGGAAACTGGCTTAAAGCCACCAGCCTGAGCCTGTGCCAGGGGCCCTTCCCTACCAGGATGTGAGTACCTGGGGATTAGTCCAGGGATGGCTTCAGCCCCCACACTCATGAGCTCTCTCTGCCCCAGCCACCCCAAATAAAGCCATCGTCTCAGTAAACAGTGTGTGCAGCTTTGTGAACATGTCCAATGAGCAGTTCTAACTGGGCTGCTGCCCCTAAGCCCTTCCCAGATAGGAGTTGTGGGGACCCTGCCACTGGGGCCAGGCAGAGGGTCAGGGCTGCCTGCCAGCCAGGCCCACATCCTGCAGGGCCAGGCCCAGCCCCTAGCATAGGATGGAGGTTGTTCTTGGCAGTGGAGCGGCAAGATGAGAGAGCCCAGAACCAGCTGGCTTACTAGGGGGGTGACAGGGAGGTTACTTTATGTCTCTGATCCTCAGATTCCCCAGGACAAAAGGAGGTCAACAGTGGCCTGGCTCCTTCCTCCTGGGAATGCGGCGTGATTCCCCAGTGTAGAATGATCAGCTCGGAGCCCAGTTGTGGCAGCTGCTATTCCTAGTAGTAAGGGAAGGACTTACACTTCAATTTGTTCGCTCCAGAAGTATTTATTGTAGGCTTCTCTTTGCCAGGCACCGTTCCAGACGCTGGGGCCACAGAAACAAGCAAAACATTCCCATGGGAGGAGGCGACGTTAGACAAATAAACAGAGCAGAAATACCTGCTAGGACCAAGTGCTTTATGTGGGATTAAAATGCCATGGCATGATGGAGTAGGGGCAAGCTGACTGGTTTGGATGCGCTGGTGGGGGAAGGTGCCTCTGAGGAGGGCTGGTTTAAGCTCAGACTTGAATGGAAGGAAGGAGCCAGCTGCAGGAGGAGGGGAGGAAGAGTTCTGCAGGTGGGGTGGGTGGGGGGCAGCCAGCGTCCATGTCCTGGGCCAGGGACAGCCAGGCCCATTCCAGGAGAGCTGGGGGAAGGGAAGCCACTGGAGGAACAAGGTGGGGGCAGGGTGTGGCGAAGGTGGTTATTTCAAACATTTGATTACACAGGGCATCTACTTATTGTAGAAAAGTTAGAAAATGTAGGCCGGGTGCAGTGGCTCACGCCTGTAATCCCAGCACTTTGGGAGGCTGAGGCGGGCAGATCACGAGGTCAGGAGATCGAGACCATCCTGGCTAACATGGTAAAACCCCATCTCTACTAAAAATACAAAAAATTAGCCAGGCGTGGTGGCGGGCGCCTATAGTCCCAGCTGCTCGGGAGGCAGAGGCAGGAGAATGGCGTGAACCCAGCTGGTGGAGCCTGCAGTGAGCAGAGATCACGCCACTGCACTCCAGCCTGGGCGACAGCGAGACTCCGTCTCAAAAAAAAAAAAAAAAAAGTTAGAAAATGTAGCTAAGTAAAAATATTTCCAATATCCAAAGATAACTAATGTTGACATTTGGGTGTATGTCTATTCCAATATTTTAAAAACTACTCTAAACAGGTCTTGGCTGGGCACGGTGGCTCGCACCTATAATCTCAGTGCTTTGGGAGGTCGAGGCGCGTGGATCATTTGAGGTCAGGAGTTCGAGACCAGCCTGACCAACATGATGAAACCCCATCTCTACTAAAAATACAAAAAAAATTAGTCAGGTGTGGTGCTGCATGCCTATAGTCCCAGCTACTCAGGAGGCTGAGGCAGGAAAATCACTTGAACCCAGGAGGCAGATGTTGCAGAGCCCAGATCGCGCCACTGCACTCCAGCCTGGGCGACAGAGCGAGACTCCTTCTCAAAAATAAAAAAATAAGAAAATAAATAATAAAAATGAAAACAGGGTCTTAATTGCACACATTATATCACAGCCCTTTCCTCTATGGAATATACCATGAACCCGTGTTCACAAACACTGTCCCCAGCCTCACCGTCAGTGGCTGCACAGTACTTCTTTGAGAGCATTTGTGCTCGTCAGCCGTCACACAAGGACCAGGATTATCACAAGTTGATGGCCCTTGGGGGAGATGCCACCAGGATGTCACAGGCTTCTCGGCTGGAATCATAGACTTAATTCACAGACAACTAACAAAACCCAGAAGTTGTTTTTTTTTTTTTTGGAGTCTCACTCTGTCATCGTGGCTAGAGTGCAGTGGCATGATCTCGGCTCACTGCAACCACCAGGATGTTGCAGGCTTCTCAGCTGGAATCATAGACTTAATTCGCAGACAACTAGCAAAACCCAGAAGTTGGTTTTTTTTGTTTTTTTTTTTTTTTTTTGGAGTCTCACTCTGTCATCCTGGCTGGAGGGCAGTGACATGATCTCGGCTCACTGCAACCTCTGCCTCCCGGGTTCAAGCGATTCTCCTGCCTCAGCCTCCTGAGTAGCTGGGATTACAGGCGTGCACCACCACGCCCGGCTAATTTTTGTATTTTTAGTAGACATGGGGTTTCACCATGTTGGCCGGGCTGGTCTTGAACTCCTGACCTCAAATGATCGGCCTGCCTTGGCCTCTCAAAGTGCTGGGATTACAGGCGTGAGCCACGGCACCCGGCATAAAACCCAGAAGTTTTAAATTGCAGTTCTGTGTACCTGGCCAAAGACGTGGAAAAGCTTTATCTAGAAATTCAGGTTTCACCTCCTTGGGTCGGTTCACTTAAGAAGTTTAACCTGGGAGCATAACCCAGATAAACAGTTTAACCCTGGGTTCTTTTCCATAGGCAGTTAGGGGAGGCTTCTCTTGGCCTGGCCAAGCCACAGGGCTGGCCTCTGGGTTAGGCCTTCCAGGCGGTGACCTTTACCCCCACAAATCGAGGTTTCTTCCGATTGCAAAGTCAAGTCCAGGGTACAATTTGTACCTAATTTCCATTGGTATCTCTGGATGCAGCCTGACGTTAGGTGCAGATTTGGGAGGGGAGGGAGCCTAAGGGAGCTTCTCTCTGAAGTTGCTCTCATGGGGGAGCTCGCGCCCTGGTGGGATTCACCGGATGGAGTCCTTTGAAGCGCTAGAATCTGAACCCTTATCTTTGCTAGTCCACAAGTAAGAGCTTCCAATCCTATTTAGAAATTTGAGAAGAAAGCGTGGTTTTCCTGGAATGAAAGCTCAGAGGGGATGTCCCAGAGTTGGAATATTCAGGGAAGTCCTTGGAATTGTGCTGGGAAGGCCACAGAGGTATGTCTTCTGTTGGCCACTGCTGCCCCGATGCCGGACAGAAAGATGTGTAGAAGAAATGAAGAGGAGCCGGGCGCGGTGGCTCACACCTGTAATCCCAGCAGTTTGAGAGGCCAAGGCGGGTGGCTCACTTGAGGTCAGGATTTGGACACCAGCCTGGCCAACATGGTGAAACCCCATCTCTACTAAAAGTACAAAAATTAGCCGGGTGTGGTGGCACATGCCTGTAATCCCAGCTACTCGGGAGGCTGAGGCAGGAGAATCGCTTGAACCCAGGAGGCGGAGGTTGCAGTGAGCCGAGATCGCACCATTGCACTCCAGCCTGCATGACAGAGCCCATGAGAAGAGGTGAAGGAAGAGAGGCTGGTTCAGGGGTGGGCACAGAGAGGCCAAGAAGCCTGATGCATCAGGGCCTCCCAGGCCTCCCCAAGATGCGTACACATGGCAGAAACTCAATATAAGTGTGCTGTCAGTATCTCCAAGAGTGTGCTGTCAGTATCTCTAGGAGTGTGCTGTCAGTATCTCGAGGTAAGGAAGACAGAGGAAGGAGGTTGGGGAAGAAATAAAAGGATGGCAAGTGCACGCCCACCCCAACACCAGCCCCATGGCCTCCTGCAGCAGCGTCTGTTCTCTGCGCCGGTTCTGGTGGCTCCTGGCTGTGGGCTTTCCCACTCACCCCTTCAAGTGCCCTCAGCTCCAGTCCACCCCTGCAAGAGGATTTTCATATCGATTTAAAAAATAAAAATTATCGATGAACAAATCTGTCTCAAGAAAAAAAAAAAACAGAGTAAATGAAGCACTTAAGAGACTTCCTGCATTTGGGAAACAGCAACACAGCCCAGTGGCTCCCACCCTGGATGTTAGAGTCCAGCAGCTGTGAGTCGCGAGTTCTTCTGGGTCACTCACCAGCCGATATCGGGGCAAGCTGCCTCATCCATAAGATGGGGGTGACAGTTACACCTACGTCCCGGGCTTGCCATGAAGACGCAGTGAGAGGTATCCTGTGCATCCTCACAGAGTGCCGGGCACGGGGCACCTGAAGAGCCAGCACACCTTACGAGGGGCCTCGCACAAGAGCATCCAGGGAGGCGGTAGTGCCCAGTGGTTATGGCAGGCCAGAGCGTCCAGCACCTGAACCCAGAGCCTGCCTTTACTAGGGATGGGACCTTGAGAAGCTGCATAACTTCCCTGAGACCCAGTTCCCACACCTATCAAATAGGGGATGGTGGTTGTGCCTAACTCCTACAAAGAGAAGATTGCGTGAAATTATGTTATGTAGCATGCTTAGTTCGTGAAAAACATTGTAAATATTTACTGGGCGCAGTGGCTCACGCCGGTAATCCCAGCACTTTGGGAGGCCAAGATGGGCAGATCACCTGAGGTCAGGAGTTCGAGACCAGCCTGGCCAACATGGTGAAACCCGTCTCTACTAAAAATACAAAAATTAGCCGGGCTTGGTGGCAGGTACCTGTAATCCCAGCTACTCAGGAGGCTGAGGCAAGAGAATCGCTTGAACCCGGGAGGCGGAGGTTGCAGTGAGCCGAGATCGCGCCATTGCACTCCAGCCTGGGGTCAAGAGTGAGACTTAGTCTCAAAACAAACAAACAAACAAACACAACTTAGCCACTTCATCAGAAAAATTATCCATCCAAGAAATTAGTGTGTACTTCACCCTCCTTGTCCAAACCATATTTAGCAAACAACTTGTGGATCTCATCCCTTTGCCGATTGCAAACTGGTCTTTTCATAGTACATATTTGCATCTTTTAATATCGAGATCAACCCCAAGTACCACGGGCAGATGGTGTCTGTGTGTATCTAAACACACGTGGTAAAAGCTGTGGGAGGCCAGGAATGTGCCTGGCTCATTCACCACTAGATCTGTAGTTCCTAGGGCAGCCAGCAACTAGCATCTAGGAAGCACTGGGTAAATATTTGTTGAATGAATGAATGAACATCTTTTGATTTTCTTAAACCAGAGGCATTGATTTGCACTGAGCTATTCACACTTCCTCACCTGAGCCCTCTCGCACCTGAGCACCTGGGAGGCTGGCACCTGGGTGAAAGGTCGTCCCACTCTTTGTCCTTCTCAGTGGCCAGCATCTGCTGTGTCCTTGTCCCCATTCTGCCCACTCTTATTGAAATGAAGTTCTGATTCCACAGTGATATGGGGGGTTTGATAAGAGACTGAGAGCACTGCTCAGACACATGAAGCTTTAAATCTGTGTGTTTTATGATCTGCGCATAAGAACTTCCGGTCCAGTCTTACGGTTATCTACGTGTTATCACCATTATGTTGGTCCTGTAGCTGAAAATGCACACTTTTCCGTCTTTAACAATAAACCTGTTCTTGTGATTTTGTTTATTTATTTATTTATTTATTTCTGAGACAGAGTTTCACTCTTGTTGCCCAGGCTGGAGTGCAATGGCACCGTCTCAGCTCACTGCAACCTCCACCTCTTGGGTTCAAGCGATTCTCCTGCCTCAGCCTCCCAAGTAGCTGAGACTACAGGCGCCCATCACCATGCTCGGCTAATTTTTGTATTTTTAGTAGAGATGGGATTTCATTATGTTGGCCAGGCTGGTCTCGAACTCCCCTGCCTCGGCCTCCCAAAGTGCTGGGATTACAGGTGTGAGCCACCACGCCCAGCCTGTGATTTTATAATTAGTGTTTTTCTTAATTGTAGAAATAGTACAGTCTCATTGTAAAAAAAAAAATTAAAATTAAAAAATTAAAACCAGACATATAAAGTAAGGCCAGGCATGGTGGCTCACACCTGTAATCCCAGCACTTTGGGAGGCCGAGGCAGACAGATCACTAGAGGTCAGGAGTTCAAGACCAGCCAGGCCAACATGATGAAACCCCCTCTCTACAAAATACAAAAAATTAGCCAGGCATGGTGTAATCCCAGCTACAGGTTGAGGCATGAGAATCGCTTGAACCTGGGATGCGGAGGTTGCAGTGAGCCAAGATTGCACCACTGCACTCCAGCCTGTGTGACAGAACCAGACTCCATCTCAGAAAAAAAAAAATGCTGGGTGCAGTGCCTTATGCCTGTAATCCCAGCACTTTGGGAGGCCAAGGTGGGGAGATCATGAGGTCAAGAGATTGAGACCATCGTGGCCAACATGGTGAAACCAACATGGTGAAACCCCATCTCTACTAAAAATACAAAAATTAGCTGGGTGTGGTGGCACACGCCTGTAGTCCCAGCTACTCAGGAGGCTGAGGCAGGAGAATCGCTTGAACCCAGGAGATGGAGGTTGCAGTGAGCCGAGATTGCACCACTGCACTCCAGCCTGGCAACAGAGCGAGACTCTGTCTCAAAGAAGTAATTCAGCAATGAGAAATCTTGTCCATATATCTTTACACTTGCACAAATATTTGCTTAAAATAAATTTCTGAACCAAGATACTTGGCTACCCTGAGCCTCAGTTGCCGCATATATGCATTGAGAATACTGTTTACTTTGCAAGATGATATAAAGTAACAACTGTAAAATATTTAAGGCAGTTGTATTTGATGAATGATAGTTTGGTTTTATTTTAAACCAGAATGCATTAAACCCAGCTTGACTACTAATTGATACTTCATTTTCAATTAGGCCCCAATTAAATATTTTAGACCAAGTGAACTTACTTTCTTTTAATGTGCAGTTGGCCCTTCTTTCATCCTCGAGGCAGAGACTGAGTGCTCGCCTCACGTGTGGCCCGGGGGTTCCTGCAACTTTTCCACCTGGATCTATTTTGCTGCCTCCGTAAGGCATTCTTGTAGACCTCACTGGTTGCTCCATTTGACAGCACACTGTCCACTGCGCAATTAAGGGGTGGAAGCCAACCCCGACTGTCATGTGCGTTTGTGGAAGAGGAAAGTGATGGATAGAGCCTCCCTGTTGCGCAAGTCGGAATCTCTATTAGCATGTGATAATAGTATTGGCTAACTAAATTGGGTGATTATCACATATCAGCCTCGATGCTAAGGCCACGGGTTAGTGCCTTTAATCCTCCTCACCTGTTGCCATCCCTGTCCCCTTAGATGGGGAACCTGGGGCTGCCCTTGGCCATGCATTCCTGGTGTCTGCAGAAGGGTATGAGCCTTGATCCTGAGAGTGCAGACCCCAGAGCCCCAGCTCTGGCTGCTGCCCAGGCCCTACTCGCAAAAGTGGGAGTAAAATACATTCTTTCATAGGTATCCACAGGAGGACTGAAGGTGGTAACCACAGGGCTTCTAATTTGTTTCGTGTGTGTGTCTATGTGTGTGTGTGCATGCATGTGCTTGGCTCAGGTGAATGCCAGACTGGCTTGGAAGCGAGAGGAGAGAATAGAACCATCTCAGAGGACTGACTGGTTGGCTGCGCGGCTCCGATGGTCTCACCCTGCTCCCCACAGAGTGCACTAGGATTGCTGGATGAAGGCAGCGTCTCCCTAAACTCGACATCCCCGTTGCTCCAGCTGGGAAGTCAGCCACCTTTGTCTCCTCTGTCCTTCGGCTCACAGAATTCTGGAAGCATCCTCTCTCTTCCTGAGCACCAGGATCATTTTACTCCTTGGGGAGGGTGCATTTGCTCTTCTCTGCTGATTTCCTTCCAAACATACTTCAAGGAGCTGATGACAGCTTCAAGTTTGGGTCCAAGTTTAGACCGCATTTAAAGAAGCTCCTGGTGGCCACCTTGTACGGATGGACAAAGTCAGGCCTGAGGGAAACCCTTAGCTTGGGGATTGTCTCAGGTGGACTGTCTTGAGGGACCCTTGCACTGGGGACATTGGGCTTCGAGGGCACACAGGGTGTGAACAATACAGGGGGCTGTGGACCTCCCCTCCACTACCCGGAAAGAAAGGGATCAGGGCCCCAGTGTCACCACGGTCATGAAGTCAGCATCCGGAATTAGTGTCCCGAAGAGAACATAGTAAAACAAAAGGCGATCGCATGCTGAGCCTTTTTAATCACCTAATGGCCCAGACACCCGACTCTGGAGCTCAGGTTTCTGCCGGGGCCCAGCTCGGGTACTGTAACTACACCCAAGTTTGGCCCGCCTTCTCCACATTACAGCCGCGACACGGACGCACACAATTGAAGTATTTGAGAACAATGAAATATGCATGGCTATCTGTGACAGCCCCGTAAAGTCGAGCAATTAGCCGCGTAATCCGAGAGAGGGAGCCGGCCCTGGGCAGCCCGCGGTTCCCCATTAGTTAAATGCATTTTGTACGTCCTCATCCCATCAAATCAACTAACACTTCCTTTAATTGGTTCATGAATTATACAGCCGCCCCGCATTATAATTTAATCGCCTGTAAACATTCATAAGGCCCCACCGTAAAGCGTATCTCGCTCATTAATTCGTTAATTTCAGCAGATGGAAGGGGAGATCGGATGAACGGTGGCAGAACAGAGCGCTTTGGGCAATGGAAGAAGGGGAAATAGGTGGGGGCCGTTTAGGTTTTTTAAGGGCTGTCAGAAACTCAATCTGTGAGCTGTCAGCAGCCCGGACCCGTCTCCACCCCCTCCACTCCGCAGACTGCGGGAAGTGACTGGCGGATTCATATGGAGGCTTGTCAACCGTCTTTAAACATCAAGCCAGCGGGTAAACCGAGCCCAGTGTAAATTAATTCTTGTCTTACGGCCCCCCTTTCTCTGTCCCCATGAATATTTCATGGCGGGCAGCATAAATATTAATTCTAATAGCTCTGCACAGTGGTTATTATTTCTGTTTTATGACAAATATTCATAAAATATTCAGGACCCTTTCTTAGAACATTTACACACTTGATTGTGAATTTTCCCAGTTTCCTGGGGACACTGTAAACATATTGGGGTTCTCTTGATGGACTTTTCCCCCTTAATTAATACCACTGGTTATTAATATTTAATCAGATTTAGGTTTTTCCAGAAGTGAATCCTATTAGATTAGAGGGCTAAAGGGTATGTTTTTCCCCTTCGGTCTGTAAAATGGGAGATTTCTGCTATCATGAGACCGTTTCTCTTTGACACCTGCGTGATCTGACCGAGGATGACCTCCTTGCCTTTTTATTTTGAAAACAGCATCTATCCTTTTTTTTTTTTTTTTGGCACGTGTCTATTCTCCTGTTACTTTTTAGTGGAGAGCTCTGGCAGCAACCCAACTTACTGTAATGAAATTCTTCAGAAGATGCCACTGCAATATTTATGCAAGGATTTAACATAATTTTGGAGTAATTAAAGTGTGGGTTTAACAACCACGGTGGTGGATTCTTTAGGCAAGGCAGCTGTGATTGGGGACGAAGGGTCTTTTGGAATCTGTGGAATTTATCTTTAGTCCTGAGAGGCAGCTGTGCCCTGTGTCCTTAGTGAGGCACACTGGAGGGTGTGAGCCGGCACACCCCCTACGTAACGGGGGACACAGAGGAGTCTGAGGTGGGGTCTAGCACACCGGGAGAGTGGGGGCACATAAGCAGGGTCAACCCCCGTCCCTCCCGCTAGCTGGCTTGAGTTCCGGCAGGTTCACTGTCCCTCTCCTGATCCTCACTGGAGATTTCAGGAAGGCTCCGCCAACTTCAGGGAACAAAGCACGATTATTTTACATCTGAGAACTTAGCGGAGCAGCAACGGAGTGTCCTAGATTCAGATGGCCCTGGAGTCCAGCCTGGAGGCAACACTTCACCTCTCAGAGCCCGAGTCTTTGCACCCTCGAAATGGGCACGATCACAGTACCGGGGTCGTGTACTTCTCACGAGGATTAAATAAGATAGCACGTGCATGTAACGTGCTTACTACCAGTGCCCGGCAGGTAGGAAATATCAATAAAACAGTTTTGGTGCTGATTAATGGAAGGCAAAGGATTAAAATTAAAACCAAGAAGTAAAACACTTGTAGACAGAGGGATTCATGGAAAAGCTCCAGCTGCAGAAAAGGTTAAAAGACAGGTTTCTCTGCAGCACGTTTATATAGATAGGTACATACATAGCAGAGAAGTCAAGGCTGGGGAATCTGGCGGTGGGTAGCGACAGTGCTGTGGCAGAGGAACACTGGAATGTGCTTATGTAACTTTTCACCAGAGACAGATTTTAAAGCAGCAGTTGTCACTGATGGAGACTGACTCTGAGAAAGGAAACCTCAAAATTAGCACACCTACCCGTGTCTCCACTGCCCTGTTTCCAGTGACCAGTGACGAGGAGATGCACTTGTCCCCCAGGTGACCCAGGGATCCTGGATCTGCACACCCTGCTCTCAGACCCGTGCCTGTGGGGCCGCCCGACGGCAGGTCAGGTCGCGAGCAGAGGCACGTGGGTGGGCCCCCATGGCAGAGCATCTGCTGTGTTTCCTGCCTCGAATCTCTTCCAGCTGATCTGTTGCAGGTGGAGAAAGATGACATTGACTGCAGCTGGCTCTGAACCTGGGCCTCACAGCACAGCCCCGGGGAGCTAAAGCTACACACGCAGCCAGGGCTTGTGGCTTGAGCTGAGCAGTGGGAGGCCAGGCCCCCCTCCTCCCCTTGTTCCTTCAGCGGAATCACAATGGAGTGCTGTGACCAAGGGCACCGACACTGGAGAATTCACCTGGGTTGAGTCGTGGCTCCATCGCTTCTGGCGGGGGAACTTGGATTGGTTGCTGAACTCCTCTGTCCCTCGGTTCCCTCATCTGTTCTAATGACACCCCCGCCTCTCAAGCTTGTGATGAGGATGAAGTGGCCTCACGGAGGCTAATAGAAGAGTGCTGGTGTGTGGGCCCACGTGGGTTCTGTGTTGTTATTACATATTAAGTGTCTTGTCAGGATGCAATCTCGGGAAGCAGATGCTGAGACAGGGTCAGGAGTGAAGAGGAGTTAATGGGGAAGGCACACCTGTACCAGGAAAAGAGCCCAAAGTAAGGTGGGTGAGGAGCCATGGATCATGACGCAGACCTGGCACAGCCCCTCAGAGGGCTGCGAGGGGCAGAAATGCCAGGTGCTGGTACCCCTGTCATGCTTAGTTTTTGGCCAAAGGTCACCCCAGAGTGTGACCTTGGTTCAAAAGCTTGGGTTAAAAATCCATTGGTTGGCTAGCACCGTGGCTCACGCCTGTAATCCCAGTACTTTGGGAGGCCACGGTGGGTGGATTACTTGAGCCCAAAAGACCAACCTGGGCAATATGGTGAGACCCTGTCTCTACAAAAAATGTTTTTAAAAATTAGCTGGGAGTAGTGGCATGTGCTGTAGTCCTAGCTGTTAGGGAGGCTGAAGTGGGAGGATCGCTTGAGCCCGGAAGGTCGAAGCTGCAGTGAGCTGTGATTGTGTCATTACACTCCAGCCTGAGCAACAGAATGAGACTCTATCTCTCTCAAAAAAAAAAAAAAAAAAAGTCCAAGTCCATCAACTCGTGGATGCATAAACAAAATGTGATAGATCCAAAGAATGGAGCACTGTTTGGCTGCACGAGGAATGAAGTTCTGATCCATGCGACAGTCTGGATGAACCTTGAAAACATCAGGCTGAGTGAAAGCAGCCTGGCACATTGGCCCTCGTGGATATTCTATGTAATTATGTGTTAAGTGCTTTCTATGGGTCATCTCATTTAATCCTTAAGACAATCTTGTGAAGTCCTCTTTCTTTTTATCCTAGGTGGAGACTTGGAGAGCCATGTCTTGTGAAATGTGCAGAATAGGAAAATCCGTAGAGACAGAAAGTCCATCAGTGCTTGCTTAGGGCTGGGAGCTGGGGAAGGGGAAGTGACTGTTCATGGGTACAGGGTTGCCTTTTGGAGTGATGAAAATGTTCCATACTTAGATTGTGTTGATGATGGCACAACTCTGAATATACTAAATCCATTGAATTAGACTCATTACAGGGGTGAATTATAGCTCAGTAAAGATGTCAAAACAAAAACAAAAACGAAAACTAGGGCTCAAGACCCTCACGATGCTTCAGTTGGAGGCTGCGGTGACCCACCCCTTACAGCTGAGCTCTTTCTGGAAGGGGGATCTGAGTGGGGCCTCTTGGCATCGGCCACACCTCAGGACACGGAGGAAATGTTCACCAACCCAGCTGTTTTTGGGGGGCTGTTGCTGACCAATGGATCTTGACTGGCGTCCAAACAGAGCGACTTCAGTGTTGATCAGTGTTCCCACTGTCAAGCTAAGTGCTTGTTAGAGCTCGGAGTACCAGGTAGAAGGCGTGGTGCAGTGCCCAGTGAAGATGGTGGGTTTCCAGGAGCATGCGGGAACTTTGTCTGCACTGACTGCTAACTTCCAAGTGTGCACAGGCATGAAGGAGCAGTGTCGGGGGGATTCGGACACAGGCCCTGCCTGGAACCAGGAAAAAGACTCGGCCAGAGTTTTTAAAGTGTGCTCCTGTGCCCCATACCTGCACCTGAGAGCTGCTGGTGCAGATGGTGCCGTGACCTGGCACAGACTGGCTGGGCTTGCCGTGGGTGATTCAGCTTGCCCAGGGTGCCCCCAGGAAATGGGGGGAAAAGGCACTCCCACCATGTGGCAGGAAGGCTGGGTGGCCAGGTGCCACTTGGGAACAGGCAGATGATAGCGAGGGTCCTGACTGGGGATAGGACCCCCAGGCCCACCATCTTCTGAGAGTAGGACAAACACACCAGATGCCACCTCAAAGAAGTCTTCTGGACACTAGGATTGGTCAACTCTTCTGCATCCCCATCCATCAGCGAAGGAGCCAAATGCATCTGATGAGGAGTGCAGCCCTGGAGATGAAGATGACCGTTCATCAACTGTACTTTCCAAGGCCTGGGTGGGTTCCTCGCCTGGGCCCACCGTGCAGGTGAGGGATGCAGCCCCAGAGTGGGGCGGGGGGGTGCTCAGCTCTAAGACTGGAGGAGGCCAGAGGTGCACAGGTCTCTGTTCATCATCCCCAAATCCAAACGGGGAGCCGACCAGAGCCAAGTCCCACCCATTCCAGCTGCTCATTCCACTGCGTAGTCGGGAACCTTACTTCTTCCCTCTCACCTCCCTAGAAATGTCTATTCCATGTCTCACACCTCTGGAGAAGGCTCAAAGCAAGTAACTCAGCCCACCACACACGGCCACTAAGTGCAAGATGAGCTCCGTGATGGAGAGAACTGGTACCCCCATGTGGTTATGGGCACGAACTTGGGAGCAGACAGTCCTGGGTTCAAGTCTCTGCCTCTTTTTAGCCAAATAACCTTGTGCAGGCATGTGATCTTTCTAGGCCTCATTTGTTTGCTGATGTGAAAAGTAAGCATAATCCAGTACCCAGACCTCATTTGGGTGTTGTGAGGATTACATAAAACCAGACATTTACATCACCTGGCTTTAAACACAGTGCCTGATAAAAAGTGGCTGTCTGACCAGTACCCGTGTTGGTAAAATGGGAACAGTAATCCGTGCTCCGCCTTAGGGGGCTGCTGTGGCAGGGGCGTGCTAGAACTGGGCTGCACCAGCTGCTGAGGTCTGAATGTGCACTTCTCTTCCGCATTTAAGGACGCCATGTTGGCAGCTTGAAATTTACTAGATGGGGATATTGGCAAATGCTACAAATCAGGGGTCGTCCCTCCTCACTGCTAAAAGCTGGTTTACCAGCATGCCACTGTGTGGGAACAGAACAAGAATGCGTACTTTGCCCCACAAGGTAAGGGCCTTGTTCTGCCACTACTTTATAACACCCCCGCCCCCAATCAACCTGCCTTCCTCCCCCTTGGGGCCTGGACCTAGTTTATAGAAGGCAGGGCTGTTGCTGTTGGTACACAGAGCATTTCTCTTTTCTTCCTGACTTCCATGTTAGTAGAAGTTGACTTTTTATTTTATTTTAATTGTTTTTAGTGAGAGGGTCTCACTGTGTTGCTCAGGCTGGCCTCAAACTTCTGGCCTCAAGAAGCCCTCCTGCCTCAGCCTCCCAAGTAGCTGGGATTATAGGCATGAGCCACTGTGCCTGGCTTGAAGTTGACTTAAAAAACAAAACAAAACAAAAACAACTCTGGCTTATTTCTCTTTACAAAAATCATATATGTTGTAAAAAGTTTTTTAAATATATGGAGCTAAAAAGAGAAAGATAAGCAGGAACAATCTTTTTTTTTTTTTTTTTTTTTTTTTTTTTTTTTTTTTTTTGAGACAGAGTCACTCTCTGTTGCCCAGGCTGGAATGCAGTGACATGATCTCAGCTCACCGCAACCTCTGCTTCCCAGGTTCAAGCGATTCTCCTGCCTCAGTCTCCCAAGTAGCTGGGATTACAGGCATCTGCCATCACACCTGGCTTATCTTTAGTAGAGACGGGGTCTCACCGTCTTGGCCAGGCTGGTCTCAAACTCCTAATCTCAGGTAATCCACCTGCCTCGGCCTCCCAAAGTGCTGGGATTATAGGTATGAGCCACCACGCCCAGCCCAGAAATAATCATTCTTAATGTTGCAGTCTTTTTCTTTTCTATACATTTTTTTAGTGGGATCAAACAGTATTACCTGATATATAACCTGATTTTTTAAATTAACAATATGTCAGGCCAGGCATGGTGGCTCATGCCTATAATCCCAGCACTTTGGGAGGCTGAGGTTGGAGGGTCACTTCAGCCCAGGAATTCAAGACCAGCCTGGGCAACATAAGAAAAGTCTCTACAAAATTAAAAATTAAAAAATTAGCTGGGTGTGGTACACAAACCTGTGGTCCCAGCTACTTGGGGGACTGAAATGGAAGGATCACTTGAGCCCGGGAGATAGAGGCTGCAGCCAGTCATGATGGCTCCACTGCACTCCAGCCTGGGGGGGCAGAGTGAGACCCTGTCTCAAAAAAAAAAAAAAAAAAAGTCATGAACATATTTCTGCGTTGTTTGTTGTAATAGTGTCCACCAATGACCAAGTGTATCTCCTGGATTACTTCCTTTGGAAACTATCCTTGCCTCAAACGAGATGTTGCCCAAGGGAAACATCCCTGAACTTCCCCTCCCATCCCAGTCTAGCTAGAAATGGACAATAGTTTCATTAGAGCAGCAAACTGTGGTCTGAACAAAGTATTATTTGCATTCTTATGAATGTTTGAATTTACCCTGAGCTATAAAGGACATATTTATTGTGATCAAATTGTACCGATCAACAGAAAAGGAGGCACTTGGTTTTAAAACTTTTTTAAATTAAAAAAAAAGAAGAGTTGAACAGTCATTGGGAATAAACTTGAAGATGTGAAAACTGCCCATGTTAAGATACTTAGGCCAGGTGCGGTGGCTCACGTCTGTAATCCCAGCACTTTGGGAGGCTGAGGCGGGCAGATCACGAGGTCAGGAAATCGAGATCATCCTGGCTAACACAGTAAAACCTCATCTCTACTAAAAATACAAAAAATTAGCCGGGCGTGGTGGCACACGCCTGTAGTCACAGCTACTCGGGAGGCTGAGGCAGGAGAATCACTTGAACCCGGGAGGCGGAGGTTGCAGTGAGCCGAGATTGTGCCACTGCACTGCAGCCTGGGCGACAGAGTGAGACTCTGTCTCAAAAAAAAAAAAAAGTAATTCAGCAATGGGAAATCTTGTGCTAAATATTTATTTAGCACTTAGCACATGCCAGGAATGAAGGACTCAGCGCCCACAAGGCTGTCCCAGCACCTGTGCTCAGACCGCCCACACCCAGGGTACTCAGAGGTGGAGTGTTTTCAATTTATTTGCTTGTTGTATCCTTTTCTGGTCTTATTGTACAATCCAGGACTCACAGTTTGATGATGACTAGTAGAAGTGAGAGTGGACATTCTTGCCTTGTTCTCAATTTTAGGGAGAAAGTGTTTAGTCTTTGGGCATTAAGTATGATCTTAACTATAGTTTTTAAGTAAATGCCCTTTATTGGGTTGAGGACTTTCCCTTCTATTTCTAGTTTGCTGAGAGTTTTTGTTAGGAATTGGTGTAAAATTTTGTCAGATCTTTTTCCACATCTGTTGAGATGATTATAAACTTTTTCTTCTAATGATACAGTCAATTACTTATTGATTGACTTTTGAATGTTAGCTTTCCATTCACAGGCTGAATCCCACTTGGTTGTGATGTATTATTCTTTTTATGTAATGCTAGATTAATTAAATTTCCTAATATTCTGCTGAGGATTTTTGCATTTGTGTTTATGAGGGATGTTGGTCTGTAGTTTTAATGTCTTTGTCTGGTTTTTGGTATCAAGGAAAAGCTGACGAATAAAATCAGTATTCCTTCCTCTATTTTCTGAAAGAGTTTATGTAGTATTTGCATTATAGTTTGTGTAGAATTAATACTGTCATATGGTTCATTGTTTTGTCCATCTGTTTATATGTATACATGCATGTATTCAGAACCTCATTAAATTGTAAGTTTATTCAAGGTCAGAGAACTTCTCTCCCCCAGTTGCCTTCATTGTAATGTCTACTAACTACTTGTGTTTGTGTGTGTGTGTGTGTTAAATATATATAACATAAAGTTTACTATTTTGACCATCTTTAAGTGTAAGTTTAGTAGCATTAAGTACCTTCACATTGTTGTACAAACATCACCACCGCTCATCTCCAGAACTTTTTTGTCATCCCAAACTGAAACTCTAGACTCATTAAAACACTAATTCCCAATTTCCCCTTCCCCCTGCCCCTGGAAGCCCCATTCTACTTTCTGTCTGTATGAATTTGACTACCCTAGGGACCTCAAAAAGTGGAGTCATACAATGTTTGTCCTTTTGTATCTGTCTTATTTTACTTAGCATAATGTCTTCAAGGTTCATCCAGGTTTTAGCATGTGTCAAAATTTTATGCCTTTTTTTTTTTTTTTTTTGAGATGGATTCTCACTCTGTCACCCAGGCTGGAGTGCAGTGGCGCAACCTCTGCTCACTTCAAGCTTCGCCTCCCGGGTTCACGCCATTCTCCTGCTTCAGCCTCCGGAGTAGCTGGGACTACGGGCGCCCACCACCATGCCTGGCTAATGTTTTGTATTTTTAGTAGAGACGGGGTTTCACTGTGGTCTCGATCTCCTGAGCTTGTGATCCGCCCACCTCGGCCTCCCAAAGTGCTGGGATTACAGGTGTGAGCCACCGCGCCCAGCCCAAATTTTATTCCTTTTTAAGACTGATTGGCCAGGCACAGTGGCTCACGCCTGTAACCCCAACACTTTGGGAGGCCGAGGTGGGCGGATCACCTGAGGTCAGGAGTTTGAGACCAGCCTGGCCAACATGGTGGATCCCCGTCTCTACTAAAAATACAAAAAATTAGCTGGGCATGGTGGTACACACCTGTAATCCCAGCTACTCGGGAGGCTGAGGCAGGAGAATTGCTTGAATCCGGGAGGCGGAGGTTGCAGTGAGCCAAGATTGCGCCATTCCACTCCAGACTAGGGGACAAGAGCGAGACTTCGTCTCAAAAAAAAAAAAAAAAAGACTGAATAGTATTTCATCGTATGTACAGTCATGCACTGCATAACGACATTTTGGTCAATGACAGACCACACATACAATGGTGGTCCCATAAGATTCTGATACCCTATTTTTACTGTGCCTTTTCTATGTTTAGGTATGTGTGGATACACAAGTACTTACCATTGCATTATAATTGCCTACAGTATTCAGTGCGGTAACATGCTGTACAGGACTGCAGCCTAGTTGTGTGGTAGGCTATACCAACTAGGTATGAGTAAGTGCACTCCATGGTGTTCACAAAACAACACATTTCTCAGAACGTGTCCCTGTTATTAAGCAACGCATGACTGTATAGACCACATTTTGTTTATCCATTCATCTATTGATGAACAGTTGGGTTGTTTTCACCTTTTGGCTGTTGCGAATCATGCTGCTAAGAACACTGGTGTACAAATATCTGTTCAAGTCCCTGCTTTCGGTTCTTTTGGTTATATCCTCCGAAGTGGTACTGCTGGGTCTATGTTTAATTTTTCGAGGAGCCAGCATAGCATTTTCCACAGGAGGTGCACCATGCTATATTTCCAGCAGCAATGTGCAAGAGCTCCAATCTCTCTACAGTCTAGCCAACACTTACTTTATGGGTTTTTTTTTTAAATGTGTAATAGTCATTCTACTGAGTGTGAAGTAGTATCTCCCTGTGGTTATGTCATATTGCTTTGTGTAGGGTTTTGCAATCATGGAGGCTTATTGGTTAAGATCAAGAAGCCAACACAGTCAGGCCCCTGCCTCTGGGCAGAACCGGGCATCATATTTGCAGTCAGTTATTGTACATCGTATCTCTCAACTTACCCAATCCGTCCATGGATCCAGAGTAAATTTCACCCTCAGTTTCTAGTGATGAAAGCAGGGGATGAGCTTCAAGGTCATTGAGGAAGGAGGCTTCCTGTGTTCTTCAAACAGAATCTCAGGCAGTGTGGCTAGAGTGGGCGTTACCAGGGTGGGTCAGGGGATCCCAGTTGTCATTGGATACCTGACACCAATGCTCAGAGTGACAGAGTATGAACCCCTCAGCTCTCTGGGACCCAGTAGACTAAGTAGATTGAATCAGGGCAGTGGTGCTCAACCCTGGCTGCACATTGCAGCCACCCAAGGAGCTTTCATTTAGTTAGTTATTTAGAGATGGAGTCTTGCTTTGTCGCCCAGGCTGGAGTGCAGTGGCGCGATCTCCACTCACTGCAACCTCCACCTCTCGGGTTCAAGCGATTCTCGTGCTTCAGTCTCCTGAGTAGCTGGGACTACAGGCGCATGCCACCATGCCTAGCTAATTTTTGTATTTTTTAGTAGAGATGGGGTTTCACCATGCTGGCCAGTCTGGTCTCAAACTCTTGACCTCAGGTGATCCGTCCATCTCAGCCTGCCAAACTATTGGGATTACAGGTGTGAGCCACCGTGCCCAACCTATTTATGTATTTAGACAGGGTCTTTCTCTGTCACCCAGGCCGGAGTACAGTGGTGTGATTGTAGCTCACTGCAGCCTCAAACTCCTGGGCTCAAGCGACACTCCCACCTCAGCCTCCCAAGTAGCCAGAACTATCGGTGCGCCACCACACTGGGCTAATTTTTAAAAACTTTTTGTAGAGATGGGGTCTCACTGTGTTGCCCAGGTTGGTCTTGAACTCCTGAGCTCAAGCGATGCTCCTGTGTCAGCCTTCCACAGTGCTGGGGTTACAGGCGTGAGTACCATACCCAGTGAGGAGCTTGTAAAAATCCCATTTTCAGGCCTCACCCTGGACCAAGTATACCAGAATCTCCGGGAGTGGTGCCCAGGCCTCAGTACGCTCAAAGCTCTTGTTGGCTTCAGGGTGCGGCCAAGGATGAGACCATGGATTAGAGCCATGGCTCCCATACCTGCCTGGGCATGAACATCACCCGAGCTTCTGACTTACGAATGCAGGTCTCCCAGCCCCTCACCTGGAGGTTTTGGTTCAGTAGCTCTTGGGGGAAGGGGTGCCTGCAATCTGTATTTTACGCAAGCCTTCCAGATAATTCTCAACACCAGACAAATCTTGGAAGCACGGGTCAGAGTGGCCCTTCTCCAACCTTAATGTGCCTACAAATCACTGAGGATCTTGTTAAAACATGGACTCCAGTGGGTGGGCAGTGGGGCTTGAGATCTGTGTCGTTAATAAGCTCTGGGGAGGTGCTGAGGCAGCTGATCCAGGGTGCCCACCTGGAGCAGGGATTAGAGGCCTCCCAAAACACCTTCCACCTCCCTTCCGGAAGCATCCACCAGCCTGAAGTTCTGCAATCCCAGGGGCAGGTAGAGTGCCCGCCCCTGGCCAGTCCAGGCACCCACTACCCTCACCCACACCAGGAGGGTCTGCCCAGCACACCCTGTTTTGAGTATTCTTTGCTTTCACCTTTCTCCCTTTCCTGGCTCTGTAATAAACAGCAGAAAACAAAAAACCAGTGGCTGGTGGCATGCACAGAGCAGTAGCTCTCAGCAGCGTGGCCTGGGCTGCCCCTGCACCCTGCCACCTGGCCCTCACATTGGGCGCAATGAGCCAGGATAATCAGAAGCTTCCAGCATGGAGCAGGGCCCTCCGCAGCGAGGCTGTCCCCAGCAGCGTGCTCCAAGCACCCATTTGGTGTCCTTGTGCGTCACATCTTGCCAGCCTTTCACAAGCCATTCCCTTGAATGACGACAAGCAGTCTTGGTACGCTGGGTTAAAAGTCTTTCAAATGGGGCTTGTTTATGAAGCAGCTTCAATTATCAGGGATTTCCAAACCGGCTTCCTTTCTACTGGCGTCGGCATCCAGAGCCGCCAGCCGCCGTGACAGCCGTGTTTTGGTGTTGCCGTTGGGCCTTGCAGTACCGGGGGTGCAAGGGGGGCCGCGTGTTCACAGCGTCAGGGATGAAAGCCGCTGCGACACCTGCACTCCCTGTGTTTACACACTCCCCGATCTCGCATGTTTTTTTTTTTTAGTGGCTGTTATTTTGCAGCACGTTGTGAATGGAAGTCATTATCAAGCACATGTGCAAGGAGGACGTGGCTTTTCATGGGCTTTTCATGGCTCCCAGCCGCTCCAGGCTGCTGGGGAAACAGTTGGGCTCGCTTCCTGGAGGGGCAGCTGCAGTTTTCATCAGGCACCAGTGAGGAGCTTCCTGGCGACTGGGCAGAAGCAAAGCTCAGCGAACAGCATGGGCAAAGTGAGAGAGAGAGAAGCAAGGCCACGGGAGAAGCTGGCCTCGAAGGAGAAAGAGATTGTGGCTCAGGGACTCATAGTTGTTTTAAGTTCACACATTTTCTAGAAGCAAGTGGCACTGGAAAAACTGGATATATGATGTGTCCTTTGGGTAACAGTTGCAGGAAACCCAGCCTAGGCAAGAGAAGAGGTGTATATATTCATACATACATGAATATATACATATTCATGTGCCTGAGGCTGGCTACAGGCACAGCTTGAACCAGGGCCCCAAACAATGTCTCTCACCATCTTTCTGCTCTCGTGGCGTGAACTTCATTCTCAGTTACGCTCTCTTTGGGTGCAGGCCCCAGGGAACCCCGGGCTTCCACTTCATTGCCTTTTCAGCTTCATCAGAAATGAGGCTCATTTCTCTCCGGCAAGCCCTGGGGTGGCTTCTCATAGACCCGGCTTGGATCAGCCTTGCATTCTAAACAAATTCCTGTGGCCTGGAGGAGCCAGCACTCAGACTGGTGACCTCTGGGCCTCCCTCAGGCCCAGCCCTGCAGCCCTGGGGCAAACTAGTTCAGGAACCGGTCATAATCCTGAAAGATATAATCCTGAATGCCATAGAAGATATAATCCTGAATGCCATAGAAGATATAATCCTGAATGCCATAGAAGATACAATCCTGAATGCCATAATCCCAAATGTTAAAACCCTGAAAGGTCAGAAATCCCTAATGTCTAAAATTCTGAAAATCACAATGCTGAAAGATCAAAATCCCAAAAATATAATTGTGGAAAAAAACATTGTTTAATTATTTAAATGATGTTTATTTACATATAGAAAAGGGGATTTTTTTTGAGATATTAAAAACACCACAGAGCACTTTGTAGGCCAATTTACACAATAAAATTGGCCATAATAACTCAGGTACACTGAGCATAAACACTCAGGTACACTAATAACTATCACACGGGTATTACAGTTTTGAGCAGATGAACCATCTTCATAAAGAAATAGGTTAAAAATGAAATATATAAATGCATATTACTATGGTTGGTCATTGTGGGAACCCAGCTTTATAACTGTGGTCATCTGAAATACCATGACAGACCACCTACCTTTGTTTTTTGTTTTGTTTTTCAGAGACGGGGTCTCGCAATGTTGCCCAGGCTGGCCTTGAACTCCTGGGCTCAAGGGATCCTCCCACCTCAGCACAACCTGAGTCTTTTGACAGGATTGACCAAAAACCCAGATGGGTCAGCACCACGTATGTAGTCATCCAGAGAGCTGAGCTCTCAAGAAACTTTATCCTTCTCAAATGCAGTTGCATAAATAGGACATCTCGTCATTTACTGAGGAAGTTTTAAACTTTCCATGTCCATATGCAGTGCTCACACACACTCAGCCTTGTGATAAGCCCTTTCATGAAATCAAATTTCTGATGTCCACAGCAGCAGAAGCACAGCCTGTCCAGCCCTCAGAGAGAGACCAGTTCGCCTTCTGTATTGGTTCTCTCCAGAACCCTGGCTGATTACACAGGGTGTGCCAACACTGAGGGCAGGGCAGGGCTTCCCCACCCACCCTCTCAGACTCACAGCCCTCTCCTCTGGAGACACCTGCACAGACACGCCCAAAAGAATCCTTTACCACGTTGCTAGGAGCTCCTTCATCCAGTCAAGGTGACACATAAAATTAAGTCCACAAGTCCACCTATTGTCAACTTGGCACCCATAGCCACCTCCTGACACCATACTTAGTTTCCAAGATGATGCAGCTAGCCTGGGCACTGCTGAAAACACACAAATCACTCGGAATTCGGCTTTCAGGATTTCCACATTTAGGATTTTAATCTTTTGAAATTGTGATTTTCAGGATTTTAGACATTAGAATTTAGACTTTAGGGATTTTGAGCTTTCAGGATTTCGGCGTTTGGGATTGTGACATTTGGGATCCGTCTTTCAGGATTATGATCCATACCCGGTAGTTCCAGCCAAGCCACAGGGAGGCGAGGGGGCCAAGGTGGCTCCCAGAGGGAATCAGGAGAATGAAAAGGCGTCTACAAGCCAAGGAGAACAGTGAGTGTGAGGACAGCATGCAGGATCGGGGGCAGCCCCGGCTTTCCCGAGGCCAGGTTCCTCATCTCACTGTAAAACATGAGGTTTTGGCTCAGATTCATAATGATGTTTAAGGACCAGCACCCCTCTGAGAATCTGATGAGCCCACCCAACACCCAGTAGGGCACACATTCTCCATGTAGTCAGCAGTTTGTATCTAATTTCCGGGGCTCACAGGACCTTTGGGGTGCCTGGCTCAGAATCCCTGACCCAGGTGTTTTCCAAGGCAGTGGATTCCAGTGACCAGGGCCACACTGGGCTCCCTCCAATGCCCCTGACTGAGCAGTTCTGGGCAAGGGGCATAGGCATCCACCATCAAAGGCTCCTGACGGGATTCTGATGCAACTGGCCCCTGGGAATTACATGTCTAAGATCCCGCCCAACCCTAGGGTTTTAGATCACTCTCTGTTCTACCAGTTAGATGAGTTTTTTTGGCAAGGATGGAAAAAAAAAAAAAAAACAGGCAGTGGGCAGAGACTTTAAAAAGAATTCTAGGCCTGGATACCATGGGTTGGTTCATTTCTTCATTCCTTCACACGCATTTCCTGGGCACGTGCTGTTATTGCTCTGGACAGAGCAGGTGACACCTGTGCCCCAAAGGCTGGTCTGGGCCCCATGGGAACCAGTGTCCCATTGGACCTACCAAAGCGCGGCCTCTTGGCAGCCCGCTCAACACATCTGGAGAATTCCAAGGATGTCAGTGAGAGGCTGCTTTTGTTCACTGACTTGGAGGAGGCAGTCTGAAACGAACAGAAAAGCCTCCCACCGTGTTGTCAGCTTGGCACCCATAGGCCCCTCCTGAAACCATATTTAGTTTCCAAGACAATAACAAGGTCATAGTCCCGCCTAACATGACGCAGCTAGCCTGGGCACCGCTGAAAACACACGACTCTCAGAATTCGGCTTTCAGGATCTCCACATTTGGGATTTTAATCTTTCGATCAATCTTTTGATTTAGTCTTTTGATCATGCTAGGAGGGAAGGAGGGAGGTCTCATTTGTGTGTGTTTTCTCCGCACGTAGAGGTGCTTCTGGCCTGAGTTTACTTTCTTGAAAGTGAAATGAATACAAGGCTTTGGGTGCACAGGGAGTGTTTGTTGTCACTGATGTTTTCTTGTTGTTGTCGTTGATGTTGTCACCAACTTTGGCCCCAGTGGAAACTGCACATGCCAGTCATAGGACCTGTCAATGTCGTCAAGGAGGAGACTCTTAAATTTAGTGCCTAAATTCCATCTGGTGAGCTGGCAAACACTGGAACTTCCTGCTGTGTCCGAGACACAGCCAGCACTTGATAAATATATGTATAAATGAATTAAAGGACAAATGAGCAAATAGTGAGCAATGGAATGTTCTAGAAGTTATTTTTTAAAAATGAACCAGATGATTTAGTGCTAGAAGACCTGGCTTAGCTCTGTGGGTGGGAGCTCCTAGGTCTTGGCTCATCCCCAGCCCCACCTCTCCCAGCCAGAGCAGCCACACCTCTTCTCATTCTGTTTGTTCACACACTGTCCCAGGCAGGGCTCCTCAGCCATGCACTTGACATTTGGGGCCAGATCATTATTTGAGGTGGGTGCTGTCCTGTACATTATAAGGTGCTTTCCAGCATCACTGTCCAGCTGGGAAAATAAAACATGTCTCCAGACATTTTGCCAGATGGTTTCTGGGGAACAAAATCACCCCTGGTGGAGAACCACTCTCCTAAGGTCTTATATAGGCCACATATGGTGGCTCATGCCTGTAATCCCAGCGCTTTGAGAGGCTGAAGGGGGCAGATTTCTTGAGCCCAGGAGTTCCAGAACAGCTGGGCAACATAGTGAGACCCCATCTCTGAAAAATAGATAACAAAACTTATCTGGGTGGGGTGGTGCACACCTGTAGTCCCAGCTACTCAGGATGCTGAGATGGGCAGATTGACTGAGCCTGGGAGGTCACTCCACTGCACTCCAGCCTGAGCAACAATGTGAGACCCTGCCTCTAAAAGAAAAAAAAAAAAGGTTTCATATAAAGTAAGTGTTCCATTGCCCTAAAAAGGGGGGTGGGGATGAAACCATTGGAACTAGGAGTTTGAGAGATGAATTCCCTGGTGCTCCCAGTCTGAGAATCATGAGAAGTGAGCCCTTCATCTCTTCTGCTGGGTTCTGATTTGGGCTTATTAGCAGGAGTGTCCTGCTCCTTTGGGTCCAGGGCTCCTTTGAGAAAGAGGAAGTGAGAAAGCTGAGAACAACCAACCTCCACCTCTCCAAGGAGGACAGGGGAAGTCAGGGAGCCTGAACTCCCAGGAAGGGTATCTAGGAATGGTGATTAAATTATAACAGCTGCCACGCTGGGGTACCGAGTCTGTGCAGACCTCACACTGAGTTTGTCACACACTTTATCTTGTTAAATCTTCAACACCAGGGAACTATAATTAGCCCCATTTTGTAGTTGGGGTAACTGAGTCTGACAGAGGCTGGGTCAGTGGCCCAAGCTCACACAGCAAGTCCATAGTGGAGGTGAGAGTCTAGCCCAAGTCTGTGTGACTCTAGAGAACAAGATGTTCCCCCAAAGCTCACCCAAACAATGACCCCCATCCCCGGGAGTCCCAACCCCAGGAGTGATGGGGGCTGAGAGCTATCCCTGAACCAGGGGAGCCTAGTGCGTCCTTGCAGGGAGCCCTGCTGTCCCGCATCTGTCCCTGGTGACCTCCAAGTGTGGTATCCCAGAGCCCTGAGCAGTGGCTCCAGTGGCTCCACCCACATGTGGAAAATGATGCCCACCCTCGTCTGGGGTGACGAGAGTCAGCCTGGGTTTGCTCCCCATGACCATCTGCTTGTTCTTGTCTTAATTGCACCCAAAATCTAATGTATAGAGGTAACCAGGTGATGATACAGAGAGGTCAATCCCACTGAAAGAAGAGTTTGTTACTCACAGCTCCCAGGAAAAGGGGGGCACACCATGCCCTGCAGGACCTGGGGAGGCACCAGGGTTGGTCAGGTGGCAGCAGGAGTGAGGGGAGAGCGTGTCCCAGAATGCAGACAAGTCACAGTGAGCATAGGACTGGGCAGTTTGAATAATTCTGCCAAGCTCGGTCTACAGGGATGGTCTCTAGTTGCCTGGCACCCGGCCCTGAGGTGATTTAGGGCAGGAAGAATATTGGTTTGGGGTGTGAGAGTCAGATGAAGGAGGCGGTTGGGGGGACACAGGCTCTGGAGTGGTTGGGTTGTACATGAAAGGCAGGTTTGCAGGCACATTGCTTGCTGGCTCTAGGAATCGGCCAGCCCTGGGAGGAGCAGTCTCTCCAGGATTCTCAAGACCCCAGGATGTCACAGCATCATAAAATACAGGAAATAAAAACCATTATTAATATGGTTTATTTCCTTATAGGGTGTTTTTCCTGAATGTGCCATTTGATTCCATCATGGAGCGGCTGACTCTGAGAAGAATTGATCCAGTCACTGGGGAAAGGTTTGTGCTGTGTTCCTGGTGGTTGGCAGTCTGGGGACTGCCAGGGGCCAGACCCAACTGACTGACCAATGCCATGGTGGAAACACTGCAGGGATAACACTGGTGACCACTGAAGGACGATTATCAAAATGGACTTTATCCAACTGGCTGTTCTGTGCAATATCTGTTGACCGTCTTTGCCTGGAAGAATAACCAGGAAATTTATGTCTAAAGCAACACAATGGTGAAATGTTCACCCACTCTATCCTGGGATCAACAGCTTAATCCCAGCATGTGAAACAGCAGCCTTGGGTGGGCGTCACCTGTTTCCTCACTGGCCTTTCCTTGAGCCACGATGCATCCCAGTGGTGGTTGCTGTACAAACACATCCCCATGGGCACAAGTTGCCTTTGAGGCTTCCCATAGTTACAGGAGGTAGATTCCGAGTTTGATTCTGCAGTCTGACCAAATACAATCACTGCATTCATGTTGAAATGCAATGGAAACCCCACAATCACTAAGAGGCGGGTGTTGTCATCTCTCCTGACAGTCAGGGTCACATTTCTTGGTAGGGACGCAGGAGTGGGGTGGGGGGCGGGCAGGAAGGAAGTGCAGGGATTTTTCTAAAATGTAGACCTGATTTGTCATGGGAGTTTTTAGCTTTCCCATCTCAAGTGCTGTGGCCTTCATGTCACCCTGTCCCTGCGGTCTCTCCCAACAGTGAACGGCTGTAGTACTTCCTTCCATCTCCACAGTTGCTGTAATGTCCCACTCCCTCATCTGACTGTGAGCTCCATAGGCACAGAGCCAGCGCCTGTCCTGCTTACCATGGCACTGTCAGTGGCAGATTTAACACAGGACTCAGTGCAGATAAACATTGAATGGAAGGGAGGAAAAAGGAACAAGAGGCCGGGCATGGTGGCTCACGCCTGTAATCCCAGCACTTTGGGAGGCCAAGGCAGGTGGATCACCTGAGGTCAGGAGTTTGAGACCAGCTTGGCCAACATGGTGAAACCCCTTCTCTACTAAAAATACAAAAATTAGCTGGGCAGTAATGGTGCACGCCTGGGAGGCAGAGGTTGTGGTGAGCGAAGATCGCGCCACTGCACTCCAGCCTGGGCAAGAGAGTGAGACCCTGTCTCAAAAAAGAAAAGAAAAAGGAAGAAGAAGAGAAAGGAAGGGAGGGAGGGAGGGAGAGAAGAGAGGGAGGATAGGGGAGGGAGGGGAGATAGGAAGGAAGGAGGGAAGGAAGGAAGGAGGGAAGGAGGGAGGGAGGAAGGAAAGAATTTGCCCATATATGATTGTATTCTGTCCTCCTATCACTGATCTCTCTCCCTCTCCCTTGAGCGGGGAGCACATCTTGGATCTCTCTGTAGCTCCAGGGCCCATCAGTCAAAGGTGTGCACACAGCAGTACACAGTAGTAAATGGCTGGTGATGGTGGTGGTGGCCAGGACACCCCAAATTGGTCCACAGTAGAGTAGAGGGTCCCTTTCTCCCCTGCTTCCAGGCCAGGCCATGGGTCACCTGCTTTCCTTCCTCCCTTGCAGGTACCACCTCATGTACAAGCCACCTCCCACCATGGAGATCCAGGCTCGCCTCCTGCAGAACCCAAAGGATGCTGAAGAGCAGGTCAAGCTGAAAATGGACCTGTTCTACAGGAACTCAGCTGACTTGGAGCAGTTGTATGGGTCGGCCATCACCCTCAATGGGGACCAGGACCCATACACAGTCTTCGAATACATCGAGAGTGGGATCATTAATCCCCTGCCCAAGAAAATCCCCTGATGGGTTCAGAGCCAGGAGCGCTGCCCCAGGGAAAGAGTTAATCCCCTGCCCCCAGCCCCCCAGCCTCGGCACAGCTCCCCTAAAAAGCCAATAAAGCCTGCTGGATACAGTCTCGTACGTCCTGAAGGTGAGGTGGCCGGAAGTTGGCCTCGTGTAGGGGTCTGGGGACACAGGACAGGTGAAGACCACAGTGATGATAAAGTGGAGTGCAGGCCGGGTCTCTGGAGTCGGACCTGGGACAAATGGTGGCTCCAGCACCAACGCATGGTGTGTCCTTGGAGTCCCAACCCACAGAGCCTCTCTTCTCACAACCAACTTGAGGCTAAAAACCGTAGCCGCCTCGCAGGGTGGCTGTGGGATAAAGAGTGGTGATGCCGATGAAGATCTCAGCGCAGTGCCGGGCTCTGGAAGCACTCAACAAACACAGCTTTTAAAACACCCACCTTGGCCGGGTGCAGTGGCTCATGCCTATAATCCCAGCACTTTAGGAGGCCGAGGCGTGTGGATCACAAAGTCAGGAGTTCGAGACCAGCCTGGCCAATATGGTGAAACCCCGTCTCTACTAAAAATACAAAAATTAGTTGGGCGTGGTGGCTCAAGCCTGTAGTCCCAGTTACTCAGGAGGTTGAGGCAGGAGAATCGCTTGAACCCGGGAGGCGGAGGTTGCAGTGAGCCAAGATTACGCCACTGCACTCCAGCCTGGGTGGCAGAGCGAGACTCCATCTCAAAAAACAAAACAAAACAAAAAAACCAAGAAACACCCATCTCTTGGGCGGCGCCATCCAGCACAGCTCTCGGTAATGAAGAGCATGATCTCCATCTGCCTGTCCAATGTGGCAGCCACTAGCCATGGGTGGCTATTGGGCACTTGAAAGTGACGAGTGCAACCGAGGGGATGGTTTCAACATTGTATTTAATTTTCACAAATTTAAATAGCCAACTTGCGGCTCCAGATAACAGGCGTAGCTGTCTGCCTCTAGAGAGATGTAATGCAGTGTTTGATGGATATAGCACAGTTCTTGACAGATGTAGCTGTTTCTTTAGACTTGCTTCTTCAGGTCCCACGAAGTGAAAAGAAATGGTCTCTCTAGGGTCTGCAGAGCACACAGGGCCCAGGAGCAGACGCCAGAGCGACAGTGACATCTTAGGCTGATGGAGCAATCGATCCTCTTCTCCCATTATTTCCTTTGACCTTCCAAATGGTCTTCATTAGGTAGGTGCTTGGGGGTTCCCCCAGCGACACGAGGACACTGAGACCACAGAGGGTAAGTGCCATGCCTGAGGTCACCTGGATCCAAGGCTAGACCTGAACCCAGTGCTCTGGGCAACACCTGTGCTCTGCCTACCTGGCCTCAGCAGCCCAGGCCAGCCTGGGTTCTAGCCTCTGGGGCTGTGGGAAGCTTGGGAGTCTGGGCCTGATGGCTAAAGCCCCTTCTAATCTAGGGTAGCCTAGAGCCCTTCCAGCAAAGATCTAACCCTCGCACCAACCATGGTAGCCAAGGACCAGGCCAGCCAGCAGCTCCCATGAGCTGAGCCAAGCTTCCTGGGCCCACCTCCTTTGCTTCTGCCCTGGTTGCAGGCAGGCTGAACGCCAGGCCAGCCCAGGCCCTCTCTGAGGGGCCTTCTCCAGAGGTCCTGCCTCCTGCATCTTCCCTGTGCCTGGCGGCTCAGTCTCCACACTGCCTCCCTGCCCTGCTCAGCCACTGGATACCACCTCCTGAAATTCCATCAGGGGCCTCCCCTGCCCAGGGCTCAGTTCTTCCCAAAGACCCCTGGGGGGAAGAGGGTGTGTACCCTGAACTTTCTCTGACAATGTGCCCCTGACCAGGAAGCCTCCATCCAGCCTCAGGAGGCCCCCGTTACAGTCTGCACATCCAGGTTGTAAATGCCCCATGCTGGGTGATGAAGCTCTGCCCCTTGGACCAGCCCCCAGGCTGGAGGAGACAGCGGACCTCAAAGCTGGCCAGCACAGGCCTGGCTCTGGTCACTTCCCTCTGTGGCTCTCCCCTTCTGCCTGGCATTCCTGGTCCCTGGAAGGGATCTCAAATGAAACGCCATTTGGATGTAAATCCTTAGTGATTACATCATTTATTCAGTGATAATAAATGCTTTAGTCCCAGCTACTCAGGAGGCTGAAGTGGGAGAATGGCGTGAACCCGGGATGCGGAGCTTGCAGTGAGCCGAGATCCCGCCTCTGCACTCCAACTCCAGCCTGGGTGACAGAGCGAGACTCCATCTCAAAACAAAACAAAACAAACAAAAAAACAAACCCCAGAGGCTTACAGTTCACAGAGCAGACAGAACATCTGATTTCTGATCATTCCTGAGATCCATCCCTGCCCTTGGGTTCCATTAAACATTCCTCTATTCTCCCAACATGCTCACCTCTTTAGCCTGGGGGTCAGATGAGTTTTAAGAGTACAGTGGTACAGTTAGGACTAACCTAGAGATGGGTCAGATGAGTTTTAAGAACACAGTGGTACAATTAGGACTAACGTAGAGAGAGGTTAGGACTCACCCAGGAAAGCAGGTGAGAGGTGAGAGGGAATTTAAAATGAGATCAGGACTCACGGGAGCCCCCCTAAGGAGTTGCAGGTCACTTGGGAGCTGAGTTTTAAGGCACACTTGAGGGTTCAGAGGCATGAAAATGATGGCCGCGGTGGCCCATCTGGAGCTGCAGCTTCGAAGACATTGGCGGCGGTGGGGGAGGTGTGGCTGAGGCTGTGGGCTCCAAGGAGCAGTGGGAGCCCTGCCTCCTTCCACGGAGGCAACTGCCGCGGACCAGGCATCCCTGCCTGGGGCCTGGGAAGCCACATCACCACCACCGCAGGCTCGGAAGCTGGCAAAGTTGAGGCCAAGCCTGGGCGCTGTCACGACCCAGGGCCGGGTGTGTGCTCTGGGCACAATGACACTCCAACCCCCTGCTGCTTCGGACTTTGCCTAGAAACACAGAGAGGGAGGTTGGAGGGGAGCTGAGGGCAGCTGGGCACTGGCCTGTAGGCACCCCTCAGCGGGAAGAGCCTGGGTGCCATGGAGCACATGATCAATGGCAGCAAGAGGCAGACAGGCTCCTGGGTGGAAAGGGGCAGGTCCCTGGTGAGGCCCCACCTTCAAGCCAGGGACGGCCTGAAGCGTGGTGGGCCAGGCTCAGTTCTGGTAGAGTCCATGGCCTGGAGTGAGAACTTAGGGTGCTTTTTCCAGACCCACCCATGGCTGCCCATGGATCAGTCAGCATCTACTTCTTCCCTTCTGAAGCCCAAGCCCATAAAACCTGGGACTCAGTCACACTCACCAAGACATTGGGATGACCAGCTGTGGGAAGGAGCTACCCAGTTCAGGTCTCCTGAGTTGGGACGACCTGCCTGCAGAAAGGAGGTACCCACTTCGGGTCTCCTGAGAGCTGTCCTGTCGCTCAATGAAACTTCTCTCCACCTTGCTCACCCTCCCGTTGTCCCTGTACCTCATTCTTCCTGGATGCAGGACAAGAACTCAGGACCTGCCGAATGGCGGGACTGAAAGAGCTGTAACACAAACAGGGCTGAAACATGTCCCCCCCACCCCGCAGCCCCCCACTCATCACATTGCAGGCAACAAGAAGGAGAGAAGAGCTGCGGCCCCTCAGGGAGCCCTGACCAAGGGGCTCCCCAAGCCAAGGCTATGACACCTTCTCTGGGGCTCTGTGGTTCCTGGAGTCTCCAAGCTTCCTGGAGCCACCACATTCCCCTCATCCAGACGCGGGTGCCCACAGCAGAAGCTGCGTGTGGTACACCTGGTCCCACCGCAGCCTCACACGGAGCCGGCACAGGCCCCTGGAGCTGCTCACCCCACCACAGCCAGCATGCTTGGCTATGTGCAGTGGCCAGACGCCACACTTGCTCGCTCACACATCCCTCGCTGCTCTGCACCTGGCTTGCCCTTGGCAGGCTGGTAGTGCAAGCAGAGTAGGCAGAACAAGCCCAGTGGGCGCAAGCAACACTCAGGCAGAAGATGCCGCCAGCCATAGAGGTTTTCGACTGGTGAAGTAACACCCCAAGGATCCTGTGACAAAAAGAAAACATGACATATGACTGGACTATGGAATATGCTTCCATTTAAAAAATAGAAACATAACTATATTATTATAATACTTTTTTAATGTTAAAATATATTCCTGGCCAGGCATGGGGGCTCACGCCTCTAATTCGAGCACTTTGGGAGGCCAAGGCAGGTGGATCACCTGAGGAGTTTGAGACCAGCCTGGCCAACATGGCGAAACCCCGTCTCTACCAAAAATACAGAAATCAGCCAGGCATGGTGGCGGGCACCTGTAATCCCAGCTACTCGGGAAGCTGAGGCAGGAGAATCGCTGGAACCCAGGAGGCAGAGGTTGCAGTGAGCCGAGATCACACCACTGCACTCCAGCCTGGCTGACAGAGCGAGACTTCATCTCAGAAAGAAAAACTTTTCTTACACAAAAATCCAAACAAGACAGCATATGCACCTCACCTAGGAAGGAAACATCGCATCCCCACTCCAATAAACCCTTAAGTGTCACTCACTAGAGATGATCACAGTCAAAAGTTTTGTGTGTCAGTTGCTGTGGATGGGAGGACGGATGTTCAATACAATCCCATAAACACTGATGGGAGTGGATTGTGTAGACGCCTCTGTAATTTACTTTATAAGAGGTAAGAACATGCTATGGTTTGGATCTGTGTCCACACCCAAATCTCATATTCAATTGTAATCCCCAGTGTTGGTGGTGGGGCCTGGTGGGAGGTGACTGGATCATGGTGGGGGCAGTATTTCTCATGAAGGGTTTAGTACCATCTCCTTGGTACTGTCCTCATGATACTGAGTGAGTTCTTTCTAGATCTGGTCATTTAAAAGTATCATTTTAAATGCACTTTTTTTTTCTTTTTCAAGATGGAGACTCACTCTGTCGCTCAGGCTGGAGTGCAGTGGCTTGATCTCGGCTCACTGCAACCTCCGCCTCCTGGGTTCAATCAATTCTCCTGCCTCAGCCTCCCGAGTAGCTGGGACTACAGGCGTCCGCCACCACACCCAGCTAATTTTTGTATTTTTAGTAGAGACGGGGTTTCACCATGTTGGCCAGGCTGCTCTTGAACTCCTGACCTCAGGTGATCCGCCTGCCTCGGCCTCCCAAAGTGCTGGGATTACAGGCATGAGCCACCGCACCTGGCCTCAGATATTTCTTTATAGCAGCGCAAGAAAGGCCTAATACAGAACACTTAACATAAGATATATACCCTTAACAAATTAAGTGTACGATCCCGTATTGCTACCCAGAAGCACAATGTTGCACAGCAAACCCCTAAAACTATTCATTTGCACAACTTGAAACTTTATACTCCTTGAACAGCTCCCCTCCAGCTCCTCCTCCCCACCCCACTCCCAGGTCCTGGCAACCACCATTCTTCTCTCTGCTTCTGTGAGTTTGACTATTTTTAGAAACCTCCTATATGTGGAATCATGCTGTATTTGTCCTCCTTTGTCTGACTTATTTCATTTAGCATAATGTCCTCCAGGTTCATCCATATTGTAGCATATGGCAGGATTTCCTTCCTTTTTTCAGGCTAACAATTCATTGTATGCATAGACTGCAATTTCTTCATCTGCTCATTGATAAATGGACATTTAGGTTGTTTCCATATTCTGGCTCTTGTGAATAATGCTGCAAGAGACATCGGCGTGCAGAAGTCTCTTTGAGATCCTGATTTCAACTCTCACAGATAACTTGCCTTGTTATTCAACCATGTAGTGTAATGTAGTCAACTTTTAATTTCAATATGTATAGAAGTGGCTGGGCATGGTGGCTAACGCCTGTAATTCCAGCACTTTGGGAGGCCAAGTTGGGTGAATCACCTGAGGTCATGAGTTCGAGACCAGCTTGGCCAACATGGTGAAACCCCATCTCTACTAAAAATACAAAAAATTAGCCAGGCATGGTGGCAGATACCTGTAGTCCCAGCTACTTGGGAGGCAGAGGCAGGAGAATCGCTTGAACCCGGGAGGCGGAGGTTGCAGTGAGCTGAGATCGCGCCACTGCACTGCAGCCTGGTCGACAGAGCGAGACTCCATCTCAAAAAAAAAAAAAAACTAAAAAAAATACATATGTATAGAAGTGCCCCATTTTCAGTTTTTTTTTTTTCTTTGAGACAGGGTCTTGCTCTGTCACCCAGGCTGCAGTGCAGTGGTGTGATCTCGGCTTACTGCTTCCTCTCTCGACCTCCCCAGTTCAATCCATCCTCCCACCTCAGCCTCCCAAGTAGCTGGGACTACAGGCATGCGCCATCATGCTTGGCTACTTTCTGTAGTTTTTGAAGAAACAGGGTTTTGCCGTGTTGCCCAGGCTGGTAACTCCTGGGCTCAAGTGAACCTCTCGCCTCAGCCTCCCAAAGTGCTGGGATTATCGGCATGAGCCACCATGCCCGGCCCATTTTCAGTTTTAATCCATATGCTTGCTTCCATTTAGCCTTGTTTCTTCAGGCAGTGATCCCGTGGTGAAAGCTCTGGTCTGATTGCCATGTTAATCATTGTGGTTGACAGAAGTTAAAAGGGGAGGAACTGTGCTACTCCCTGTTGACAAAAGAGTCAAACTCTGTAAAATATTTTAAGAGTTTTTTGTTTGTTTGTTTGTTTGTTTGTTTTAAAATGGAGTCTCTCTCTGTCGCCAGGCTGGAGTGCAGTGGTGCGATCTCAGTTCACTGCAACCTCTGCCTCCCAGGTTCAAGTGATTCTCATGCCTCAGCCTCCCGCATAGCTGGGACCACAGGCGCCCGCCACCACGCCCAGCTAATTTTTGTATTTTTATTTTCACCATGTTGGCCAGTATGGTCTCAATCTCCTAACCTCATGATCCGCCCACCTCAGCCTCCCAAAGTGCTGGGATTACAAGTGTGAGCCACTGCACCCAGCCAAGAGATTCATTCTGAGCCAAATATGAGTAACCATGGCCCGTGACACAAACCTCAGGAGGTCCTGAGAACATGTGCTCCAGGTGGTTGGGATAAAGCTTGGTTTTATATATTTTCGGGAGACATGAGACATCAATCAAATACATTTAAGAAATACATTGGTTTGGTTCAGAAAGGCGTGACAACTCAAAGGGTGGGGGGCCTCCAGGCTATAGGTAAATTTAAACATTTTCTCGTCAACCATTGGTTGAGTTTATCTGAAGACCTGGGATTAATAGAAAGGAAATGTTGAGGTTAAGATAAAAGATTGTGGAGATCAAGTTTTATTGTGCAGAGGAAGCTCTCAGACAGCAGACTTCAGAGAGAGCAGGTTGTAAAATGTTTCTTATCGGACTTAAAAGGGTGCCTGGCTCTTAGCTGATTTTCTCCTGGATCTGGAAAGGAAGGAAGGAAAACAAAGGGGAAGGGGATTCTCTATAGAATGTGGATTTTTCCCACAAGAGACTTTGCAGGGCGATTCCAAGGCATTTCAAGGAAGGAATTTCATGGCAAGGAAATATATTTTGGAGTAAAAGATGTTGACTTTTTCCCTTGTTATGCCAGAGTCAGATTGGAAAGTAAGTCACGATATACAGCGTTAAATAAAACCTATCTGATGAGAATTTATGGTTTGTAGGGCATGACTTCCCAGACCCCTTAGAAAGGAATTTGGGCAAGATTAAAAAAATCAGAGCTTAGTCCTCACCGCTCCTTGGCCTGATCTGGAAAAGAAGGCATCTGAGGGCTCTGCAGACAGCAAATAGGCGGGAGTCCACGTGCTGTGCATCGGTCCTGGGCCAGCCCCATGATGAGGTCTTGGCACACACGGGCTCATTTCATCCACACAAGAGCCTGGCAAAGTACAAAACTTATGATCTCCATTGTCCAGACGAGAAAACTGTGGCTCAGAGAGGGCAGGGGTTTCCTCAGCTCACACAGGCAGCTGGCGGCCGACCTAGAGCACGTGACCCCACTGTGCTGTCCTGCCTGTCACTGACTCCCCCACGTTTCGTGAACAAGGTAGCCGCACCATCCAGCCCTAGAGAGACAGCACTGACTGATGAAAGTGGGGAGACAGATTCTGTCCCACTGCAGGAGAAATATGAGTTGGTTCAGTCACCTTGTAGGGCACCGTGACAGCATCTACTAAAATGTGAAATGCACATAACGTACTCCACCCATTCAACATGGGACAATGACACTTCTCAGCTCCTACCCTTGAACTCATACGTGCACAAGTAGACACGTTCAAGGATGTTTACTGCCACACTTCATAACAGAATGATAGAGGAAGAAGAGACAGAACCTAAGTGTTCTTTCTTTTTTTTTCTTTTTTCTTGGTACATGGTCCAGTCCCAGCCTGGAGTGCAGTGACACAATCATAGCTCCCTGCAGCCTTGACCTCCCAGGCTCAAGTGATCCTCCCACCTCAGCCTCCCAAGTAGCTGGAACCACAGCCATGCAGAGCACCGTGCCCAGGTAATTTTATTTTTGGTAGAGACGGGGTTCTGTCTACATTGCCCAGACTGGTCTTGAAGTCCTGGGCTCAAGTGATCCTCCTGCCTCAGCCTCCCAAAGTACTGGGATTACAGGCATGAGTCACCATGCCCAGCCCCTAAATGTTCTTTACTGGTGAGGCAGACACGGATGGATGCCTTCCTTTGAGGATTCCCTTCCTCCATGCCATCGAACGCACAGTTTGTTCAGGCTACTAAGGTAACCACCTAAAACTACTGATTTTCCTGCAACTAGGATGACCATGGAACAAAGTTCTGGCCAATGAGAACTTTCAGGAAAGCCATTGTTCTCCTCACCGAAAAAGAGGGAGGGAAGGGAAGCGAGGGGCACATGGGGACCACTCTCCCAAACCTGGGCTGTGAGCGCGAGGGGCACGTGGGGACCACTCTCCCAAACCTGGGCTGTGAGCGCGAGGGGCACGTGGGGACCACTCTCCCAAACCTGGGCTGTGAGCGCGAGGGGCACGTGGGGACCACTCTCCCAAACCTGGGCTGTGAGCGCGAGGGGCACGTGGGGACCACTCTCCCAAACCTGGGCTGTGAGCGCGAGGGGCACGTGGGGACCACTCTCCCAAACCTGGGCTGTGAGCGCGAGGGGCACATGGGGACCACTCTCCCAAACCTGGGCTGTGAGCGCTTCACTTCTGTCTCAGTTCCAAGCCCAGGCCTGGGTCCACAGCCTTCACCAGGGGGTGCCCTGTGCTGATCATCTTAGACTAATTAGGAAACGCTCAGTCTGCCCTGGAGCCTTAGCCATGTGCCGGACGAGTGAATATCTCAACCAAAAGAGGACTTGGTTGGGAAAACAAACAAACAAACAAACACTGAGGTTGTAGAAAGGCAACCAACAAGATCCCCCCAACTCATTCCTCCCACAGAGGGAGAAACAGAGGCCCCGAGCAGGAAGGAATCAACGTCTCCTGCCTCCAGGGCCAAGGCTTCTTCCTCCCCTGGACTTGTCCCTTCTGTGATACCCATTCTACAGGTGGGGAGACTGAGGATTCTGTGGCCAGAGCCTTGAGCATTTAAAAAGGGTCCCTTGGCTGGGTGAGGTGGCTCACGCCTGTGAGCCCACCACTTTAGGAGGCTGAGGTGGGCAGATCACTTGAGGTCAGGAGTTGGAGACTAGCCTAGCCAACATAGTGAGACCCATGTCTCTACTAAAAATACAACAAATTAGCCCGGCATGGTGGTGGATGCCTGTAATTCCCACTACTCAGGAGGCTGAGGCAGGAGAATCGCTTGCACCTGGGAGGCAGAGGTTGCAGTGAGCCAAGATTGCGCCACCGCACTCCAGCCTGGGGACACAGTGAGACTCCATCTCCAAAAAGAAAAATAAATAAATAAAAATAAAATAATAATAATAATAATAATAATAATAAAGGGTCCCTTGTCCACTTCTAACCGGAGGAGACCAAGGTCATTATTAAAGCTGTCTCCATCAAGTAAAGTAGAAAAAAAGTTGAGTTAATGAATTTTTCAGTTCTTAGGTTCATGCATTCCACAAATATTAAACAAACCCATTCTGCCCGAAGCACCCATTCTTCTGGGCCTATAGCAGGTGATAAGACAGACAAAGCCCTGCACTGTGCACTGGACCAATTTTACACTTGTATCCACGCACAGAGGTTCCAAGGGTCAGCTCCAGATACCAAGAAGGGCAGAAGGGCCAGGGCCCAGGCTCTAGGACCTAACAACAAAGTTTGCCCTTTAGCAAAACAATTTCATCATTATTATTATTATTATTATTATTATTATTATTTTGAGACACAGTCTTGCTCTGTCACCCAGGCTGGAGGGCAGTGGCACCATCTCGGCTCACTGCAACCTCTGCCTCCCAGATTCAAGCAATTCTCCTGCCTCAGCCTCCTGAGTACCTGGGGTTATAGGCACATGCCAGGCTAATTTTTGTGTTTTTAGTAGAGATGGGGTTTTGCCATGTTGGCCAGGCTGGTCTTGAACTCCTGACCTCAGATGATCCGCCCGCCTCAGCCTCCCAAAGTGCTGGGATTACAGGTGTGAGCCACCGCGCCCAGCCTATTTTTAATTTTTATTTTTTATCAACAGCTCAGGAGCATCGAACAAGCTACAGACCTACCAGCCTGGTCATTCCTTCCCTGGCATGAGAGGGCTGAGGTCAAGTTTCATAGCCATCACTTTTGTATTTTAGTGATGTCCAAACGGTAAACTCCAGTTTTTCCTATCAAGCTCATATTTCTTTTTTTTTTTTTTTTTTTTGAGACAGAGTCTCACTCTGTCTCCCAGGCTGGAGTGCAGTGGCGCGATCTCGGCTCACTGCAAGCTCCACCTCCCAGGTTCATGCCATTCTCCTGCCTCAGCCTCTCCCGAGTAGCTGGGACTACAGGCGCCCGCCACCATGCCTGGCTAATTTTATATATATATATATATATATATTTTTTTTTTTTAGTAGAGACGGGGTTTCACTGTGTTAGCCAAGATGGTCTTGATCTCCTGACCTCGTGATCCAGCCGCCTCGGCCTCCCAAAGTGCTGGGATTACAGGCCAAGCTCTTATTTCCTTTGAGAATCTTTTCCAATTGCTCTTGGTCCCTGCAGCCAGAATGAGGACAGTGACATCTAATTTACATATGACCACTGGGGCACCAGTTGGTTATTCTCAAAAACAGCAAGATACTCCACTGATCTCCAGATGGAGAGGAAGAACAAAAACTGTGGACCTCTCTATGGGCCCAGGTAGGAGATGTCTATTCACTGAGCCCGCTGCCTTAGATTCATGGGGAGGTTGTACCTGAAGCTGGGCAAGCATCAGGATCTCATCTGTAGTGATAGATAACTTTATGCACTCTACAAAACATAACAGACTGGCAGGGGGAAATTCTATCATTGTATGTAATAGAGGGGAATGAATAACAACAAACTTCCTTGCCACTTTTATATATATATATATATGTATATGTATTCAATGATAATATATATAAAACAATTTTATTGAGAAATAATTCACACATAAAATTCATCCATTAAAAGTATACAATTTAGGCTGAGCATGGTGGCTCATGCCTGTAATCTTAACACTTTGGGAGGCCGAGGCGGGTGGATCACCTGAGGTCAGGAGTTTGAGACCAGCCTGGACAACATTGTGAAACCCCATCTCTACTAAAAATACAAAAAATAGCCAGGCGTGGTGGCGGGCACCTGTAATCCCGATACTTGGGAGGCTGAAGCAGGAGAATTGCTTGAAACCAGGAGGCGGAGGTTGCAGTGAGCCGAGGTTGCGCCACTGCCCTCCAGCCTGGGCGACAGAGCGAGACTCCGTCTCAAAATAAATAAAAAAATAAATAAATAAATAAAAATAAAAGTGTACAATTTAATGGTTTTTAGTATATCTACAGAATTGTACCATTCCCATTAATTTAAGAACAATTCATCACCCCACAAAGAAACCCCGTACCCATTAGCCGTCACTCCCCATTTCCTTCTCCCCACCCAGTCTCCTGGCAACCACTCCTCTACCTTCTGTCTCCATGGATTTGCCTATTCTGAACATTTCACATACAATCATACATGGAATCACACGACATGTGGCCTTTCGTGTCTGGTTTCTTTCTGATGCTTTCAAAGTTCATCGCGTTGTAGCATGGATCAGTCCTTCATTCCTGTTTATTGCAGAGTAATACCCCATCGTATGAAAATGCGCCGTTTTGTTTACTCATTCATCAGCTGAATGCATTTCAGTTGTATCCACTTTTGGACTGTTATGAATAACGCTGCTGTGAACATTTGTATATAAGTTTTTGTGTGGACAGATTTTTTTTTTTTTTTTTTTTGAGACAGAGTCTCGCTCTTTCGCCCAGGCTGGAGTGCAGTGGCGTGATCTCGGCTCACTGCAAGCTCCGCCTCCTGGGTTCACACCATTCTCCTGTCTCAGCCTCCCGAGTAGCTGGGACTACAGGTGCCCGCCACCATGCCCGGCTAATTTCTGTATTTTTAGTAGAGATGGGGTTTCACCGTGTTAGTGAGGATGGTCTCGATCTCCTGACCTCATGACCCGCCCACCTCGGCCTCCCAAAGTGCTGGGATTACAGGCATGAGCCACCGCGCCTGGTCAATGTGGACAGATGTTTTAATTTCTCGAGTATATGCCCAGGAATGGAATTGCTAGGTTGTTTGATAATTCTGTTTAACCTTCTGAGGAACCACCAGGCTGTTGCTAAAACAGCTGCAAGACTTTACATTTCCTGCAGCAGTACATGAAGCATCCAATTTCTCTACATTGTTGCCAACACTTGTTCATATCTGTCTCTATAACCACCCTACGGGTGTGAAGTGGTATCTTATTGGTTTTCACTTTCCTGATGACTAAGAATGTCGAGCAACTCTTCATATGCTTATTGGCCATTTGTTTGTCTTCTTTTGATAAATGTCTGTTCAGATCCTTTGCCCATTTTAAAATGGGATGGTTTATCTTTTTATTATGGAGTGATGAGTCCTTTTTTTTTTTTTTTTTTTTTTTGAGATAGAGTCTCGCTCCGTCACCAGACTGGAGTGCACTGGCATGATCTTGGCTCACTGCAACCTCCGCCTCCTGGGTTGAAGCAATTCCCCTGCCTCAGCCTCCCGAGTAGGTGGTACTACAGGCATACACCACCAGGCCCAGCTAATTTTTTTTTTTTTTTTTTTTGTATTTTAGTAGAGACAGGGTTTCACCATGTTAGCCAGAATGGTCTCGATATCCTGATCTCGTGATCCACCTGCCTCGGCTTCCCAAAGTGCTGGGATTTACAGGCATGAGCCACCACGCCCAGCTGAGTTCTTTATATATTCTAAAGACAAGTCCTGTATCAGATATATGATTTGCAAATACTTTCTCCCGTTCCGTGGGTTGTCTTTTCACTTTCTTGATGATGCTGTTTGTAGTACAAAAGTTTTTAATTTGGATTGAGTCCAACATATCTATTTTTTCTGTCACGTGTACATTTGGTGTCTACAAAGGCTTTGCCTAACCCAGAGTCACAAAGATTTGCTCCTATGTTTTCTTCAGAGTTGTATAGTTCTAGCCTTACATGTAGGTCTGTGGTCCATTATGAGTTAACCTTTCTGTATGGTGTGAGGATGGAGTCCAGCTTCATTCTTTTGCATATGGGTATTCTAGCCACTCAAAGCATGTAATTTTGTCTCTGAGCAGCTCTCCAGGAGAGGCTGTCCCTAGGGCAATAGCTCAGCAGGTAAGAATTATCTGGAATGCTTGTTTAAAAAATAAGACTCAGGTCGGGCGTGGTGGCTCATGCCTGTAATCCCAACACTTTGGGAGGCTGAGGTGGGCAGATCACGAGATCAGGAGTTCAAGACCAGTCTGGCCAACATAGTGAAACCCCATCTCTACTAAAAATACAAAAAATTAGCCAGGCATGGTGGTGTGCGCCTGTAATCCCAGCTACTCAGGAGGCTGAGGCAGGAGAATCACGTGAACCCGGGAGGCGGAGTTTGCAGTGAGCTGAGATTACGCCATTGCACTCCGGCCTGGGTGACAGTGCAAGACTTTGTCTCAAAAATAAATAAATAAATAAAAAATAAAAAAGACTCAGCTGGGCACAGTGGCTCACACCTGTAATCCCAGCACTTTGGAAGGCCGAGGTGGGCAGATTACCTGAGATCAGGAGTTCGAGACCAGCCTGGCAGTATGGTGAAACTCTGTCTCTACAAAAATACAAAAAAAAAATTAGCCGGGCATGATGGCAGGTGCCTGTAATCCCAGCTACTCGGGAGGCTGAGACAGGAGAATCACTTAAACCTAGGAGGTGGAGGTTGCAGTGAGCTGAGATGGCACCATTGCACTCCAGCCTAGGCAACTCTGTCTTAAAATAAATAAATAAATAAATAAATAAATAAATAAATTTTAAATAAATTAAATAAAAAATAAGACTCCTGGGCTCTATCCCCAGAGATTCTGATTTAACAAGTTCAGGGCGGGGCCTGGAAATCTGTTTTTGTAGCAAACATCCCACCGTTGATCAAGTGTCTGCGGACCTGAACTTTGAGGATCTTTGCCTTTTGTGGAGGATGCTTATAGTTAGAACATGAAAATTCAAACATGGCTGAGCATGGTGGCTCACACCTGTAATTCCAGCACTTTGGGAGGCCAAGGCACATGGATCACTTGAGGCCAGGAGTTCAAGACCAGCCTGGCCAACATAGCAAAGCCCTGTCTCTATAAAAAATACAAAAATTAGCCAAATGTTGTGGCATGTGCCTGTAGTTCCAGCTACTCAGGAGGCTAAGGCAGAGAATTGCTTGAACCTGGGAGGCGGAGGTTGCAGTGAGCCGAGATTGTGCCACTGCACTCCAGCCTGGCCAACAGAGCGAGACTGTCAGAAGGGAAGGGGAAGGGGGAAGGAAGGAAGAAAGAAAGAAAATTCAAAAGTAACTGGTGACTTCCAGTTCTGACAACCTGCAGCTTAGAGATCCTGATTATGCCTCTTAAAACAAACCCCTAAAAATTCTGAATGAAATATGGTGACAGGGCTGGGGGCTGGTAACTATAACTGAGCTAGCAGGAAACATTCAGGGCCAAAAAGGACATGAACGCAGGAATCCAGACAGACGGGTGAAGGCTGAAGCCGGAGTTGCCGTACAAGTGTGTGTTGAGCCTGATGGCCCAGATCTTCAGTTAAAATTGTCCACACATGGAACACTGGAGGCAAAGCGCAGAGTCCCCCCACCCACCCAGGGAAGAAAGAGAGACTGGGAGGAAAGATTTGCAATGCATTTACCCAAACAGTATTAGTGTCCAGAATATGTGCACAACTCCTAAATATTACCAAGTCAAAAGCATTCAAATAAACAAATGGAAACATACACGAACAGGTATTTAACAGGAGAAAACACAAATGGTCAATTAACTACACAAAAAACGCTTAACCTCATTGGCGATCCAAGTTTTGCAAATTAAAAGTCACAATGAGATATGCCTGCACACCCACCACCAGAATTTAAAAGGATTGACAATACCAAGTGTTGGAGGGAACGTACAGCAGTGGGAACTCTTGTACAGTGCTGGTGGGAGTGGAAATTGGCTTAACTGCTTTGGAAAACTGTTAAGAAATTATCTGCCAAGGCTAAACATGCCTACCTTGTGACCCAGCAATTCCTCTCCTAGCATATACAAAACGAGTGCATAAGTATAGAAAGGGACATGAATAAGAATGTTAAAAGCAGTTTAATTCATGTTAGCCCCAAACTGGAAATGGCACAAGTGTCTATCAATTATGGTTTATTCATGCTATAAACTATTACATGACAATAAAAAACTCCTGATAAATGCCTCAATAGGGATGAATCTCGCAACCAGACACAAAAGAGCACACACTTTATGATTTGATTTATATGAGGTTCAAGAACAGATCAAACTAAGCACTGTTAATAGCAATCATCTCTAAGAGGGACATGCCTGAGAAGGGGCACAAGGACTCTAGGGTGATGTAAAGGTTCTGTATCGATCCAGGTAGCGGTTACACTCAAATCCTAAGCTGTGCACTTAAGTTTGTGGCCTTTATTGTACATGGTATATGTTAATGAAACCACTGAATACATTTGAGACAGGCTTAAGTAGCAATACACACACACATACACACACAACTGAAGAGAAAAATATTTAAAAGACATGAATGGGATTTTTGGTGTGTTTTAGAGGTGGTTTCGCTCTGTCACCCAGGCTGGAGTACAGTGGTGTGATCATAGCTCACTGCAGCCTCAAACTCCTGGGCTCACGTGCTTCTCCTGCCTTAGCCTCCCAAGCAGCTGGGAATACAGGTATGCACCACTGCACCCAACTATTTTTTTTTAAGAGATGGGGTCTTAAACACCTGGGATCAAGTGATCCTCCCACCTTAGCCTCCCAAAGGGCTGGGATTACAGGCGTGAGCCACTGCACCTGGCCCATGAATGGGCATTTTACAGAAGAAAACATGATTAGCCAATAAAATACATGACAAAAGCTCCACGTCATTAGTAATCAGGGAAATGCAGGTTCTAATGAGATACTGGTACTGCTCTGAGACTGGCAACAATTTGACAAATCTGGCCGCTTCTACTATTGACAGAATGGGGAGCAAGGGGAACTCATGAAGACTGTGATGAGGTGGACCAGGCACCACCACTCTAGGAGACAATCGGCGTCATCTGGTGAAGTGCAGCTGCGTGCCCTGGGAACGGGCCAGCCACGAGACGCCGCAGGTGCGCTACGGTGTGCGTCAGCGGCACCAGAGGAGCTCCTTCAGCCTGCAGATTTTGAGGCCCCCAGATTCTTGCCTTCCACGTGCAGACGGGCCGAGGCACCACTTTGAGAAACAGTTTCCAAGGATGAAGCTGCAAGCAAGGAGGGGCATGGAGCCGAGGGACTCGCCGGGGGTCCCAGCTGGAGTCCCTGGATTGACTCGCCGCTACCTCTTGTACTTCCCCGGGGTGTTCCAGGGGCTCTCGGAGCGCCGTATTGAAATCGATGTCCTCGGTGAGGATCCTAAGCGGGGGACCCAGGGTGGTAGATGTTACGTTTTCTCGAGAAAGAACGTCAGAGATGTTCCTAATATTGTCGAAAGCCTCCCTCTTATCCCCAGTTTCCTTCGCATGTTTTAGGAGAAAAGAGGGAAGGGAGGAAAAGGGAACAAAACCTGAAGACGGACACACAACCACCTCTGTCGTTAGCTGTGGAGGGCTGGGCTGTGGTCCTGGTGGGAACATGGCCCTTCAGCACCTGGGGAGAGGAGCTCGGAGTTCTGGGCTTTCCTCTTCCTTTAAAAGCTGTGTTGGAGGAGTCTGGTCTGTGGTGAAACTAAGCATCCCGGTTTGCCTGGGACCGAGGGAGCTCCCAGACATGGGCATTCCACTTTTCAAAGCAGGCCGGTTCTGGGAGAGCCAGGATGAGTTGGTCACACCCTGCCAGTGTGAGCGGATCCTGGAACCACAGGCCAGCTACTTTCAGGGTGGAGACATGCAGCCAAGCCTGGGGCAGGGCACCGTTGCGGTCCTCTACGTACATGGATGCTAGAGGAAGAAGAAGGGAGGAAGGAAGGAAAAGGCAGCAGATCCACAAGCCCCTGCCTTCTGCAGGCTCCCTCCAGCGCCCGCTTTTTCTTTCTTTCTTTCTTTCTTTTTTTTTTTTTTTTTTGAGACGGTGTCTCACTCTGTCCCCAGGCTGGAGTGCAGTGACGCGATCTCGGCTCACTGCAACCTCCGCCTCCCGGGTTCAATAAATTCTCCGGCCTCAGCCTCCCGAATAGCTGAGATTACAGGCACCCACCACCACACCCAAGTAATTTTTGTATTTTTAGTAGAGACGGGGTTTCATTCACCATGTTGGCCAGGCTGGTCTTGAACTCCTGACCTCGTGATCCGCCCGCCTTGGCCTCCCAAAGTGCTGGGATTACAGGTAAGAACCACCGCACCTGGCCTGAGCACCCTCTTTTGACAAAGCTGAATATCGTGCCCACAGCCAAGAAGGATGGAGTCCAGCCAATGACAGCAGGTGGGGACTGAAGGGTGAATCTGGAGCTAAGTTAATCAATCAGTAAGCGGCTCATGTGTATTATTGATTTGTTCCTTTTTGTAGCTGAGCCACACACCGTTGTGTAGCTATTCTACATTTTGTTTCTATAGTCACCTATTGATGGATACTTGAGTTGTTTTTAGGTTTTGAGTATTGTGACTAAAACTGCTATGAATATTTGCACAATTTATTTTTGAGTATTCGTTTTGGATCCAGAAACCTTGCTAATGTCTCTTAATGCTAATAACTTATCAGTCGATTCTTTTATACTTTTTTCATACCCAATCATATTTTTTGTTTGTTTGTGACAGGGTCTCGCTCTGTCGCCCAGGCTGGAGTGCAATGGTGCCACTGTAGCTCACTGCAGCCTGAGCTCCTGGACTCAAGTGACCCTCCACCTCAGCCTCTCAAGTAGCTGGGACTACAGGTATGGACCACTATGCCTGGCTAATTTTTTTTTTTTTTTTTTTTTTTTGTGGAGATAGGATCTCCCTATGTTGCCCAGGCTACATATCATATTGACTGAGAATACGATATCTTTTTTCCAATTTTTTTTTTCTTTTTCCTAAGAGACAGGGTCTCGCTCAGTCTCCCAGGCTGGAGGGAGGTGGTGTGATCATGGTTCACTGCAGCCTCAAACTCCTGGCCTCAAGTGATGCTCCTGCCTCAGTCTCACAAAGCACTGGGATTACAGGTATGAGCCACGATGCCTGGCCCTTTTCCCCCAATCTTTATACCTTTCTCTCTCTCGCCTTATTGGAATGACCAGGACCTATAGTGCAATGTCGAGTAGAATAGATGTGTCTAGCTCCACTGGGTCTTCTGGGTAACATGGCCCAAGTGACAGGCCAGCTTGCATCCCAGCCTGGACCTGGAGTCCTCTCTTGCTACGGACCTCACACAAAGCTACCAGCCTTTTGAGTTATTCAGTAAGTGAGCCGGAGCTGGGTCCCTGGTAGAGGCTGCCAGAAGCTCTTTGCCTCTTTCTCAGTGGTAGGAAGTAAAAGGTGCAAGAACTTGTTTTTTGCCTTAAGGACAATGCCATGGCATGCCTTGGACCACTGGATCCATAAAAACTTCATTGTGATTACAGGACCCAGAATCATTGTAGTATTTTTCATCGACTTTCTGGCACACATATGCCCCACATTCAAGCAGTTGCCACTTTCCTGTTTCCCAAGTCCAGTTAGGATGCTGCCGTCGACATAACAGAGCAGCATGATGTTTTGTGGAGCGGAAAGACAAATGTCTTTGGATTATATTGTAATGAAGAGCAGACGAGTTTGGGTGGGGAAGAAATCGAGATCCAAAGGAACATACCCATTTATAAATATATGATCAACAAATGTAATTACTGATCAACAAAAAAATACCCTGAATGCCAGCAAGTGGCTAATGAGTTGTAGTGGATTTTTAGCTCTATTCAAGTGGAATCAAGAGGAGCTACAGTTGTTATACATCCTAGTTTCAGTAGCAGATATTGAATTTGCGTCAGTAGTTGTGTTGAGCTTGCTCTGACATCCTGTGTTTCTTTATATATTTATTTATTTATGAGACAGAGTCTCACTCCATTACCCGGGCTGGAGTGCAGTGGCACGATCTCACTGTAACCTCCACCTCCTGGGTTCAAGCAATTCTCCTGCCTCAGCTGCCTGAGTATCTGGGATTACAGGCATGCACCACCACCACACCTGGCTGATTTTTGCATTTTTAGTAAAGATGAGGTTTCACCATGTTGGCCAGGCTGGTCTTGAACTCCTGATCTCAAGTGATCTCCCCACCTTGACCTCCCAAAATGCTGGGATTACAGGTGTGAGCCACCGCGTCCAGCCTGACTGTCATAATTCTTTATCACGCTGGCTCTGACATTTTGGTCTTCATGCTGCATTACCAGTGCCTCTTATAGTCGCCCCTGCAGTGTGTCTGGTACATCCTATAACATCCCCCAGCAGGGTCAGGTTAGCCTCAGTTTCTTCACACAAGTTAACAGAACCCTGGGGCAAGACAGCAAATGTGAATTTCAGTCTTTCCTAGGAGATTGCAAACTGTTTTTGATCCTGTTCTCTGATGGGGATTGAAAATAATGCCTTTGCCTCATCAATGCAGCACACATCAGTTGCCAGGGCTGTGGGTATACTCTGGTGAAGACCTTATGTCTGGCACAACAGCTGCAGGTGGGGCCCCGGCTTGATTGCATTTATGGTAGCCCCCCTCCTCTGTCAGATCCGTCAGGTTGGACAGGGACCAGCCTGGCACATTAAGCAGGGATGTGACGGAGGCCACCACCTCCCCGATCTTTAAATCTTTGCAGGTGACATTGATCTTTAGGATTCCACCTGAGTTACAGCATTGCTCTGTTTTATTTATTCATTTTATTTTTTGAGACAGAGTTTCACTCTCATCACCCAGGCTGGAGTGCAGTGGTGCAATCTCGGCTCACTGCAACCTCCGCCTCCCAGGTTCAAGCAATTCTCCTGCCTCAGCCTCCCAAGTAGCTGGGACTACAGGTGTGCACCACCACACCCCGCTAATTTTCATATTTTTAGTAGAGATGGGGTTTTGCCATGTTGGCCAGGCTGGTCTCAATACTCTTCACGTCAGGTGATCCGCCCACCTCTGCCTCCCAAATTACTGGGATGACAGGCATGAGTCACCATGCCCGGCCTGCTCTGTTTTACTATCTTGGCTGTGGCAGAAGTTTTAGGAGCTTCCACTTGGCCCTTTCTCCACAGGTGAGAGAACCAGAATCCTGACTATGATAGTATCACATCAGAAGCATCAGACTTCTATAAATTTCATGTAGTCTTTAGAATACTCCCATTAATAACACATCCATACAAACATCACTTTAGAAAAAATTTAATGTAACCAAAATTATGACTGATAAAATCAGATTTTGTGATTTTATATAATTTTTGGAACATTTACATCAATAATACACCAATAAATATAACTGAAAGAAGATCTAGTTTCACTATCATTTGACAATGACCACATCAGCTTAATCATTTAGCATCTCTACAAGATAAGAAATACATCCTTTGAGGCTCTCCAGGGGCCCAACTGGAAAATCCCAAAGTTAACTTTAGGTCAGTAAGACTTAATTTAGAATTTTGATCCTGGGGAAACCTGTCAAAGATGTCAAAAAGTTTGAAATACTTGATCAAAACAGAATCACAGGTCACTGTAAAATAATAGTCATTTACTTAACCAGAGTGATAATTAAAAGAGTTCCAAAGCAACATAGAAAGTTAAATGGATGGAGGCTGGGTGCAGTGGCTCATGCCTGTAATCCCAGCACTTTGGGAGGCCAAGGTGGGCAGATCACTTGAGGTCAGGAGTTTGAGACCAGCCTGGTCAACATAGTGAAACCCCATCTCTACTTAAAATACAAAAATTAGCCAGGTGTGGTGATGGGTGCCTGTAGTCCAAGTTACTTGGGAGACTGAGACAGGAGAATCACTTGAACCCAGGAGGCAGAGGTTGCAGTGAGCTGAGATTGTGCCACTGCACTCCAACCTGGGGAACAGATCAAGGCTCTGTCTTCAAAAGAGAGAGAGAGAAAGAGAGAGAGAGAGGAAGAGAGAGAAAGAAAGTTAAATGGATGTTAAAAAATTAGCCCTTTTAAAGCTTGGTTATGGATGGGTGCAGTGGCTCACCCCTGTAATCCCAGCACTTTGAGAGGCAGAGGAGGGAAGATCACTTGAGCTCAGGAGTTAGAGAGTAGCCTGGACTACATAGGAATACCCTGTCTCTACAAAAAGTTTTTTAAAAAGTTATCCGGGTGTTGTAGTACACACTTGTGATCCCAGCTATTCAGGAGGCTGAGGTGGGAGGCTTGCTTGAGCCTGGGAAGTCAAGGCTGCAGTGAGCCATGATCATACCATTGCACTCCAGCCTGGGCAACAGAATGAGATCCTGTCTCAAACAAAAAATTTAAAGCTCAGTTTTTCTAAGTAATCAAAAACCTATACAATCTTTGGCTTTATTAGGCCAGTTACCAAAAAGGTGAAAAAGAAAAAAAACCCCTGTATGTGATTGTTTCTCCACATGGAGAGCCCATTTACATAACCTAGAAGTCAAACCTGATGAAAGAGTACTTGAATTTAATCAGACCCAGGAAGAGTGTGTCCCAGGTTATGAGTGTACATTCTATTACAGAGGAATGTAAACAAGAAAACTAGAACCTTGAGCAGAGGGACACATGGCTCTTAGTAATAGCACAGGAAGCTTCCTTGCTATATTAAATAATTCTGACGTGTCAAAGCCAGAAGTACAGAATCAAGTTATACTGAAAATATTGCTTTTCTCGTCCATCAAGGTAAACATTTCAACATCAGGCCATAACAGCAGAGTTATAGCCAGATAAAAAGTTGCAGGAGTTGATGAAAAGGTTTAGGGAGAGAGTTAACACACCAGCCAAGCAAAAGGATAGAACTTTCCAAGGAGAGAAAGAACCCAGGAAAATGGCTTATGACCTGCAAATCATGTGCAGTGAGGTACAGCAAAAGTTGAACTTCTGAGATATAAATCTGAGAAGTTTCAAAAAGAAAAATGTTACCTTGAGAAATGAAATTACCATTCTGAATTGAAAAGACAGTATTTCCAACCTGAAACTAGGGAAATGAAATAGATCTCAGAAATAGAAACTGTCTGGAGTTTAGAAGATGGATGTTAAATATATTTAAGAAATAAAAATAAAACCTCTTATAATTTTCCTAAGAACAAATCAATAGTTCAAGACTTGGCTGGGCATGGTGGTTCACACCTGTAATCCCAGCACTTTAGGAGGCTGAAGCAGGAGGACTGCTTGAGCCCAGGAGTTCAAGACCACCTTGGGCAACATGGTGAGACTCTGTCTCTACAAAAAATTAAAAATTAGCCCGGCACAGTGGCATGCACTTGTGGTCCCAGCTACTCAGGAGGCTGAGGAAGGGGAATCACTTGAGCCCAGGAAGTTGAGGCTGCAGTGAGCTGTGTTCATGCCACTAGACTCCAGTCTAGGTGACAGAGCAAGACTGTCTCAAAAAAAAAGGATGACTTTGTTGTTCTAACATCTGGAACCAAACTTTTTAGTTTGGTATTAGATTAGTGTACTTTTAATATCAAAGCTCAATCTTTGTAGACTTATAAATAATTTCTTTCTAATTATAGCCAACTTGATCATACACAAAATTTCTTTCATAAATTTCCTTTTCATAAATCTTATCACCCTTTACTCAGACCACTGACGACATGCTTGGACTTTCTGCTTTGTCCTATACAACCTCTTTCTTAAATAACTAGTCATTTAATTTTAGGACAAAATGTATCAAAGAAGATTCTTTCTCATATAAAGTTATTATTTTTCTTTTTAATTTTTTAAAACCAAAAATATATCTTTATATGCATATTATAACTTTCCTCACATATCTCTCTCCTTATTTCTATCTTGTTCCATATTTTGAAACAACCTTTAAATGACCTCCAAATTATACAAAATTATTCTTTTTCCAATAAACACATTTTTATGCCTTTTTAATTTTTTTACTAAAAAATCTTATTTTTGACACTTTTATATGGAGAATTGTATATATTAATTAGAATTTTAACTCTCAGTAACCTTAAATTTTAGTGAAAACCTAGGAAGCAAAAAATCTTGAATTATCTATCACATATTAGTATTTTATAGATGAGAACCATTTTATAATTTTTAGAAATATGTTATCTGATTATATAATATTTAAATGAATTAATAGATCCAAACACACTTAGCCCATTTATAACATTCAAGAAGCCAAAAACAAACTTATGTTTAGTAATTTGTTTCCATTTTTACCTAATTTGGAAATGACCCACACATTTAATGAGTATCTATTATTTAAGTTAATGTAATTTAAAATTTCAAATTACATGAAAAGTTCATTTATAAGCATTTATCCCATTTACATTTACCTAATTTGTTTAGTTTTTGACAGTTTACCTAGATTGCTTGTAAAAACTGAGATATTAGACAAAGCTAGTCATTATTTCAAGTTATTTTCCTGTTAACCTTTTTTTTTTTTTTTTTTTTTTTTTTTTTTTGAGATGGAGTCTTGCTCTGTTTCCCAGGCTGGAGTGCAGTGGCACAGTCTTGGCTCACTGCAACCTCTACCTCCAGGGTTCAAGTGATTCTCCTGCCTCAGCCTCCTGAGTAGCTGGGATTACAGGTGTGCACCACCATGCCCAGCTAATTTTTGTATTTTTAGGAGAGACAGGGTTTTGCCATGTTGGTCAGGCTGGTCTCGAACTGCTGACCTCATGATCTGCCTGCCTTAGCCTCCCAAAGTGCTGGGATTACAGGCGAGAGCCACCACGCCCAACCTTTTTCCTGTTAACCATTTTTATAGCCTATAAATATCAGATGTTCACCTAAGTAAGAACCTTAAAGTTAAATATATGTGTGTTTTGCCAATAATACAGAAGATACATTTGTTTCCATTAAATCAACAATATTAGTCTTATTTATAAAAAACTAACATAAAGATCATTCTGTTTTAGGCTGGGTTTACAGTTTTATAAACTTTGTAGACATTTATATGATACTTTGAAGACATTTGTATTTTCCTTTTACCAATAATTTTAAAACCAACTTATTTATTAAGGATTTATGGGCTGGGCATGGTGGTTCATGCCTGTAATCCCAGCACTTTGGGAGGCCAAGATGGGTGGATCGCCTGAGGTCAGGAGTTCAAGACCGGCCTGGCCAACACAGTGAAACCCCATCTCTAGTAAAAATACAAAAATTAGCTGGGTGTGGTGGTGCGTGCCTGTGACCCAGCTATTCAGGAGGCTGAGGCAGGAGAATCACTTGAACCTGGGAGGCGGAGGTTGCAGTGAGCTGAGATTGTGCCACTGCACTCCAGCCTAGGTGACAGAACGAGACTCCATCTCAAAAAATAAAAAAAAAAAAGATTTACTGAAGTCATGTGAACTAAAAAGCATTTGGGTAAATTACTATTTTATATTAGCATTCATTTATCTTAATATAATTCCTTAAGGGATTTTTGGTTGACTATACTAGATTTTTATATGTCGACACAACATAAAATGTAATACATGCACATGTATGTAAACACACCTAAACACATATACACATCATGTACACATACACAATCATCTTAGAGCTTTCATTTTAGAATATTAGTCATGAGCTAGAAATACAAATTTATTCCTTTATAAAAGACAGTTAGAGCTAAATCATATTTCTGACAAAATTGGGATCTGTTCACATGACTAAACTTTATTTTTCCCAATAGATAATCTAATGAAAGCTGTGGACCAAAATTTGGGGTAAAGCAGTTTTCATGGCAGTTTGAATTTTTAAAAACCTCTTTCACCTTCCTCACCCCCACTTTTCAGTTTCAAATGAGGTTAGGGGTAAATTTTCAATGTTTACATTTTAGCTAGGACTGATGGAATTGAATAAGGAAAACATCTTCAAGTAGCCTTGAACTAGTAACAAATCTTTTTTTTTGGCCAGTCTGCTTTGCTTTATTAGTAAACACAGATGGTGAAGAATTTTAGCAGTTTTCCCCCACCCAGCAGATGTTTCTTTTTGGCTTCAGCATGGCAGAAAAAGCAAAATGTTTATGTTGGACAGAGATACTGCATATAATTGCTCAGAGCTCAAGATTTTGACTCGTTTGATCCAGGAGCCTAACTTTTATAAACATTTACCTAGTTCTTTTTATTTTCAGATTATTAATTTTTCAATTAAGTGTTCCATCACTGCACATAATTGCTAGTCAGTCAAATCTAAATGTATATTTCTAAAAGGTGTCTAGGTTACAATTTGTACACCAGTACAAATTACTGATGTAATTTGTAAAGCCATTCATTTAAAAGCCCTTTAAGACTACTACTTCCAGCTGGGCACTGTGGCTCACACCTGTAATCCCAGCACTTTGGGAGGCCGAAGTGGGAAGATCACCTGAGGTCAGGAGTTCAAAACCAGCCTGGCCAACATGGTGAAGCCCCATCTCTACTAAAAATACAAAAAATTAGCTGGGCATGGTGGCGGGCACCTGTAATCCCAGCTACTTGGGAGGCTGAGGCAGGAGAATCACTTGAACCCGGGAGGCAGAGGTTGCAGTGAGCCAAGATCGCACCATTAAACTCTAGCCTGGGCAACAAAAGTGAAGCTCCATCTCAAAAAAAAAAAAAAAAAAGACCATTACTTCCTTTTTTATTTAAAAAAAATCTTGGTTGGAATGCCATAAACTGAGTTTTAAATCAATATCAGTAGCACAGTCAGCAGATTCAACGGAGGCAGGGAAAAAAAGAATTTAGAAGACTCTACATGGTACTTCGATACTTCCAGGTTTTTTGAATCATGACCATTTGAGCTCTGAATTTTCCTTGATATAATTTTGCCTATCAGTTTAAACATGTGCACAAGAATGGGCCATAATATGTAGCTGGCTGGAGTCCCAGAAAAGCTGGCATGCCTTAATGTTTGAGAATGCCATTCTATTTCTTATCAATCTCTCAAGAGCAAAGAAAATCCTGTAAATCCTGTCAGGAAATGTCAAGCATTTACACCAGTGTTTTAGATGGTGGTGACTTCCCTAGTGGGTTTTTTTTTTTTTTTTTAGACGAAGTCTTGCTCTGTTGCCAGGCTGGAATGCAGTGGCACGATCTTGGCTCACTGCAACCTCCGCTTCCCAGGTTCAAGTGATTCTCCTGCCTCAGCCTCCTGAGTAACTGGGACTACAGGCACGCACCACCACACCCAGCTAATTTTTATATTTTTAGTAGAGATGGGGTTTTACCATGTTGGCCAGGATGGTCTCGATCTCTTGACCTCGTGATCTGCATGCCTCGGCCTCCCAAAGTGCTGGGATTACAGGCGTGAGCCATCATGCCCGGCCTTCCCTAGTGGTTTTTAATTAGCTATCCCATACCCACCATTTAGAAATTTATTTTGGCTCTCAGAAGATTTTCAGAAACAAGCAAGGGAAGAGAGTCAAACCAAATCAAAAGAGACCAAGACAAGAGTGTTCATAAAAATTTTAACCCAGGCATTCAGATCAAACAAAACATTAAAATAGGTACACAGACCACACTAAAAATATATTCACCAGAAAAGACCTACCTCACAGACAGAATGTAAATTCTGCAGAATATAGAGTTGGGTACCCAAAGCTCAGTGTTCAGAGAGACACTTGTCTTTATACCAAAAAGGGCTTACCAGAAGACAAAAAGTCTTTTATCATCTGAGGAGGGAATGTATGGTCCTTTATTAAGGTGACCTTATCTAAACAAGATCCCAAATAATATTTTAAAAGCCTCTACCAAAAAGTGGGAGGCTCAGCCTGGGAAAAGACTCACCAGGGCAGAAAAGGTGAGCTGCAGAAGCAGAGAGCACAAAAGGCTCACATGAGTACTGCACACTGGTTCCCATAATCGCTGATCTGATAGTGATCTTTTTTTTGGGTCTCACTTCTGACACCATATATGTCAGCATAAATATGAGATAGGCTCTCTGAAAGAAAAATATTTGGGAATAGAGCATTGCAGTGGGGATACATGCACCATAGTAAACTAAGTGTGTTTTCAGGGAGGTAAAGGAAGACATAGATTTTTAAGGAAAAAATGAGGATTACATAATTGTTTTGAAATAATTATCCTTGGCTACAAAGGTCAATAATAAGCGTAATGCACGTCTGAGGTTGGACAGGCAGTTGCTGGGCAGATATCTTTGAATAAGTATTTTTTTGTATAACGTTGCAATGGAGTTTGTGCAAGGTTGTGGTTTCTGTTGAGTATTTTATGATACTTTTTGTTATCAGGCATACAAGCATGAGAATCCTGTCTTTATGACCCTCCCCCAGCTCTATTTGTCAGGGTACTGTTGGGTTTTTTGTATGTTTTAATATTAGTGACCCCATTTTGATTCTACCAACTTTTACAACATCCTATTTGCTTTATATAGTCATCGTTTTTGCCCATCTATTTTCCCTTTTTCGTGCTCTTATTTGCTGCTTCTCTGGATTTCCTTCTACCTAATAATACCCTTTAGAATTTCTTTCAGTGCTGGTTTGTTTGTAATAAATTATTTTTCATTTTTGTGTTAAAATATCTTTACTTTCATTATGACAGGATACTTTTGCTGAGTTCAGAATTCTAGGTTGGTATTTTCTTTCAGCATGTTGAAGGCACCTTTCCATTGTCTTCTCACATTCATTATTTCCACTGAGAAGTAAGCTGTCAAGTCTTATTGATGCTCCTTTTAAGGTGACTTGTCTTTTGTCCTTGGTTACTTAAAGCTTTTCTAGTTTTTGATTTTTAGCAGTTTTATTATGATAGATTAGATGTGCTTTTCATTTTCTTTGTCCTGTTTGGTGTTTATAGGGCTTCATGAATTTTTTAGTTAAGTTTTGGAAAATTCCAAGCCATTATTTCTTCAAATATGTCTTTTGCCCCATCTTCTTTCTCCTTTCCTTCTGGGATTCCTATTACATTTATTTTCCTTACATCCTCCCATCATATCTCTAATGCTTTTTCCTGCATTTGGGGGTTTTGTTTTTCTCTCCCCACATCATTCTGGATATTTTCTTCTGGCTTTTTCTGTAAAAGCCCAGACAGTGAATATTGTAGGCTTTGTGGGCCATGTGTGGCCTGTGTTGCTGCTGCTGCTTCTTTTGTAGCCCTGTACAACTGTAAAAATTCTCAAACTTATCTTTTATTTCTCTGAGAATATTAAACATGATTAAAGTTCATATATGATAACAACATAATTTGGATCACCTTTTTTTTTCTGTTTTAAGAAAAACATGTTGTCTTATAGTCTTGTGTGCCTAGTTATTACTTTTTGGGGCTGGCTATTATTGATTGAATGCCAAACATTGTGATTTGAGGCCTAGGGATAGCCTCTTCCTTCAAAAGAAGATCATGAGAAGCTCTGACCAACCTAGATCACTTTAACCCATCTTCAAGGATTGAAATGATGGGAAGCTGGGCTTCAGTTTCTGTGGAAACTAGCCTGTTTTCAGTTCACCTTTTCTCTGAAGGTGTGCTCTTTTGGATTCCCAATCCTAAAAGTGGAGGTTTCTTACCAGGATAGCCCCTTTCTTGGTGGGCAATGCTGTCCAATTTCTGTTATGGTCATGCAATGATGTCAAAAGCTCTGCTACTCTTTTTAGCCTCTCATCTCTTTCTTCTGAAACTGGCAGACTCATCTAGGAGAAGAAACCTACCTTGAATGCTGGGTTTGCCTGAGACTCCTCCTTCTCCCAGATATTCGCCTTGTAATTCCTGCCTGGTTCAGTCTCCAACACTTTCATATGTATATTTCAACATTTTAAACTAGCTTTTCTGATTGTTCTCAGCAGGAATATGTGTCTAAATTGTACATTTATCACTGCTGAAATCCCTGCAATCAGTATTTCATTTAAATTATCTCACAATAGGAGTAGCACAAATACTTTGGCTTTTTTTTTGAAGTTTCTTATTCAATGAACTTCAAACGATGGGCTGGATTAAGCTCAAGTACACCAATGGATGGGAGGACTAGCTTCAATTCATCTGAAGGGGAATTTTAGAGGAAGACTGAAATTAGCCAGACTTGCAAGAGAGAAAGGATTCACTACAGTGGTCTATTCCATGTGTCCTCCTTAGGAAAGGATAAAATTAAAAATCTTGTCTTAATAAAGTTAAAAGTAACTGGTGTAGTGATGCTGAGAATCTCAGGTAAGACTGACGATTTGTACAAACCAATAATCCATGTGAACTGTTGGTGGGCACCATAGAAGCAAGGCAGGGAGCAGTGTTTGGGTTCATTTGTGGACCAACAGTATTCAAAACACAGATCCCAGATCAGCAGTGTGAACAGCAACCAAGAATGCACTAGAAATAGCAGTTCTCAGGCTTTATCCCAAATCTACTGAATCAGAAATTCTAGGGGTGGGGTTCACCCCACCCAGTGTTTTTTGTTTTTTTTGTTGTTGTTGTTTTTTGTTTTTTTGTTTTTTTTGAGACAGAGTCTCGCTCTGTCACCTAGGCTGGAGTGCAGTGGCGCAATCTCAGCTCACTGCAAGCTCCGCCTCCCAGGTTTACGCTATTCTCCTGCCTCAGCCTCCCGAGTAGCTGGGACTATAGGCGTCTGCCATCACGCCCGGCTAATTTTTTGTATTTTTAGTAGAGACAGGGTTTCACCGTGGTCTCGATCTCCCGACCTCGTGATCCGCCCACCTCAGCCTCCCAAAGTGCTGGGATTACAGGCGTGAGCCACTGCATCCAGCCCACCCCACCCAGTGTTTTAACAAATCCTCCAAGTCTTTCTGATGCACATGGATGAACCCATTGATACACTGCCTCTACCATAAAAGCACAGATGACTATCTGCAAAAAATGCTGGTATATTCTCATCTTTTCACAAATACATAATGCTTATAGAGATCATATTTTTCAGGGTCACTTTCCTCACCAAATACTATTTAATTGACATTGTTAAGAACATGTGGCCTAACATATTACTGAACCTCTGTTACTTCCCCTTACATTCCTCCTTTTTCTGGAATAGACAACCTAAGACTTACTGACTTGGTTCTGAGGTAGTTGCTAGTGGCCAGTTCCCTAACACTTCCCTCACAGAGCTCTTTCCTCCTTGTCTGCCCATGCCCGGGCATTACTTAACTTTGTTGGGGGTGCTCAGGCTTTCAGAGGTTTCCAAGCTTTGCTATAAACCGTGGCAACTCCATAAAACAGACACGCACTATACAAATAATTATGTTATTTATTTTGAATAAAAAAGTGGCCAAAATAACAATACTAATGGCTCTGTATACAAACCACAACATATTCAAGGTTATCTCACATTTACAAAACTGCCATTATGTACAGCACTACATATTCACAGCAACTCTATTAGACTCTAAGTACCAGAATCATGTAAGCAATTGAGGGGAATCCCAAATGAGAAAGAGCTAAAACCAATGGTAGTTCATCAATTGGAGAAATGGCCAACCAGCGACTTGGTAAAGAAACAGAGGTTCTGTTACCCTTTTAACAAGTAATAACTAAAATATGATTACCCCACAGGGCCTTATACTGACAAACCACCCTCCCCAAATTTCCATTTCATTTTCTCCATAATCTTCCCCACTTCAAAATTTTCCTAGGAACCTCAGCTCTAATATTAGATAAAAACGCAGGACACTGATATGTAATCTTCAGGAAAAGAAGGTTAAGTAGTGCTAAGGATGTGGGATGATCTGGTTCAACCCAAAAAAGCCAGTTCAAACCCAAGAAAGAACTCTGCCCTCTTCTGGCAGGAGTAGCTTTGTAGTGTTGAACACAGGGGAAGTGAACCACATTTCATCCTGATGAGGCAGGAAGTTACTCACTCATTCTACACGTCATGAGCACCTACCCTGTGCAAGGCACTTTACATTAGGTGCTGCAGGAACAACAAAGATAAAACAATTCCTGCCCTTGAGGAGCTTACAATCTAGTAATGAAAACTATGTACATATATACAATGGAGAGAAGTCACCAACTTTTCTGGATTGGGGGGTATTCCAAGCAAAATGCATTGTTATCAAACTTTTTTTTTTCAACACCAAAAGTCTATAAAACATTCCACCTAATCAGATGGTAAGAATTGAAAAAGCATCTCCTTTCCAAAACCTTATGTTTTTAGATGACTGTTCTGTTTATTTCAAAAAAAAGTCATAGGTAAACACATATATAATTCAAAGCCAAGCACAAGATTTAGTACAGGCATTGGGTAAACATAAAACATGTATCACTATACACAACACAGACTTATTTTTCTATATAGTCTTTTCTATAAACAAGTTTGATATTCACTTTCATACATCAAAGTACAAATCTGAGTCAAAGCCTTGAAAACAACATAATTCTTAGGACGTTTAGCATTTAATTTTCCATTAGTGGAGAGAACCCTAAACCTTACCAGTCTGCTAGCCAAATGTAAACTGGTAAAGTATGAAATGCCTCAAAGCCATCATTATCTCTTACATTATCCAATTTGACCATTTTACAGGATTTTTTTTTTTAATGAAAGTAACAGGATTTCATGACAGTGAGGCAACTTTTTACTTTAAAAATAAGCATAAGATTTAGAGTTCTAAACTTTAATTCTAACCAACCCATTTACAGTATTTCACTTAGCCTATACCTTATTTTAGCATGAGAGTATAATCTTACACTTTCGTCAACTCTTCTCAAACCCAGAAAGAATGAATACCTTCTTAGATCATGTTGGCAAAGCATATCATATTGATCTAAACAACTCTCTGGTTAGGACCCCAGATTTTATAGTAGGTCTTGGCCCTAGAGTATAGTTATGACTCAGAAAATACAAGATAAGCTGAACCACCTAATTAAAAGGATTGGAGGAGAAATATTCATATACCAAAAGAATTAACCTCTTTCTAGGACAGCTTTACAAATAACTACTCGTCTGTCAAATTTATTTCCACAGCAAGTTTTCAAAAACAGCACCATGTTAAACCATCTATGCAGATGGCAGGCTACATCCTATCAATGAGACATGGACTGGCTAACAAGTCCTGACGATGATTTGTATCTGTGCCATGGAAATGAGTTTACAATCTTCTGAAAAACCCCACTTCTTCATCGGGATAGTGATTCTGTACTACTTTAGATAACTAGAAGCAACTCAGTATTTTTGGAGTTTGGCTGAATTCCATTAAAGGACAGTTGCATTTCACATGCTCTATACTAGGTTGAACAGCAGATACCATGCTAGCAGACATGAAGCAGATCTTTACTCCAAAAACCTCTTTTAGCTTCAAGAAAGAGCAGTTCTAAGTATAACTATGAGAGACCTGAGACATAGTCTAAAGCTGTTTGAGGCTGCCAGTTGATACTTGCACTAATGGCAAAAATAAAAACAGTTCATTACAGTTAGATCCTTTAGAGGGATTTTTGATGACCCAACCTTGAAGGCAAAGGTTCCATTCTTGAGACACTCCCCAGTCTCACTGAATTGCTAAACTCCAACGCACAGAAGAGCAGTGAAAGAGCATAAAGATACATCATAATGAATTATGGAAACCATGCAGAGACTCAAAACAGTCCATGGTGGGCTAATTGTAAAGACATTCCTGTATTTGTCTGCCTATTTGCCGTCTGTACTTACTTTGAATATAACCCATTCAGCTTAGCTTAACCATAATTTTTGCTTATGAAGAATATTGGCTGGGGGTGGGAGTGAGGGGAAACAGGTGGTGGGAAGGAGCTAAAATTTCACATCCCTTAGCCCAAAGTCAAACCAAGAGCTACTGAGCACCCTGACAAGGAAATTATAGTTAAGTTTTGAAGAAAACCAGATACAATTAATACTATTACCTTTAGAAAGAAATATTACCAATAGTTTCTTCTAGGAAGTGAGACCCCACTGTACAATTTAGCTTTTAGAAATTTTACCATTAATCCATTTTTCTTTCCAACATGTAATCTGTGTTCTAAAGCAGAGGGAACTAAAGGAATGGAAACCAAGAGGGTGTCTGGGGGAAGGAAAGGCAAGAGAGAGAGGTCAGGAGCAGAAACGATGGAAAGATCCTGTGCCAATCAACCAGTGACCCTAATTCCTGTTTCCATTCCAGGAATTGCAGCAATTCACAAACTCTGAGGCAGTTTAACTGTTGCAGAGAAAAGATGCTCATAAAACCAGTATTGTAATTCTCTTAAGCACCAATAAGCATCAACTTCTTTTGCATCTTATTTGATACCATTATAATTACAAAATAATTGAAATATTTAATTATTGCCTTTTAATATTCTTTTTAACCTAATTAACGTGTTAAACTTGCTGGTAGGTCCAGCCTGCATACTTCAACATTAACATTCTCAAAAACTTCTTAGAGGGAAAAGCAGAAAAATGTCATATTCAACCATGAGCTTTGCCAGTGGCTCTAATAACTTCTGACATTGAAAAATAATTGGTAGTTTTGGCAGATATAATAGTAGGTAGAGATTGCTTGAAGTCTGCCTGGTGGACACACAGGGATTTCAGAATGAGTACCAAGCATAACAAGCTATCAATTTCTTACCTAGAATAATAAGAACAAATTAACCCCAGGCAGAGAAAATGTGATACCTATGTGGGTATCAGACTCCCCAAATGCAACCACGTTGTAGCTTAAAGGGTCTAATTGTATCGAATCTTTGCTCCTGTGCTTTACATGCAGCGCGGCAATAGCACTTCCACTATTTCTCCAGTTCCTGAAACAGTTATTACGGTCACAGCTGAAAGCAACTTGAAATCTACCAAATAAGATCAGGCAAATTTTAGGACGGTATAGAGGATGTAAGTTTGAATTGCAAGAGGCACCTGAAAAACGTCTGGTGCCATTCCCACTTTTCCAAGGTTGCACTGAGCAACACACTCCCATGAGGTATGCTGACCCTCAGAGAAATTCAGAAGCACTATTTGTGAGGCTGCCATTAACTCAAAATCTCCTGTTTCCCCAGCTCTGTAGCTTAACCTCCATGGGTGTGAGACAGGGACAAGGGCAGGGAAAGGCCTTCCAACTGGGTGTGTGGAAACCTGGGGGAGGCAGGTGGTGGCTAGATTTTAGGGTCTTAACAATGCCATTGGGTCCAGTCCCTGCAGTGAGTCCACGTTCTAGAAAAACTGTTGCCATGTTTACTCCTAGAGAGACATACAAAAAAATTTGGGAGATCCTCTCTAGTTACTCCCAATACATTTTCTCAAAAATGCACAACTGCTTTAAATAAAAACCTAAGTTTTAAATGGCAGCAGTCCAAAATTCCCTAGTAAGAACAAATCTCCACTGATTCTAATGGGGGGAGGGGAAGTGAAACTATGCCATAATGATTAAAACTGCAATAATTTTTTGACATGATCTCAATTTTTACTCTTATTTATTGTAAAGTGAAAAAACAGCTGCAGACACAAATGACTTCCACCATACAATGTTCTGAATTCTGTTACTCATGATTTCAATGCTGCTTGGTTTCTTTCTTGAAAATCAATAGTGGATAAACGCTCTTCTTGAAATTACCACCAAATGAGAAAAATAAGCAGAATAGCAAATACATGATTAAACATAGGAGACAAAACAGCAATTTGAATAGGAAACAGAAAACATTTCTGAGCAGACTGTTTAGAAGTGCCTCCAAGGGCTGGTCTGCACTACCTATCAATGCGGGGTGGGGGTGGGGAGGTTGCCGTCATGGTATCATCTAAGTACCAACATTTTTTTTCTTTTTTTTTTGAGGCAGTCTCCAGTCTTGCCCAGGCTGAAGTGCAGTGGTGCCACCTCGGCTGACTGCAGCTTCTGCCTCCTGGGTTGAAGTGATGCTCCTGCCTCAGCCTCCTGAGTAACTGAGATTACAGGCATGCGCCACCATGCCAGGCTAACTTTTGTATTTGTAGTAGAGACGGAGTCTCGCCATATTGCCCAGGCTGGTCTCGAACTCCTGGCCTCAAGTGACCCGTCTGCCTCGGCCTCCCAAAGTGCTGGGATTACAGGTGTGCACCACCACGCCTGGCTAATTTTTGTATTTTTAGTAGAGACACGGTTTCACCATGTTGGTTAGGCTGAACTCCTGACCTTGTGATCTGCCTGCCTTTGCTTCCCAAAGTGTTGAGAGTACAGGCATGAGCCACCAAGCCCAGCCCCATCTGAGACATCTTAACAGACCACTGGGTGGGTAGGGGTTGGGGGCAGAACCTGGATTCCAAATATCAAGGGACTGTGCAGAGGAAAGAAATTCCCAGGCTCTGTTCAACTTAATTGCACAAGCTTACAGCACCAGAGCTCAAGGGTCTCACTTCTGAGCTGTCCCTCTCTAGAAGTCTCCAGACAGACCCCTGGATACTAAATGAAACATCTGGAAATGTCAACATTAAAAATACTGAAAGTCTTATTACTAAAAGAGGAAAATATCTTTTTTTCCTCTGTGTACAAATAGCTCATCTAGGCTACCACAGTTAAGTCTGAAGCAGGGCTGTGGCGTGGGTGAACTACAGTATTTGACATCTTTATACGGATTAAGGAGTTGGGTCAGGAAACCTGATGACCCAGGAGAGAATGAAAAATAAGTCACAATTATTCATTATAATAGTCACCAGATCATTTGACACATTAAATTTTAGTCTTGGCTTCAACTTAAGAATATAGAGTTTTAGGAAAATGTTTTCCATATGCATAAAAAACAAGAATGGAGGGATGCAGACCAGCAGCTATTTTCTGAGAACAAAACATCAGCCCATGTGTTGCTTTACACTTTTAATCTCTGTTGGTACATCAGATGCCACGGACCAAGCAATTTAAGTTCTGGAGCCCGAAGGCAGTTCCAAACCAAAGCAAGGATTAAAACCTAACTCAACCCAGCAAGGTCCTTATCCAAGCTCTCTAGAAGAGACCATTCTGTTTCTAGAAATGACGGGACACTGTGTTCAAATTGCTTCTGTCAAGATACTTAAAAATAAGTAAGTGTTCCTCATTGGTTACAAAGCTGGGGCTAATGCTCATCTCAAAACGACTCCAACTCTCTGAGTCCAGCCATTTCAAAGGACATCCTTTAGTCTCTGGAAATGGAGAGTGCGATTCAGAAATGAGCTCCAGGGGCCCTCTTTACAATCACCAAGGACTTCTCTCCACTCGTGAGGGTCCGGCTTCCTCCAGTGCATCCTTCTCTTCAGGCTGGAGGAAGTTTTCTATGGCAGAGTTCATCATGCCCTTCCATCTTCCCGTCACTGATTATTTAGAAGACAGGAGAATCACAGAAAGGGCAGGGGCTTTGCAGTAACCTCTTAATCCAGTCGGGATCTGCAAAAGGAGGACAAGTGGTATCAACTGTTAGCTTCGGAAAAGACAGTCAAAAGGGATGAATACCGGACTGTAGCGTTGAGAGACGGGCATTCTGGTCCCACCTCTGCAATAAACCAGCTACATATCCCTAGACAAAGCACTTCACTTCTTTGGGCTTCGGTTTCTATCATTCCAAATGAGGCTGGACTAAACTTGTGGTTCACAAAGTTAAATGTAATGAAACAGGAAAATAAGGGTAATGAAGAATGTTTCATAAAGCTAAATTTATTCAATTTAAAGAAAGGAGTATATTCCGAGAATGTGTTCTTCATACATTGTTAATGTTAAAATATTCTCTCATAAAATTACAGTAATAGGAATTTTTAAAAAATGCTATGCCCTTGAGAAATAAAAATGCGGCAACACTGGTCAAATCCTCCTCGTCTTTCATCTATGAAAAACTCTACTCCAGTGCTCTTCTTAGATCCAGTAGCTTCTCATTCTTCTCAAAAGCTTTAAATGGCTAGACTCAAAGTCAATGGGTAAGATTTTTAAAGTTTCAATCTCTTCCAGATTTCCTGCCTAAGCAGCATATCCATTATCAATTGCAGTAAAAATTTAAAAGTTCCCAAAAATGTGTTTCAAAATAATCCATCAGGAGGAGGGAGGTGGGTGAGGGAACTACACATGAAACAGAAAAGGCCATGAGTCAATAATTTCTGAAGTGATGGGCACACAGTGGTTTATTATACCCTTCTCTTTCCTTTTGTGTATGATTGTTGTTTCCCTAATAAAAAGCTACAACAGAACACAAGGTATCAACATACCAACTTATGAGAATTAGAGAGCTTCTGCCAGTTTAGAGCAAAGCTCAAGAATTTATGTAGTTTTATATAGAATGCTGTTTGTTTCAGCTGAGAATAGAATATTCCCCTCAAAATACATATAAAATTGTATATTCTGTACCTAGTTAGCTCACTTGGTTAGAGTGCATTATTAACGTCAGGACAAAATCTGACATTTGCGTCATTATTAAATCACTAATTCCTGCCCACTCTACAATCTTATTTCCAGGTAGTTATCTCAGAAACGGATGACATTAGAACTATCAGGAAAGAGCACATAGACCAACCAGGAAAAAAACCCATCATGGCTACTGGAAGAATGACTCCAAGTGAATATCCTATTACTGGTTCAATAATGTCTTCGTATAAAGTATCATCCACAGAGTTTACATTCAAATATAATCTATCTATGTCATCTACTGAAACAAGCTCTGACATTTTTTGGAATGAATAATTTGTTTGCAGTGACAGAATAGCAACGCAGACAAACTTACATACTAAATGCAGTAAGCACTTCAATATGACATATTCCAATGGCCATGTTTTAGTTAGCTGTGGCTTCACAGTAACACCGTAAAGAGCAGCAGGGGCCTACTCCCCACCCCCCACCCCCGACAACACAATACCAAGAAGTGTAGAGCGTGACTAGAACTGTTATTCTGGGGCGCTGGCCCTCTGCCAGCATGTTCCACCCACCCACCCTCCCAAGTAAGGGAAAGCACTCACCTTCTGGAGCTGGATGCCGGGCAATGCTGTCATGGAGCAAACACCTTCTATATATCAAACTCTGGCAGGACTGGTAGGTTAAGAAGCACCTGAAAGAAGACAGACTGTATTGGCAAGGGAGAGGGTTTGCTCTACTAACACTCAGAAACTGATGTTTCTCCATCACAGAGAGTTATCATAAAACCACACATTAACCAAATGAAAGCATGATACTCATACATTCACATAACAATGCATCCCCCTGTGCACCAAAGCTGGCCAAACCAATACTCCATGCTTAGCAAAGAGACACAACGGTTCTAATCCAGGTAGATTGCAGTTTTCCTGTTTGAGCATCAGAAAAGAATTTAGTCTGTCCACACCTGACCGCACTTTAAATTCTTGATCTGTTTTTTAAAAATTGATCATGTATTATATTGAGAATTATTCGTTAGGTTTTTTGTTGTTGCTGTTGTTTTGAGACAGGGTCTCGCTACGTTGCCCAGCCTAACCTTGAACTCCTGAGCTCAAGTGATCCTTCTGCCTAAGCCTCCCAAGTAGCTGGGAATACAGGCATGTGCCACTGGGCCCAGCTTTCTAATAGTTAAGATTAGAAAGTGTCTTTAAGACTCTGACAGTACACTGGGGAAAACCCTGAAGAATATCGAAGGCAAAATTAATGGTGCAAAAAAATGACAGGACACTAACAAATGTTCACAGGTTCAATTCCATCCAAGGATTATTCTCTGACCATCTACCAGCGCCAGGCAAATAAGGACAGGTGGGATGCAATGAGATGGGAAAGGGTACATCTGGGTTGCAGGGAAGGTTTCCCAAAAAATAACAGTTTTCAGGTGAGCAACTAAGGAGCAGAAAACACAAAGGAGGAGGTTGGGGAAGGGACTCCAAGCAGGCAGAGGTTAGGGGAAGGGACTCCAGGCAGGCACACCTTGAGTAAAGAACTGAATATCTAGGAAGAAAGATTACAACTGAGTGACAGCAAGCACTGGTTCTCACCTAGAGAAATCATACTGGGGTATTTCAGCCCTAACTTTAGTCAAGAAAAATGAAAACAGTTTTCCTGAAAGAACCCATCTAGGAGACATTAATGTGTAATGCTTACACATGTGGCTTCTGGAGACAGAATGTCAGGTTCTGAGCTATGCCACAAGCCACCATTGTGACTTGGGCAAATTATTTAACTTCCCCAGGCCCCAATCTCATCTGTAAAAACAAAAGTAATCATGATGCTCCCCATACATGGTTGTTGCAAAAATACATTCCACCTATCCTTATTTGCCTGGCCCTGGTAAAGGCTCAATGAATAATCTTTGGATGGAATTGAACCTGTGAACATTTGTTAGTGTCCTGTCTCTTCTTGCATCATTAATTTTGCCTTCAATATTCGTCAGGGTTTTCCCCAATGTACTGTCAGTCTTAAAGACAGTAGTTATACCCAATCTTAACTAACAGAAAGCCAGGTGCAATGGCACACACCTGTAATCCTAGTAACTTATTTTCACAACCACCATAATATAGTAACTTAATAAGTGTGTACAGCTTAGACTGTGCCTGGCATATTAATAGCACTCAGTATATGTTTTTATTTTTATTACTAACCTAAAATATACTACAAGCTTATTTCCTATTCTTTTCTCTTAAAAAGTCTGAACACTCAAATTAGAAAAAGTGTAGAAGCCAGGCATGGTGGTACATGCCCATAGTCCTGGCTGCTCAGGAGGCTGAGGCAGGAGGATCACTGGAGCCCAGGAGTTCGAGTCTGCCATGGGCAACATAGTGAGACCTCATCTCCCCATCTCAAAAAAAAAAAAAGTGTAGGAATGCAATACAAATTGGAAAAAAAACAAATTATAATAAGGGGGTAAATTATGAAACATTCATACACTAGAAACCTCTATAGCCATTAAGAATGTTATCTTTGTAGTGATGTAGAAAAATGTACATACATTTTGATAACAGAACTGGTGAGTTAATATGGTACGTGTAGCACAATCTTGTTAAAAATTTGGCCGGGTGCAGTGGCTCACGCCTGTAGTTCCAGCACTCTGGGAGGCCAAGGTGGGTGGATCACTTGAGCCCAGGAGTTCAAGACCAGCCTGGTCAACATGGTGAAACCCCGTCTCTACCAAAAATACAAAAAAAAAAATTAGCCGGGTGTGGTGGCGCATGCCTGTAGTTCCAGCTATAGGGGAAGCTGAGGTGGGAGAATCGCTTGAACCCAGGAGGCAAAGGTCACAGTGAGCCAAGATTGTGCCACTGCACTCCAGCCTGGGCAATACAGCAAGACCCTGTCTCAAAAAAAAAAAAAAAAAATTAAAAAATTTAGTGCCCACCATGTACTAGGCATTGTTCTAGAAATAGCTGTAAACAAAACACATAAGTTCCTGTCCTCATACAGCTTTCCATTCTAGAGGAAGGACAAGGAAAAAATATATTAAATAGTGATAATTATTAAGGAGGAAAATAATAACGCAAGGAAGGAGGATGCAAAGTAATGGGAGGGGAAGGTATGTCAGTGGGGTGTTACAATTTTAGATATGGTGGCCAGGAAGGCCTAACTGATAATGGGAAACTGAAGGAAGCCACGTGGACATCTGCTGGAACAGCATCCTAGGTAGAGGAATCAGCCAGTGTAGACGTCCTGAGGTGGAGGGCGCCTCACGTACCTGAGGAATGAAGCCATTCTGCCTGGAGTGAAGCGAACAAGATGGACAAATACAGCAGATGAGGTCAGCGGGAGGACAAAGGGAGGAAGGGGCCCCAGGCTGTGTGGCGTCTTGTGGATCACTGAGAGGGTTTTAGTTTTACTCATCAGAAACAAGTAGCCAGTGACAAAGTTTTGATACAATCACTATCACAACTATAATAACAGACTGGAGGGGCAAGGATGGAAGTGGGAAGACCAGATGGAAGGTAACTACAGGTGTAATAAGCTGGGCAAGAGATGATGGTGTTTTGGACCAGGGCTGCAGAGGTAGGAACAAAAGGTTGGATTCCAATTTGAAATGCCTATTAAACATCCAAATAGAGGTACTGAGCAGGCAGTTAGATATATAAGCCTAGACTTAGGGGGAGAGATACAGGCAAAAACTCTATGTTTAAATCATCAGTGTGCAGATGATAAGCAACCACCCAGGGAAAGTGCTGAGAGAAGAAAAACAGGCAGAAAGACAGACAGCTGAGGTGCCCATCAGCAAAGACAACTGAGAATGAAGAGTCAGAGACAGGACAAAAACCAGGGAGTGCTGTGTCCCGGAAGGCAGGTGATGAAAGTGCTTCAAGGAGGGAGTAATTGTGCCAAATGCAGCCCACAGGTCCAGTAACATGAGGACACACCAAGGTCTTAGAGTGAGGCTAGGAAGAGGAGCCATAATTTGTTCAATTAGGAAAATGAACAAATAAAACAAGAAAACTCCTATATATTAAGCAGTAAAAAACTGTCTTTAAAGGCCAACTTGCTTGAGTGACACTGATGAAAAAAGTCCACATCAGGCTTTATAATAGCAGCTTTTCTCCAACAAATTGGCAAGGGCAACAGATAACTGGCATAAAGTTGCTATTCTGTCACATACAGTAGTTTGTGCTACACAAAACTGAAAAATGAGCAGAAGTAGAAACTTTTAAAATGGCTTACCGGAGCCAAATGTGGCCATTGGAACAGACTGCCTGTTTGCGATCTGTGAATGGCAAGATCTCTTTACACAAACTACAGTGCTCAGGGAAAGTCTGTTTGTTCATCTTCTTTGAGATATGTCCAATCAGCACCTAGTAAGACAAAGTAGTCAGCAAAGTTTAGTGTAAGTGCAGGATTTCCTGAAGAAAAAGCCTACAAACACAAAGGGAAAATTAAAAAATAAAGAAAAAAAGAAAAGAGCAATATTTTACAGAAGACAGGAGATTTGCATTTCCACAAATCCTGATTATACTGTCTGAAAAATAAAAGAACTAGAGTTTCAACCTGTGTCAACTAGCTAAATAAAATAAATTTATTCAGGTACTCTGTGATAACAGGGTAAACTGTAACCACTAAGGAGAAAACTGTTCTGAAAACCAAAATCTTATTACTTGCCTTGTTTTAGTTGCTTCTGAAACAAGGATTTCAGAGTTCTGTTAGAAGACAAAGTATTTAGCTATTATTTATAATGTTTTGACTTTAAGAAGAAAAAGCATAATCTCTATAGGCAAAATATTATGTGGAATACTGCTCTCTTTGCAGAACTGTACAAATGTCTATTCTGATGGCCCAAAGACCCATGGCCAACATGGTCCAGTAGCCTGCAATCTGAGACAAGCTGACCCCACTGCAGAGGCATGGCAAGACCCACGATAGGAGCAAGAAGCTGGGAGTGAGAGAGGTAATGGCACAGGCTCTAGGCCTTTCTTTGCTTCAGTTTTGCTTTTCTCTGCTTTAAGATTACACTCTTGGCTGGGCACAGTGGCTCATGCCTGTAATCCCTGCACTTTGGGAGGCCAAGGCGGGTGGATCACTTGAGGTCAGGAGTTCGAGACCAGGTGGCCAACATGGTGAAACCCCGTCTCTACTAAAAATACAAAAAGTAGCCAGGCACGGTGGCACATACCTGTAATTCCAGCTACTCAGGAGGCTGAGGCAGAAGGATCTGCCTGAGCCCGTGAGTGGAGGTTGCAGTGAGCCGAGATTGCGCCACTGCACATCAGCCTGGGTTGACACAGTGAGACTCCATCTCAGTAAAAAAAAAAAAAAAAAAAAAAAGATTATACTGTTTAAAAATAAAAGTCTGAAAAGAAAACTTGAATCCAATTCTTTTTTTTTTTTTAAAACTTCACTGGATATGTAATTTGGAGGCTGGGATACACAACCCTCAAGAGTTGTCTTCTCTTACTAGTGATAGCGCCCTTCTAGTTTCGAATCCATTTCTGCTTAACCTCTTATGGATGAATCCACAAGATTTTGGATTAATTCACTAAAATTAGTTCACTTACGTTTCAAAGGGTGTCTTACTAGCTCAGAAGTTGGTAAGCCAGCTATCTTACCTCTTCTGTATATCCTCTACAAATTTAAATCCCATTAATTTTTGGCCTTTTTTCTTTTCAGTCTTAAGAATTCTAACATATGGTCCCTAACAGCAAAGATGACCAAACTCACTCTGCTATTCTAGACAGGCCAAACATCCTGATAATGATACAGTGACAAAAACTACTCAGAATTCCTCCCATACATACCTCTATTTTTTCTTTTTCCTTTTTAAGACAGGGTCTCGCTGTTGCCCCGGCTAGAGTGCAGTGGTGAGAACATGGCTCCCCCATCAGCCTCCCAAGTAGCTAGGACTACAGGCCTGTGCCACCACACCAGGATAATTTTTTTTTTTTTTTTTTTTTTTTACTTTATGTAGAGACAGGGTCTCACCATGTTGCTCAGGCTGGCCTTGAACTCCTGGGCTCAAGCGATCCTCACACCCTGGCCTCCCAAAGTGCTGGGGTCACAGGCATGACCACTGTGCCCGGCCCAGATATATCTCAATTTTACATAAGGAAGGATTGCTATTTGTTCTCAGTAGCCCTGATCTCGGCAAGCTGAACTCTCAACTGTGTTATTCTGACTCACACATTCTCAATGGGAGTGATAGTCCTTCCAAAGCAGCAAATATTAGTTCTTGGGACAAAAAGTTCTTACTTTTACGTATAAAACATAGATATACACACAGTACATAAACAGACACACAAAATACATTAAAACTTCATGGGCAGGGGCAATTCAGAAAAAGTGTCTAAAAATGTTCGGGGGGGAGTGATAATTTAAAAAGGTTAAAAAATGCTAGTTTAACTGTACTAGCATACTAGGCTGATAATCTCCAAAATAATTTATAACTGCTAATAAGCCAACATCCTAGGTTTAAAAAGTCTTCATTTTATGCATATAGTTGGATTTTTAAGACAGGAATGCGTGGTCTTCAATAAACTCAGTTGCTATAAACAGGGACGGGTGTGCAATCTTCTGGTTTTTAAAATGGCTATGTTGGAATCACATCACCATGCTAAATGTAACTTCCCAGGCTCATGGAGTATCTGGACAATTATTCTAAATCATTACAAATCCAACCTCTAGTACTTTCTAACATGTTTTTGCTAATTTTTCACTGACTCTTATAATAAACCTAACCAGGTCCCATGGCACTGTGATAACCAGAATACTTTTCCAGACAATGTGGAACACAATGAAACAACGTTTAAAAATTAACTTTTTTTTTTGAGATGGGTTTTGCTCTTGTCGATTGTGCAATGGCACAATCTCAGCTCACTGCAACTTTCGCCTCCCAGGTTCAAGCGATTCTCCTGCCTCAGCCTCCCAAGTAGCTGGGATTACAGGCGCCCGCCACCACACCCGGCTAATTTTTATTTTTAGTAGAGACGGGGTTTCGCCATGTTGGCCAGCTAGTCTCCTGGTCTCCTGACCTTGTGTTCTGCCCTCCTCGGCCTCCCAAAGTACTAGGATTACAGGCGTGAGCCACCACGCCCAGCCCCAAAAGTTAACTTTTAAAGAAGTAAAGTCAGTTACATGAACAGTGCATCTTAATACTCTTAAGACCATTGCAAACATTCTATGAGCAATAATTTCAAAGGCGAACGTGTGTACACAAACATACACATTCTTTCCAACAAGAAAGTGCAACAAGTGATTGTGAATGGCTTAACATTAAGAACAAGGATACTGCCTTCAATTAATACTTTAAATAAGACTTTAGTCAGTAAGTATCAGTCTTTGAAGTAAAAAGGAGTACAGATATTTGTGGTTTTGAATATTTCAGAACACAGTATATTTCTTGGAACACAAGTTCTTCAGGATTTTAACAACTGTTAGCTGCAAGAAAGATTCTCTGATCAAGAAGTCTGAGTAATACCGAGCTACACAAAGGTATCAGTTTCTTTTCTGTAGGAATCCTCAGAACGCTTTGAGTGGTAATATGCACTGGGAACCCTAGTGCTCTGTTAAGCAACTTAAATTCTATAGAATACATTCTAGGTAAGTTTGTTCTGTTACCAAAATAAAGACTGTGCCCAGTTTTTGTAAAAATGAGACATGAGTAATAATTTGTTTACTTTATATGTCTTTCTTGACTAAATCTGAAGATATCCTTAAGTTCTATCAAATGGAAAACATGTCACTACACCCCTCCCATACAAAACTTTTGCAAAAGAGGAAGGGCAGGGAGCATGGGCACCATATTTCTACAGCCATGATTGCCCATCACATACTACTCAGCTAAATGCAGCCTCTGAGCTAATCCAGTCTGGAAAGCTCATCCTGCAAACTTTGCATATCTAACAAGGCCAGTGTGAAGAAGAATCAAAATATTCTTTATATGCTATGAATGCATCCTCTGCATTAATCCACGCTTCCTATTTATTACCCTGCACCTCAAGCAAATAAATTACCTAAAAAATGTCAAAGCAAAAGTTGAGCTTCAGGAACTCAATTTAGGTCATTTCTTTCTCATGAAGAAAGCAGGCTTTACAATTTCAGAGTTTTTGTTAATAAACACCTACCCGTGCAGTTCTGTCATCATACTCTTCATCAGACATTAAAAAGTTACAGAGTCCGCGGGTGGGGATGCTAGTGTTTTCTGTGATCCAGGTGTGCAGATACACTTCTCCTAAGACTCGCTTCATGTGTTCCCTGGTCAAGTGCATCTCCACAGCTTCGATTTTCCCTTGGATTTCCAGGAGTTTCTCTTCCATTGGCTCACGGCCTCCAGCATCTCCAGTCGTGGGGAGCGAGTCATCAGTGGGCTCCTCTACATCTCCTTCCTTGCTCCTCTCCTGCAGGCCTTGCTTCACCACCTGTTTGGAAGAAGTGCCTTCTTCCTGCTGTTCATCGTCAGCATTGCCCATCCCAGGCGAATCCACTAGTAAGATTTTTGAGTCCTCATGGGTGGGTTTCCACAAGGCTTCTGAAGGGGTTTTCTGCATTGACTGATATAAAATCCTCAGGAGGAAAAGCTTAAAACGCCAAAAATAGGTGACTCCACTGCTTTCAATCTTTTTTTCCAAAGCTTCTTGTAAAAATTGAGGGATATGTTTATCTTTTAAAATCTTCCAGCGTACTAGGTCTATTAAATCTACCTGCTTAAAAAGGTTTTGAACTGAAGATTCCAGGAGCTGAGCAGCTGCCTCTTCAAAGGTTTTGAGAGTAACAAATTGGACCTGGTAGTTTTTGTTAACAGGGTGGAGGCCGTTGATCATGCCCTCAGTGGTGATGATGGCCAGGTATGCACCGCAGGGGCTCACTGCTATCCCGTGAGTCCTCACTGAGCCAAACACATCTGAGAGTTTAATCAACTGGTGTTCAAACTTCAATGCAACATCTGTGAAAATGGGAATCAGCTGCCTCACCTTTCCGTCACTGGAGCAAGTATAGACTGTTCCATTCTGTTTGTCTGCAGTCATGGAGACAATTGGCAGTGAGTGAAGGCCTGTGACATGGGAATTGTGAACATTCAGCCCTGCTTTGGAGATCAGAAGAAGACACCAAAATACATAAGAGCCTCTTGCAGCCACTACTAAGCTGCAACTACACTTCTGGTAAGGATGATAAAGTGGCACACATTTGATACTGTGCACAGGTAACTGGTCCATTTCTTTCCACAAGATAACAGGCTGCCTTAAAGTGAAATAGCCTTTGACTGCTTTGAGATTGACAGGAAGAATTTTTATGGGTCCAAAAGCACTCCCCACAATAAGGCCACTCATTTTTCGATTATTGTGCTCATATTCCCACCAAAACAATACACTGGGAGAGGTGATTCCTGACTCAATTGTGTTGCATGAAGAGATGGATTCTTTTCCTACAAACGGCAGCTGAAACTGCCACACGGCGATATTACCGTTTTCAAAGAGGACAGCCAGGAGCACACTGCCAACGTCCCGGCATTCGTTGTTATGCTTGACCTGCTGGGTGGTACAGATGCCCGACCACTCCATTCTGACTGGGGTCTGCATGCTGTGTCTCCTCTGAAACTCAGCAAAATCCCCGAGATTTCCTTCCGGGGCCTCATTTTTAGAGAGCCTGTAACTGGTCTCATAAAGACGTTCTCCATAGATCTCAGTCAGGTCAACCAGCTGGACCCACTGCAGTCTGTTGAGATTTGCCTGGATGGTCAGGCGATTGTCCATGGTCAGTGCTGCCAAGAGGCACCTGCCATTAGCATCGCAACCCATGGGAGACCAGCTGGTGTACTTGAATCCTCTCATTGGTGGTAAAGCCTTCCCCTCAGGGTTGAACACCCTATCCAACATGAAAGTCTGACTGACCGTGGGGTCCTTGGAGGCGGCGAATTTCTCCTTGCACTCAGCAACTTCTGTTTTTGAGCCAACCTGAAAATAAGAGATATAAAAACTATCAGATGAGCATTTACTCAAGGAGATGGCAATTTTTTAAAATAAGTCAGAATGTCATTATTCATAGCCTGGTTCCCATATTCTTCTTAGAATTAATATATGCAAGAGAGATGTACTTGATTCTTAAGATTCAACAGAGCATTTACCTGAACTAGTCACAAAACAAAAAAGGTGTTAACAAATTTATGAAAATATGTATCTATATATATCTTTGATACAAATTGATATTTAGATTTTTACAACATCTTTGCAATACAAATGCCAGCTTTAGGTCCTTTATCTGAAATTTCATTGACAAATAATGGCGAGAGCCAACTCCAACTGCTTTGTTTACTGTTTCTATAGAATAATGTTCACTCTAATCAGACTATTCTAGTTGCCATTCCTGAACATTCCCACCTCAGCTTTCCCCGGCTCCCTTGCCTAGTTCTTCTCCCTATGTAAATCCCATCTATCCTACCAGATCTAATTCTCCCTATAAGGCCTTTTGAGGTCATTCAAGCTTTCATTCATCTCTCCCTCCTCCAAGTTCGTAACATGTATGGGACAGTAAGACAGAGTCTCATTCTGTCGCCCGGGCTGGAGTGCAGTGGCACAATCTCGGCTCACCGCAAACCCCACCTCCAGGGTTCAAGTGATTATCCTGCCTTAGCCTCCCAAGTGGCTGGGATTACAAGCGTGCACCACCACACCCAGCTAATTTTTGTATTTTTAGTAGAGACAGGGTTTCACCATGTTGGTCAGGCTGGTCTTGAACTCCTGACCTCAAGTGATCCACCTGCCTCGGCCTCCCAAAGTGCTGGGATTACAGGTGTGAGCCACCGTGCCCAGCTGTGAGCTCTTTAATAAGATTTTAAAGGGACATCAAAGATGGAGGAAGAGATAAATGACCAAAAGAAAGTGGTTCAGAACCATAAAAAAATAGGAAAGCTAAAGCCAAAAAGAGCAGAGACTAGCCAAAAGATGTTTTGTTATGTTGAAAGCAGGAAGAAGGAAGGACTTTATCCACTGTCTTTAGAGAAATGGGTAAAAGAAAAAGAATGCTTCAATTATTTTTTAGTGTCAATTTCCTTTTTCAAAGAGGCTGCTCTTTAAACTGGAAAGGGTAGAACATGATTAAAAGGAAATTCCAGCCTAAGACACACATGGATATAATAAAAGTCACTTGAATGAGTTTAAATGTTCAAGCCTAGAGGAATTACCCTCCAGGACACAGAAAGCACTTGGAAGACATTAACTCAGAACCACTTACTACATCCTAGATGAAGTCTGGACAACTGGGGATGTATCAGAAAATCAGAGTGCAACAAAGAGTTAAAAAATATCCCCCATGGCTGGGCATGGTGGCTCACACCTGTACTCCCAGCACTTTGGGAGGCCGAGGTAGGTGGATCACTGGAGACCAGGAGTTTGAGACCAGCCTGGGCAACATAGTGAGGCCCCATCTCTACTAAAAATAGCAAAAAATTAGCCAGGCGTGGTGGTGGGCACCCATAACCCCAGCTACTTGGGAGGCTGAGGCAGGAGAACTGCTTGAATCTGGGAGGCAGAGGTTGAAGTGAGCCGAGATTGCGCCACTGCACTCCAGCCTGGGTGATGGAGCCAGGCTTTGCAAAAAAAAAAAAAAAAATCCCCCAAATGGTACATAAATAACAAAAACTACAGACCATTAAGCCTAACAGAAAATTCCTCAATGTATTAACAAATGAATAGTTTGTGCAGACAGGAGTGATGATTAGAAACAAGCAAAGGATGGCTGGGCGTGGTGGCTCACGCCTGTAATCCCAGCACTTTGGGAGGCTGAGGTGGGCGGATCATGAGGTCAGGAGATCGAGACCATCCTGGCTAACACGGTGAAACTCCGTCTCTACTAAAAATACAAAAAAATTAGCCGGGCATGGTGGTGGGTGCCTGTAGTCCCAGCGACTCAGGAGGCTGAGGAAGGAGAATGGCATGAACCCGGGAGGTGGAGCCTGCAGTGAGCCAAGATGGCACCACTGCACTCCAGCCTGGGCAACAGAGCAAAACTCCATCTCAAAAAAAAAAAAAAAAAAAAAGGGTAACTGGAATAGTCTATTCTTATTCTCTTTTCTGCTAAAATTGCTAGATGACATAATAGATAAGCAAATAAAATGAAATGTAAATAGAAAATTGTCCACAAAATAGAGAACTAACTTTTCCTACAGTGTGTTTCACAGTACACTACTCCCTTTAATTGTCCCTTGAAAAATAGTTCTATGGCCAAACAAGCTTTGGAAATACTATATTTATATGTCGTTCTCCCTTGAAAAGTGACACGAGGACACTAAATGCCTCGGCCAGGGAACTACTATAAAGACCTACTGAGCCACAGGAAGCCAAACTTTTTTGCCTTTTTAAACAACAGAGCCTTTTTTTTGGAGGTGAGGGAGGCAGTTATTACCCTTTATTATCCAAAAGTATGTGGAATACTTTGGGAATGGTGTTTTAGGCAGTGTATCTTGATTTTAGGAAGGCATTTTAAAGTAGTCTCTTGGATACACTATGAAACTTGCTGGAGAATCATAGACTGAAAATGCCAATTAAATGAGGTGTAGGTGGCTGGCTTGGAAATAAAACAATGCTAATCAAAGCCCGGTGCTTTCTACAGGCAGATGAAATTTGTGAGATGACATAATGAAGCACAACATAATAACTGAAAATCTGTGCTATGACGCCAGACTACCTGGGTTCAAATGCTGGCTCTGCTACATACCAGCTCTGTGTGCGCAAATTGCTTAAACCTTCTGACCTTAATTTCCTCATTTATAAATGAGACTAATACATGTCCCAGAAAGTTAGGAAGGTTAAATAAGTCAATATATCAAAGCATATATTAAGCGCTCAATAAAGTTACCTATGATAATTGTTAATATACTCTGAGGACTAAGTTAAAAAAAAAACTTTTGAGATTCCTCTCTGTCACCCTGGCTGCAGTGCAGCTGGCGTGACTACAGCTCACTGCCGCCTCAACCTCCCGGGGTCAAGTGATCCTTTCACCTCAGCCTCCTGAGTAGCTAGGACCACAGGTGCACACCACCATGCCTGGCTAATTTTTAAAATTTTTTGTAGAGATGCGGTCTCTCTCTGTTGCCCAGGCTGGTCTTTAACTCCTGGGCTCAAGCGATCCTCCGGCCTTGGCCTTCCAAAGTGTTGGGATTACAGGTGTGAGCCACAGCACTCAGCCTTAAGTAAATGTTAATAAGATATTTAATGCTAATAAAAGTATGCAAAAATGCAAGGTAGACATAAAGTTGTGTACCAAATGAAAGGTAGATATAAAATTGTTCATCAAATCCTTTAATACTGTGAACTAAGCAATACTCCTTAGAATAGGTTAAATTTGCTACAAATAAAAGCTACTGTAGAAGTAAACTCACAGGATTGGTAACCCAAAGCAGCAGCACGGGATGAAATAAAGGAAGCTTAAGCAACCCTTGGTCCTACTCATTGTGGGAAGAATTCTTGACAGGATGGAGAGCAGTACAGATCTTGACTGGTAGGAAAAAGTCTTAGGGTTTTGTGTAGCAATTTCTGACATATGTTTCAACTAGACTACTGAACCTCCCTCCAACTCTCCCTATCACAAAACTGTTAACAAATCAAGTATTCAGATGCCCAAGGAGTATACTTAAAAAGTCCAGCTCCCAGAGGCCTGCCCGCAGCCAATCATTTAATTGTACACCATCCAGTTTCCAGTTGACCACTATTAGGTTGGTGCAAAAGTAATTGCGGTTTTCACCATCACTTTTAATGGCAAATACTTTTAATACTAACTGTTAGGCATTTTGTAAGCACCTGACAAAAATTCACTTGAAGCTTTTAGACAGTAAGCTTCTTGAGGACAGGTAATAGAGTCCAAAGACAGGCAACAGTTATTTAACTTAATGTAGCAGATGAAGTTAATACTTTCTAAGGCTCCTAACAATTGATGCACAATACAATTCGGTACACAAATATTATCAGAATTTGGAACTATACACAAATGTCTCACTAGATGAGTCACTAAATCAGTAGTCCAATGGGAAAAACAATTCTGACATTCTTAAATCACTATTTCATTGCTTTTCAGATTTATACTGTCCACCTTTATATCATACAATCTTATAAAACAGCTGATAATTAATGTCTGAACTATTACATAACTGCAGATTTTCCTGCAAATTCATAATCTAAATAACAGAATTATAGAGCAAAAGCTTCAAAGGTGTTTAGTACCTAGCTTTCTAACAGTGCTACACTAAAACTGTCATCTGCGCTGCAGACTGTCCACCATTTAGGTTAGCGCGAAGGCATGCTGCACGGCACCGAGCAGATTTAAATCCACAGACTGCCAATGGGTGGAGTCATCAAAGTGCTGACACAGACTTCTTTACATTCCTACCGTCACACCAGTTTTAACCCACAGAGGGCTCTTGTAGAACTGCAGGGTCAACTCAGCATTCATTCACTTCAATCAGTCTAAAAAGACTGCTAAATGACTGATGGTTTATGTGATGTGCATATTAAAAAAAAAACAACAGTACAGAAGGGGAAGATGTTACTAATTAATTTCATAGAAGCCATTTGTCAACTATAAGAGAGCTATATAAGGATTTCCTGTTACTAGTTAGCAGTTGTGGTAAATGTTAACTGAGGCAAAATGACAGTCAAAATTTTATCAGAATACTCATGTCCACAACCACGACATTAATCCAGACTCCTACTCCTTCATACCTGTATAACTGCATTATATTTTCTTTCTTTTTTTTTGAGACGGAGTCTGGCTCTGTCGCCCAGGCTGGAGTACAGTGGCGCAATCTTGGCTCATAGCAAGCTCCGCCTCCCGGATTCACGCCATTCTCCTGCCTCAGCCTCCCAGTAGCTAGGACTACAGGCGCCCGCCACCACGCCCGGCTAATTTTTTGTATTTTTAGTAGAAACGGGGTTTCACTGTGTTAGCCAGGATGGTCTCGATCTCCTGACCTCGTGATCCGCTCGCCTCGGCCTCCCAAAGTGCTGGGATTACAGGCGTGAGCCACCGCGCCCGGCCCAACTCATTATATTTTCACCTTGAGCATTTACAGCGTGCCAAGAACTGGGCCAAGTGATTATGTGTGTTTAATCTTCCAAAAAACCTAAACAACGCTTCATTATCCCCCTTTTATAGATAGGCCTATCTTGTGCCAAAGCCCAGTCTCTTCACTTTTATTTTACACTGATCACAACAATCATCTTCTTGCCTCTATCCAGTAATGTTCCTGAACCACAGCAGGTCACTCTATGCTAATGAAACTGTAACAGCATCTTAAAGACTTCCTAGATTGAAGCCAACTTCCTCATACCGACCTTCCAAGTCCACAAACTGGTCTCATCTTACTTTCTCGGACTCTCTAGAAGACCTACTTGAGCTCATGTACTGATCCGTCATTATACAAACAATAATTAATTATGTTCATGACTTAAACGTGTATGCACATGGGATGAATGCCTCATTCCTGCCGCCTGGAATGCCCTTTCCTTCCTTCCTCTTACAAACCAAACACTACCTTCTTTAGGACTGCTGCAGATTCACCACCAGATGACCTGCCCCATAAGTCTCTCCCCTTACTACTCCCTCCTTTCTTTACATTCTCTCTGCTAAGGTATTCGATGTCTACTATACTGACATACATACTTTCCTTGAGTTGCTGTGCGGATGAACATCCTTGGAAACAGTTAAATTCCTTTACAGCAGAAGATACACCTTTTAAATCACCTTTCTTCTGCCTCCCTCCTTTTGTATTTCTCAATTTCATAGGGTTGCATCTGTCTATCTGATTTGTTTACACTTGAACAAATGTGTTCATATCTTCTTCAAGAAGATCTTAGAGGAAGCTTAGTCATACAAGCTGACTAACAATCTAACAACAGAAAGATGTTTGAAACTTGAATTAAGTATGCTACAAAGTGATGAGGGTTATCTGCACCCTACCTATAGCTAATGACTCATATTTTCAATGGTTTTCCAAAATAAGAGTTTACGAACACATAAACATGTTCTCTATGTGCGGATACACATCTTTACAGTGCTTATCACTACCTGACAGGACCTTATCATTTGTGCTTGACTTGCCAAAGAATGTAAGCTTCATGAGGGCAGGGGTTCTGTTTTGTACACTGCTTTATTTCCAGAACATGGGGCAGCACCAAGCAGAATGGTATTCAAATATCTATTGAATGTATGAATATACACTGACAGTTCACATGTAAGCGTACACCTCTATCAAGGATATATGGAAAGTTTTTACACCTCTAAGCAACTAAAAGGAACGCTATGGCTTACTACTTGACCTTGCGCTTGAAGTTTAAGATAGGTAGTTGTTTCGAATCTTTATTTTCATTCAACATCCCAAAGATGTTTAGCTAGTAAAGAAAAACTAAAGTACAAACCCCGAGATCCAGTATTTACCCGTTTGCCCAAGGAGAGGCGAGGACCATTCATAATAAAGTCACTGAAACAATTAAGACAATGGATGGGACCAGTTTTTCTTTTCTGAAGCTAAAGAGGCGCGAGAGGAGGACACACACAGTAGACAAAGCCAGCCAAGAACCTCGGAAAGTCGGCCCCAAACAATAGCAGCAACGACAGAGGCAGGCCCCGGGTTGGATCTACAGGGGGTGGAGTCTCAGAAAGCACCATCGAGTAACCCGCTCCATGTGCGGGCCCGACGGAGGGGCGAAGGAGGGGTTCCTGGGACTCAACTCCGGGAAGCCCCCTGGGTGTGTACCTGTGTTTGCGGCGGCGGGTGACCTGGGGAAACAGGGTGCAGACAGCTGCAGAGCTTTTCTTTTTTTTTTTTTAAGCTGTGGTAACCCTGGCTGCTTAATAAATCCCCAGCGCTCGGTGCGAAGAGGGAAATCCCCGGACAGAGTGTGGGATCGGATTCCCCTGGGACGGATGATGCGGCCGCGAGAGGGGGACAGGGGAAGACCCCAGGGATGGCGGGGGATGACTTACTTTGAGGAGACAGCTGTTGAGCGGTGCGGGCACCGAGGTGCGGTGGATAACCAGGTCCTGGCCCGGGTTGTGCACGTCGCAGATGAGCTCCAGCACAGCGATGCTGCGGGCCGTGGACACAGACACGCGGTGGTCCTCGGACCAAGCCAGCGGTTCCAGGCCGCTCACCGCATACTGCAGCTTCACGGCCGGCTCCCGCCGAGTCACCATGAGGCGGAATGCAGCGCTGGGCCCCGGGGCCGCGTCCGCTGCTGGCTCCTTCCCGCCCGCCTCGCCGCCCCCCTCTCCCTCCTCCTCCCCAGACGGCGCAGGCCCGTCGTCCGCGGGCCCCACCCGGGCCTGGTCGGCCGTGTTCATCTTCTCTCAGGTGCAGAGGTCGGACGCCCTGGCGCTCCACGCAGTCGCGCGACCACCTCCCGGACCGCCGCCGCCACCCCCAGCGCCCTCCGCGGCGGTTTTCTCCCCTCAGGCCCCGAGCGCCGCCGAGCCAAGAAGGACCCCGCCGTTGCCAGGCAACGCGGCCCTACCAGGTGGCCAAGGAACTGCCTGTCCAGAAAAAGGACAGCGAGCGGGGAGCCCCGAGGACCCCCTTTTCCCTGCCCAGGGATTGAGCTCCAGAGCCTGTTAGGGAGCTACCCAGACAGGCTTTAGTTCCTAAAGTGCTGAGGAAACGCACGGGGCGGTAAAGGGGAGGCTCGTCGGTGAGATGGCGCCGGATCTCGCTTCTCAGAGGCATTCAGAGAGCTTCCCCAGCGTGAACTCTCGGCCGAATGTAATTTTGCCAGGCCGCGAGGGACGCAGAGAGGGGCTGCCACCAGGCGGGGGCACGCGCGGTAGTCTTGTCCCTACCCGCCCGGTGCCGCCGTCCCCGGCTCCCCTCGGGACGAGTCCGTACAGCTGGAGCCGTTCCGGACCCGGAAGGGGCGGTGGCGCAGGGTCCTCGCGCGTCCCACGTGGGGTCCCGGGCCCAGCAGTCTGCGCACCGGGCTCGCTGCTGCACCACGCGTCACCCACGCAGACCATGGCAGCCGCCGACGGTTCGCTCTTCGACAACCCCAGGACGTTCTCCAGACGTCCCCCAGCCCAGGCGAGTCGGGTGAGTTCTGACCCGGCTTCAGCTCCGTCCCCACCCGCGGCCCGGCTGTGGGCGCGCCGCGAGCTGCAGCCGTGCCTTGGAGTCGGGTTTCGAGTCATTCACGGAGTTAAGCGGGAGAAAGACACCGGGCAGCTTCGGGACAAGTTGCGCCGAAACACGTGTCTCTAACCGGAACACCACCCGCAGGGATGCGCCTGGAAGCGGGGAGTGGAGCGGTGTGGAGGGGCGGGGAGCTGGCTCCTGCGCCTAGAAAAGTAAAGGAAGGAATTAGAGGCTGTTTCCCGTGGAAGGTAGGACCTGAAGTTCCGGCGCAAGTCCCAGGCCAAAGCTTAACTTCTCTAAGCCAGTTTCCTCGACTGAGTGCGGACTAAGCTCTGATTTTTTTTTTTATCTTGCCCACATTCCTGTCTGGGAAGAGTCATGCCCTACAAACCATAAATTCTCATCAGATGGCTTTCATTTAACCCTATATATCGTGACTTACTTTCCAAACTGGCTCTGGCCTAACATTATGTGACAAAGAAGAAAGTTAAAATATTACCCCTAAACATGTTTCTTTGCCACATTTTGAAATGGCTTTGCAAAGCTGTTCTTTGGGGGGGGCGGGCGGGGTGGACATTTGCATCTGCAAAGAATCTCTATTAACATAGCTAGATCTTTTTCTTCCAGGCCCTCCCAATCCTAAAGAGATTAAGAGTCTACCACCTTTCAAAGATCTGAATAGGAAACACTTGTCTGTTGTCTCTAAGGGCAGCCACTAAAGACTTGAAAAGAACCTTGGTCTCCACAATCTTTTATCTTAACCTGAGCATTTTCTTTGTATCCATCCCAGGTGTTTAGACAAACTCAACCGTCAACTAGAAAATGTTTAAATTTACCTATAGCCTGGAAGCCCCCGCTTTGAGTTGTCCCACCTTTCTGGACAAAACCAGTGTATTTCTGAAATGTATTTGATGTCTCATGCCTCTCTAGAATGTATAAAACCAAGCCGCGGCCGGGCGCGGTGGCTCACGCCTGTAATCCCAGCACTTTGGGAGGCCGAGGCAGGCGGATCACGAGGTCAGGAGATCGAGACCATCCTGGCTAACAAGATGAAACCCCCGTCTCTACTAAAAATACAAAAAATTAGCTGGGCGTGGTGGTGGGCGCCTGTAGTCCCAGCTACTCGGGAGGCTGAGGCAGGAGAATGGCGTGAACCCAGGAGGCGGAGCTTGCAGTGAGCCGAGATCATGCCATTGCACTCCAGCCTGGGCAACAGAACGAGACTCCGTCTCAAAAAAAAAAAAAAAAGCTGCACCCCGACCACCTTGGGCACATGTTCTCAGGACCTCTCGAGGGCTGGATCATGGGCCATGGTCACTCATACTTGGCTCAGAATAAGTCTCTTCAGATATTTTTGAGTTTAACTCTTTTGGTCGCCATGAGGAAGGTTCGTTTGTTTCAGGAATGAGGACTGGCAACTAGGAGTTTTTTTGAAGAGCTTTCAAAAATGGGACAGATTTTCATCCCCATGCAATGGAGGGGGATAGGAAAATCGGTTTCATTGATATAATCCCATTGCTAGAGAGGGGTAAGATGCCCTAGAATTAACTTAAGCAGTAACTGAAAACTGGTTTCTAGGATAGTTGATTTGTCTCTTAGAAAAGAGGACTACAGGACAGAAAGACTGATTAAAATCATAAAGTGATCATCAAACTTTAGGATTTAGATGTTTGGCAGTAAGGAGTCCAGCTAGCCAAGTGTAGCTGCATCTGGGTGGAGCGGGGAGAAGGATAGAAGAGCCACTGGGAGCATGGGATTTGGAATAGGATACACTTGGGATTCGGATGCTGCCCTTGCTGCACACTAGCTCTGTGACCTTGGAGCAAGTCACTTAATCTTTCTGATTCTCACTTTTCCTATCTATAAAATGAGAACAATAATTTCTACTCCATAGAAGACTATTGTAAGGATTCATTGAGATAGTATACATGAAGACTATACGTTGTCTGGCCCATAGAAGCACTTAATAAATGCCAACAGTATAAAGTAGTTTTGGCTCCATTTTGGATAATAGATTGCTACATCAGGAGGTCAGTGGGGTGCTTGTGTCCTCTGCAGAGCCTGGTAACTAACACATAAGAAGCATTGAGTAAATACATATAGGCTACCTAGTTTTATGGTTATCAAAAGGGGATTAATTAATGCAGTGATGACAGGTGTCTGCGGTGGCCTTGTCTAGATCTACGTTTTTTGTTTTGTTTTGTTTTGTTTTTTTGAGATGGAGTCTCGCTCTGTCTCCCAGGCTGGAGTGCAGTGGCGCGATCTCTGCTCACTGCAAGCTCTGCCTCCTGAGTTCACACCATTCTCCTGCCTCAGCCTCTTGAGTAGCTGGGACTACAGGTGCCCACCACCACACCCGGCTAATTTTTTTGAATTTTTAATAGAGATGGGGTTTCACTGTGTGTTAGCCAGGATGGTCTCCATCTCCCGACCTTGTGATCTGCCCACCTCGGCCTCCCACAGTGCTGGGATTACAGGCGTGAGCCAGCCAGGCCTAGATCTACATTTTCATTGATGTCGTGAATGAGAATGATGGATATGCTGATGAGACTTGCCAGTAGCCTGAACTTGAGATGGGTAGCTAATATACTGGATTTAGAAAGACTAACAGCTTAAATTATGCTGTATCTAACACTATGCAGAAATTTTCTCTCTAAAAATACTTTCTGGGCTGGGCGAGGTGGCTCACACCTGTAATCTCATCACTTTGGGAGGCCGAGGCAGGCAGATCACTTGAGGTCAGGAGTTGGAGACCAGCCTGGCCAACACGGTGAAACCCCATCTCTACTAAAAATACAAAAAAAAGGCTTGGCGCAGTGGCTCACGCCTGTAATCCCAGCACTTTGGGAGGCCGAGGCCGGTGGATCACGAGGTCAGGAGATCGAGACCATCCTGGCTAACACAGTGAAACCCCGTCTCTATTAAAAATACAAAAAATTAGCCGGGTGTGGTGGCTGGTGGTGGGTGACTATAGTCCAAGCCACTCGGGAGGCTGAGGCAGGACAATGCTGTGAACCCAGGAGGCGGAGCTTGCAGTGAGCCGAGATTGCGCCACTGCACTCCAGCCTGGGCGACAGAGCGAGACTCTGTCTCAAAAAAAAAAAACAAAAACAAAAAACAAACACAAAAATAGCTGGGTGTGGTGGTGGGTGCCTGTGATCCCAGCCACTCGGGAGGCTGAGGCACGAGAATCACTTGAACCCAGGAACCAGTGGAGGTTGCAGTGAGCAGAGATCACTGCACTCCAGCTGGGGTGACAGTGTGAGACTGTCTCAAAACAAAAGCAAAACAAAAAAAAATTTCTGATATTAATACAAATTTATTATAGAAAATTAGGAAAAAAGATTTTTAAAAACCCACTCATAATTGCCATACTCAGACAATGCTTGTTGCCATTTTGGTGTATGTCCTTTTAGAGAACAACTCAAAATTGGAATCACTACACATGATGTTTTCTTTTTTTTTTTTAACTTATCAAAAATTAAGAATTATTATGAAGCTCTATTTCTTCAGACAGTCTGGAATAAGGTGCAAAACTGTACAAATTGACCAGCAAAGGAGAAAAGAGAGCCCAGAAGCAGACCAATACAAAAATGGAAATTTTATTCATGACCGAGATGACACTGCAAATTGCTTAGGAAAAGCTGACATTTTTAATAAGTGGCACTGGAACAATTGGTTGTGTGGTTGTGTGAATTTAAAAACTGAAATTGGAACCTTATCTCGCACTATGTATAAAAAACCAAATCCATGTGGATTAAGACTATACAAGGCAAAACTATAATGTTGAGCAGAAAGAGTAAGTTTCCAGCATACACATGTTTTCTAAAGCAAAGAGGATGCAGTTAATAAAAGGGATTATAGTATTGTTGTGAGGCCTCTAGAATGTAGAATCATGATGCCTGGGGAAAGCCTGGTTCCTTCAGTGATTCTGGGACAAATTACGTCACATCTCTGCCTCCATGTTTGCATCTTAAAATGAGATGATAACAGTACCTGTGTTGATAAATGAGAGAATACATGTGAGTACTTAGTATACTCCTTGGCATATAGTAACTACTCAGTATGTTTATTAATATCAAAGCCATGGCATCTTAGACTCTCAGGTCTTGATGGGCCCTAGAGGTCATCTGCCAAAATCCCCTCATTTTACAGGTGCGGCAACAGAGACTCAAACGAATTTTTTAGTAGATTTTTAGTAGATTTTAGATTTTTAGTAGTAATTTTTAGTAGATTCAGATATGTCCTTGCTCCCTCTCTGCTCAGAGGCTACCTCACGAAGCATTCTTGGTTTTCTTGCCTCCCTCTCCTTTGCCAGAAGGAGGCCATGTTAGTCTAGCTTTTGTTGGTGCTCTCATAGCCTTTTTTATGTACCTCTTCTGTAGCACCAATGTAGAGGTTGGATTTATGCCTTTATACTTTTGTCTCCTCTGCTAGTGTGTAACTTCCTCAAGGGCTTGGCAAATCTACTTTGTATCTTCAGAACGAAGCTTCTTGACAACTGCTAAATGAATGTGTTTTGGATGCTGGGGGAGAAAAGCTAACAAGTAGTAGAACCGTATCCAGCTGGTGGAAAGGGATAATTCCATTGTGTGTTATTCATTCATCTTACAAGTATTTGTTGAGTGCTTACTCTGCCAGACAGGGGCCTATACAGGGGATACAGTGCTATGTAGGACAGACTGGCCCCTTTCTTGTGGAGCTTACAATCTAACGGGAAAGACAGACATAAAACAACGAGTTCCGTGCTATGCTTATTATTTTGTCGAATGCTATGGAGGAGAATACGGGTGCCAGGAGAGCCAAGAACAGAGCACCTTGGCTTGACTGGGTGAAGAGAGGTCAGGAAAGGCTCTTCTGAGGAAGGAGTTGGTCAGCCTCCATCTGAAGGATGAGTACAGGGTGGCCAGCCAGAGGGCAGAGTGGAGTCCTGGATGTGGGAGTAGCATGTGCAAAGGAGGAGGAAGGAGCACAGCACATTCTAGGAACTGAAGGAAGACCCGAGTGGCAGAGAGTAAAGCTGAAGCTGGTGAGGTGGCCAGAGGTCAGATTCTAGAAGGCTTTGTTGATCATATTACAGTTTTTTTTTTTTTTTTTTTTTGAGCGAGGGTCTTACTCTGTCACCCAGGCTGGAGAGCAGTGGCATCATGGCGTCATCACGACTCAATCCAGCCTTGACCTCCCGGGCTCAGGTGATGCCCCCAACTTAGCCTCCAGGTAGCTGGGACTACAGACATGCACCACCATGCCCAGCTAATTTTTGTATTTTTTTGTAGAGACAGGGTTTCACCATATTGCCCAGGCTGGTCTCGAACTCCTGGCCTCAAGCAATCAGCTCACCTCAGCCTCACAAAGTGCTGGGATTACAGGCATGATCCATGGCACCTGGCAATATTACAGATTTTTTAGTTCAGCCTAAGAGCAATGGAAAACCTAATGGGTTTAACTCTGAGTACTTGCTTTTAGAGAGATGTTGACATAGGAATAAAGGGTGACCAAGATGATAAAGGATCTAAAGTTGTGTCCTGTTTGAAATATTGAGTCCAAAGAAGAAAGAAAAGAGAGTTATGTGATATATGAAGGAATGTTATGTGTTAAGAGGAAGTAAGCTTGTTCTGTGTTGCTGCAGAAAGTATACCTCAGACTATTAGGTAGATGTTCAAGGATGCAGATCTTGCATAAATGTCAGAGACAGCTTCCTGATTCCTAGAATGGGTCATGAACAGAATGGGCTGCCTCATGGGATGCAGGAGGTGTGCAGGGAGAGGCTGCCAGTCCACCTGCCCGGGACTGTCAGGAAGTCCATGTATGGCGGGAGTGGCCTTTAAGAGTTTTTGTGCTCCAGGAGTCCTGGGTCTGTAAATCAGGTGAAGTCTGCACATTTCATACTGTCTTGCAAATGATTCAACAAACCTGAAACTTGATTTCATCTCTTTCTTTAATCTGAAAATTCATAAACTTGAGATTTTGTAAAAAATAAATTTGTAAGATGGAATATGTCCGTTTTTACTTTATTAATATTAGATATTTGAAGTTGTATTTAATTACTTAGGTAAAAGAATCCTTAGGGAACAAAGAACTGTTGTTATTGGTAGGTTAGTCTGAAGCTGACAGTCATGGCTAAAGAAAGCCGACATGTAAAACCAAGTCATTATTTCAAGCAAAGAGGAAAATAACATATTCTGAGAGAACCCAAAACTCCAGAATAACAAGCACTGGCTACTCAAGGGATGCTTTTATATTCATTTGTAAATCAGAAAAGAAGGCCAAAGAAAATAGAGGAATTGGATGTTCCTTCTCCTAGGGGAAGTTTGGACATCATGCATTTAAGCACATTCCTGTAATGGAAATAAGAAGCAACAGGCAAGAGATCCCTAGTGCTGTGTAGCCTGTAATCCGCAATCAGGCAGAGACTCGGGGACTCAGAGACTCGAAAGGCAAGGGAGGTAGGAAGTAATTGTGGTAGAGGTGATGGATGGAGCAGCATTCTCATTTGGAATGGGAACAGGGCGTAGGAATTTTCTCCAGGCCGTCTGAATCTGGAGGAGCAGCTTGAGAGGAGAGAATGAGAGAGATCCAGGCGCTAGGGTAGAATGGTAATGAATGTTTCCGCTTCCTGGGCACGGGCTGAGATGCGCATTCCCCCTCGCCCCTCTCTCCTGTGCGGTCTCCAGTGTGCTTTGTTGGTGGAGAGAAAAGATTCGTTTTCCCCCACCCCTCTTTTCTCCTTGGGTGAATGGGTTCCTAGGAATATGGATTGACACACCCTTCACAAGGTGGATTCTTGCTTCCCTTAAAACAGACTCCATTAGTTAACATTCAACTGGAAAAATGCTGCTTCTTCATCCTTACCTTATCTTGATTGATTTAACAGTTAAGAATGGCTGGTGAGGTCTGGTAGATGAGTGAGCTGAGACTTTTTTCTTTTTTCTTTTCTTTACCTTTTGGAAGAAGCTGAGTCAAAGAGTCTGATTGCAAACCCTAAACTGTTGCTTGACATATGGGGCATAATGATCTCTGCAGGGAGAGATGCAATTCTGTGGGCAGTCAGGCTTCACTCCGAGCTCTGTTTTCATGGACTAATGCATCTCTTGTTGATCTTTCCTTCTGGGAACAACGCAGCAAGCAAAGGCTACGAAAAGAAAATACCAAGCGTCCAGTGAGGCTCCCCCAGCGAAACGGAGGAACGAAACTTCATTTCTCCCAGCCAAGAAAACTAGTGTTAAAGAAACTCAGAGGACTTTTAAGGGGAACGCACAAAAAATGTTTTCTCCAAAGAAGCATTCGGTTAGCACAAGTGATAGAAACCAGGAGGAGAGACAGTGCATTAAGACTTCATCACTGTTTAAAAACAACCCTGACATTCCAGAACTCCACAGGTATGTCCAGGGGCGGATGCCCTTCAGGAAGAAAAAAATGTGTTCTGCCTTTTCTTTGTTAATATTGGCACTGATGCCTGGGTTCTTGTTCATCATTTGCAGACCTGTGGTAAAGCAGGTGCAAGAAAAAGTGTTTACTTCAGCTGCTTTTCATGAGCTGGGCCTCCACCCACATTTAGTAAGTACCTTTCAGTGTTTTCTGGGTCAGTTTTTTTTGGTGTGTTTGTCCGTTCAGAAGGTCTGTGAAATGGCCGCTCTAGGAGGAGAGATCAGAGAGTGTTTGTTTCTGCTCTAAGTTACCTGAATGAACTCAGATTGATATGATACTCTTCTAGGACAGTTCAAGGGTGCTTAGGTTACTGTTCACTGTTTTCTGGCCCCCCCTTCCCCCATCCTCTGTTTTTTTGTGTTTTTGTGTGTGTGTTTTTTTAAGTATTGAAGACTTTCCTCGACTAACGTGATTTAGGGTCAGGACATCACTTGCTAAACTTAAAACAGCTCCCTATTTACTGGATAGTTGTAGTGGTGAAGCCATTTGTGGTGGCAGATGTCACAGTGGCCATAGGAGAGGGAACTGTGCTGGCATCTTGCTGTTAAAGGACGTCCACAGTTTTAGAGAAGTAAGGGAAGAAGAGTATTTTGGTGTGTGTTCTACAAACAAATGGACACTTTAAAGGAAAAAAAGTGAGTTCTCCAGACTCATGAGTAAGAAGAAAAAAATATATTAACTTTTAGGCAGGCTTGGTTTCCTCTGCACTTTCGGTTACAGCTTACTACCCCTTCTGTAGGGTGGGTTACCTAAACTTGTTTTCTCACCTGGGGGGTGGATCAGGGTTTCTCAGCCTTGGTGCTGTGGACATTTTGGACTAGGTCAGTCTTAGTTTTGGGGACTGTCCTGTGCACTGTAGGATGTTCAGCAGCATCCCAGGCCTCTACCCACTAGATGCCAGCAGTGCCCCCCTCCCCTGGTTATAACAAGCACAAATTTTTCCAGACTTTGCCCTGTGTCCCCAGGGAGTTAGGGCGGGTGGCAGAATCGCCCCAAGTAGAGAGCACCACCTGGGTGGAGGAACTTAATTTGATCATAGTAGTCAATGTTCTCTCAATAGTTTCTCCTTTCTTGTGTAATTTCCGTTAAATATTTTGTATCAAAATATTAATTAAAGCTTTTTCATCTCCTCTTTTAGATTTCCACAATAAATACGGTCTTAAAAATGTCTAGTATGACCAGGTAAGAACTTCAGGCTCCTCTTGATTTCTTAGGCATTACGTGGGTATAACCGGACGAAACCTGTGTGTGCAAGGCAGAGCAAATTTGTGTCTTGGCGTTGGAACACAGTGCCAGGTTATCGACCATAAAGGGTTGTCGTCTCACTTAGCTACTCATTCTCTCCACCTGTTAAATGGAAAGACTGGCTTTCCATCCAGTTCTGCCCTTGGCTCTGAACCGCAAGAGACGTCTCATCCAGAAGGTGGGCTGCATGAGCGCCGCTGTTTTCTGTGCTTCCCTGAAAAGAATTTGGCCAAAATATAGCATGTGACCATGTCGTTTCTTAGTAGTAAGAATTAGGGTCAACCAAAAAGACAAGAGTAAATGTTCAGTTGGATAGAGTGGGATACTGAAAAAATGTTTTCAATGTTTGTTACAGGGAATGACTCCTGGAAAATAAAGAAGTAAAATAGGTGCGAGGAGATGAGCTTCCTTGTTTTGAGTATTTGTGCTTCTGTGCATTTTCATAATGATTTTTTACTTTTACTAGTAAAAATTAATAGGAATATTAAAGTCCAAATTAAGGGACCTCCCCACAAGTTTTTTATCAACCAAATTTAAGTGATTTTTGTGTCTCTTTTGTTTCTTGTTTTAAAATACATGTGTAGACACACATTTCAGCATGTCCATAACCTTTTCCTGGAGAATGGACAGCTGCTGCTGGCTCTCTGAATAGTTGGCGAGCTTCCTCCTGCTATCCTGCATGGAAACCTTTCCATTATGTTTCGTTGTGTTTCATATTCCTGTTAGTGAGGGCAAGAGTGTGTGATACACTTGGTGGTAACTCTGATTTGTTGTCATGCCTGTTTCTTTTTCTTTTTTTTTTTTTTTTTGAGACGGAGTTTTGCTCTTGTTGCCCAGGCTGGAGTGCAGTGGTGCGATCTTGGCTCACTACAATCTCTGCCTCCCAGGTTCAAGCGATTCTCCTGCCTCAACCTCCTGAGTAGCTGGGATTACAAGTGCGTGCCATCACTCCCAGCTAATTTTTTGTATTTTTAGTAGAGATGGGGTTTCATCATGTTGGCCAGGCTGGTCAAACTCCTTACCTCAGGTGATCCACCCACCTCAGCTTCCCAAAGTGCAGGGATTACAGGTGTGAGCCACTGCAGTCGGCTGCCTGTCCCATTTTTAAAAGAATTAGTTTAATAGAATGGCCAGTCTCTGGTTTGCCTCACCATTTTCAGGCTAAGTTCTAAAAATATAACTAGGGTTTGATCTTTATAATCATCAAAAGTTTCTTCACACCTTTATTTGAATGCTTTGATAGCTTCTAAGGAGGCAGTTGCCAGATGAATCCAAGTGTGGGCAGTTGCCTTTTATGTATCCTGCGTCTCTGCCAGTAACTGGGTAATATAGGTAAAGTGTGTTCTTTTTTTCGGGTGGCCCAGTGTTCAGAAGCAAAGTATTCCTGTGTTGCTGGAAGGCAGAGATGCTCTCGTGAGATCCCAGACGGGCTCAGGTTAGTCTCATTTCATCTCTGCCCTTTTTCATCTGCTCAGGCCCATGGTCATGCACTAGGTTTTGCCATGCGGTGTCTGGGTTGGTGGTGGTGGCAGTTTTGTTTCGTTTGGGGGAGGGAGGCCATGCTTTTGATTAGAGCCCTGAATGTGTTCACATAATGAAAGGAAGGGGACAGTTGATGGTACCACGATGAGAAATGATTAGGAAGTAGTCAGGTTCGGCTATAATTTCCTCAGAGCCTATTTCGGGGCTTTACCAAGGTGTGGTGGCCACAGTTGCCCATTCTCACTCTAGTGGAGAATGAATGTCTTCTTCTGGTGTTAAACACAGAGTGATTTCTGGCCTGAGCGTACACTGATCAGATGCCAGTTGTGCTCGAGGACAGAACACTGTTTCTGCCGTGTTCCAGGCCAGTCTGGACTTGCTTTTTTGACCCTCATGTGCCCTCAGTGGGCAGTCAGCTATCCTTTACTCCCACCAGCTCGGCCACCATTCAGAAGGCTGGATACCCAAAGTTTTTGCCATCTGTTGGTTTCTCTGCAATTAGAGATTAGCTCTAGAGTACAGACTGGCTCCCAATCACATCAGCACTGCAGAGATGTAATTGACCACTGAAGCTCATCTGAGAGGGTAGGGAGGACTTCAAAGGAGGAATTTTCTGGCTCCTACAGACAGCCATCAAGTTGAGCTTCTGTGTAATTTGGGAGACATATCGTTATCTCTTGTTAGATGAATAAAGGAACTGAAGCTTCTAGTTTTTTAGAAGTACTCATTTTACAAAGCAAAATTGGGATTTGTGGCAGACAGGGGAAGTCCCTTTTCACTTCTCTTGGATGTATAATGGGCAGTTTCCCTTTCCCTAGAATTTAGTACTACTGGAAGATAGCAGAGCCTGTTTCCTTTACATCCTTTGCTTTTCTTAAACATCTGTAGGGTGTGTGATTTTAATTGCTTCTGCTTTTTTTTTGAAAGGTAAAACTCTTGCCTATTGCATCCCTGTGGTCCAGTCCCTTCAAGCAATGGAGTCAAAAATACAGGTGTGTATCAAATGTGTTTTTCTGTCATTGCTCATAGTGCATAAGCAACCATCAAACTGAAGCATAACAGAAATATTAGGACTAAAAGAATCTGTTTTCACTGAGTATTTTTTTCACCTCCTTTTAATTTATTTATTGCATAAATGTGTTGTATCTAGAGACTGTGCCTAGAGTAGAATAAATACACTTCACAATTGTCATAGTAAGTGTAACAGGGAAGCTTTGTAAGATGCTCCCCGTGTGTCAGGCATGATACTTTGCATGTGTTCCCTTCTTGAATCTTTAACTGCTCTCTCCCCCACTGTGTTATAGGTATTACTGTTATCCACATTTTACGAAGAAGAACAGAGGCTTAGGAAAGTTAAATAACCAAGGCCATGCAGCAAGTAATGGAGGAACTGGATTTCTACCTCAGTTCTGTTTGGCTGCAGAGACCAAGCTCCTTACTCTTGTGTGAAGACTTACAGTGAAGGTTAATTCCTGGCTCCTGTGCTATGTAGGGGCCATGCATCTGTGTCTTCCACAGTACCTAACGTGGGACCTTTTACAGAATGGTCACTCAATAAAGGTGATTTGGTTTTGCAGCTATCCATTCATGCTTGAGTCTGTGTTGTATATAAAGCATTATATTTTAACCTTCTAAGTTCCAATGTGGTGTTTGCTTTTGACCAAGAAGGCTGAACTTCATATTTAAAACAGTGGTTTCTCATGAACAGTAAATATGAAAATAAGCAGCCATTTAGCTGAAATGTTAATATGAGGACAAATTGGGCTACCTCATTTTTGAGATTATGTAGAATTTATCTTTAGTTGTGAAACATGTTAAGTTAGTGCCTGGGTTGAGTTCCCTAGGAGGCCAGTTAACTGCTGTGATCCGTGGGCAGAGGCTTCATCTCAAACGCCAGCCCAGGATCCTACAAATACAGCCTCGTTATTCTCAGCTGAGAGGGAGTGGTGAGACCAGAAATAGAAAGTGAGGTGACTGCAAAAAACAGACAAAAGCTAATCGATTACTGTTTTTCTCAGTTTGGATATGCAGAATTAGCAGTATATCTAGCCTACCTGATATTTGAGTGACAATAATAGTGTTGCATTACAGTCTATAAACTAAAACAAAATATCCGTGAGTTCAAACTGATACAAATAAATTATTGAATAAATAAATGAGGGAGAAGGTAGAATTCTTCTTTATGTAGAACTCTAATAAATAAATATACAAATGATAGAAATAGAAAGTCACCATTTGGCAAATGCCACAGTAGTATTGTTTCAGGCGTGAGTTATCATAGATGCTAAAATGAGTGGATGAAAGTGTTGATAATACATATGGAGAAGCTGAGAGAAGGGTGTGTGGAAATTCCTTGTATTTTTTTATGCAAAATTTTGTAAGTCTGAAATTATAAGCCTGAATTCATTCAAAATGAATAGGTTCAGAATTTTTAAAAATCAGTTAAACCCTACAAAATCATCCAGAGATGGAACCAAGTATAGCCATTAAAAAATGATACTTTTTCAATTACTATTTGTGAACTTGAGCAAATATTCTTGCTTTGTTACTTGAAAAAGGGCAGGTTACAAAATGATGTGTATAGTGTGACCCCAGTTTCATAAGTAATAGTTGTGTATGCATGCATAAAAAGGCTGGAATAATTCTTAGCAAACTGTTAACATTGGTTTTCTCTGAGTGAGGAATTTTACTTCCTAAAGGTAACTGATTTTTTTCCCCCTATTAAGTGCTTTACGGTGAGAGAATTTGTGTAAAGTGCTTAGCATTGTCCCTGGCACATAGAGAAAAATAAATGTAAATTACTACAATCATGTAGTAAAGTCTCATCCACTTACGTACTCCAGGAGAGCATCTTGCCAGTGGAGAGGTTTTTCTTTATACCAGTTGAAGAGTTTGGACTATTTGAGCTGGAATGGCTTATACAGTTCTAGCCTAACTCTAATTTCATAGATCCATGACTGGAGGATGAGAGAGATTTGATGACATACATATCAGGGGAATGGTGTGGTGGGCAGCTGTGCTCAATCCTGGGTCTGAGGGTAACTTGAGGCAAATTGTTCATCCTCTGTGCCTCAGTGCCTTTGCTGTGGCACAGGGATGGTAGCGGTCAGTGCCTGTCTCCAAGGGCTGGGATCAGGGTTGAGCTAATGCATGTGCAGTGTTGAGACCCGACGGGCAGTGCATGGTGACATCATGCTTTAGCCATCGTCAGCAACGTGGTCATGTGGCTAGTTGGAGGGGCAGTGATTTGATTGGTTATATGTCATATTTTACTTGCTGCAATATTTTAAAAAATCACGAACAGGTCGGTCATTCTATTAAAGACTGGAATATTCTGTAGAAACACAGTTTTCCAAGCCTCAATTTAATTCACTTATTTCAAGTAATAATATAGTCCCTTGGAGTTCATTGTAAAATGATTTGACCTGTAAAAAGCTTATCTGGAGGGCACAGCAAATTTAAGGCACCCAACAGATCCTTAAATTACTTTGGTGATGGCGTGAGAACGGACTGCTTTTCTGTGTTCACACTCTTCAGTTATTTTGGCTCTGATTTTTTTTTTAACATCATATCCATCCTCCCTCACTTACTTGTGCCCTGTGAGGAATTGATTTTTCTTTCTTCTTCTCTATGTAGTAACACCTTTTGAAATGTCAGAATCTCCTAACGTCACACAGCGGCACGTTGCTGCTGTTGTACTAGCATATTTACCATTCCTAGCCTGCGTTCAGTGTAGTCTCACAAAGTCGATGTTGAGTACAGACAACTCTGGTTTGAATTCCAAATCCTTTTCTTCTTTTGGGTAAATGTTTCTTATGCAAAACACGAAAACCATACTTGTAATTGAATTTGCTGTTAACTCTGTGCTTAGCTTTGGCAGTAACGTTGTTTTGTTCATTCATTCAGTGTCTTTGAGCACTTTGAATGTGCAAGGCACCATTGGCTTAGGGGCCTTTTTCGGATTACTTTGGTTTCTTCTGTTTTTTTTATTAATACTTTTTAGATATAATGTACCATATATGTTTTAAAAATTTCAAAGAGTACCAAAAATATATATAGCGAAAAGTAAAGTCATCTATTCCCACTTTCCCTTAGTGGCACAGTTTGCTTCTCAAGATGCCATGGTGGTTATTACCAGTCTCTTGTATATCCTCCTGGGGAAATTCTCTGCATATCAAGCAAATTTGAGGATGTGTAATTCCTCTTACCAATTTTGTGAAGTTTTTTGTTTTTCTGTTTTGCTTGGTTTGATACATGAGTGGTTGCTTTGTTATGCAGGATGTTCTGTGCCTTGCTTTGGTTTCTTTGATGTGTTTTGGGCTCCTTAATTAGCACCATATTGGGCTACCTTGTTCTTTTTGATGACTGCCTAGCATTTCATTGTATGTATGTATGTACCGTGAATTACTGACTCATTCTCTTATTGGTTGGTGGAATTTATATTATGTTCAGTATTTTGCTACAAACAAGGCCACTTAAATACTCTACAGTCTGTAAAATATTCTACAACCTCTTTACACACACATATGGTCTATAGGAGAAATTTCTGTAAGTGGAATGTGCATTTTTATTTTAGTAGATAATGCCAACATTAAACTTGAAAGGGAATATGCCAGTGTGCACTCCAGCAGCGGTGTAGAAGGTCCAGTTTTCCCATGCCCTCCAATGCTCTCAGCTGCTTTATGTTTCTTCTTCTTCTTTTTTTTTTTTTTTTTTTGAGACAGAGTCTCGCTCTGTTGCCCTGGTTGGAGTGGAGTGGCGTAATCTCGGCTCACTGAAACCTCCACCTCCCGGATTCAAGCAGTTCTCCTGCCTCAGGCTCCCAAGCAGCTGGGATTACAGATGCCTACCACCACGCCCGCCTAATTTTTGTAGTTTTAGTAGAGATGGGGTTTCACCATGTTGGCCAAGCTGGACTTGAACTTCTGACCTCAAGTGATCCACCCGCCTTGGCCTCCCATAGTGCTGGGATTACAGGCATGAGCCACCACATCCGGCCCTTTATTCATTTTTCTATTTGAATTTTGTTTTGTTTTGTTTTGTTTTGTTTGAGATGAAGTCTCGCTCTGTCGCCCAGGCTGGAGTGCGATGGCACGATCTCGGCTCACTGCAACCTCCACCTCCTGGGTTCAAGAGATTCTCCTGTCTCAGCCTCCTGAGTAGCTGGGATTACAGGCATGCACCACCACGCCTGGCTAATTTTTTTTGTATTTCTGTAGAGACAGGGTTTCACCATGTTGGCCAGGCTGGTCTCTAACTCCTGACCTCAAGTAATCCACCCACCTCAGCCTCCCAAAGTGCTGAGATTACAGGCGTGAGCCACCGTGCCTGGCCAAGTTGGTCTTTTTTTAAAGATTGAATTACAGGGCTTTTTAAAATATATAAATTAAGGAAATTAGCTCTTTCTCTCAGGTGTGGCATATTTTCTCCCCAGGTTATCATTTGACTCTTGGTTTTGTTTAGGTATTATTTTTCCATTCTGAAATTTAAAATTCTTAGGTAATAAAACGTATCAGTGTTTTATTTTAAGGTTTCTGAGTTTTATGTCATCTGTTAAAAGGACAATTCCAGCTTTGTTTTCCTAACTTTATTTTTTTCTCACAGGACTTTTGAATTAAACCATCTTTTTCTTGCTGATATAAAATGGCCCTTATATTATTTTCTAAATTTTGTTATCTATTTGATTCTATTCTCAACTTTATTTGCTATTATAATCTCTATTCATGTGCCAGTATCATTATTTGTAATTGCTGTAGCTTTAAATTATTTTAACATCTGATGTTTTTCATAAATGTCTTGGTTATTTTTGTACATTTATTTTTCCATATGAACTTTCAAATCAGGTTGTTTGGTTATATATGTTATTTTATATATACACATTTGTGGCATTTTTATTAGCATCACATTACGTTTATGGAGTGATTTAGAGAGAATTAGCTTATATGTACTATTGCATCCTCTTATCTGGAAATAGGGTGTATCCTTCCATTTATTCAAAATTTACTTTATGCCCCTCAGAGGTGTTTTTAAATTTTCTTCATATAGATTTTGTATATTTTTTGCTAAGCTTATATTCCTTTTATCTTTTTTGTTGCTATTAACTTTTTATATTGGAAGGCTGTTGAAATTTTTTTTTTTTTTTTTTTTTTTTTTTTTTTTTTTTTTTTTGAGACTGAGTTTTTCACTTGTTGCCCAGGCTGGAGCACAATGGTGCGATCTCAGCCCACTGCAACCTCCACCTCCTGGGTTCAAGTGATTCTCCTGCCTCAGCCTCCCGAAGAGCTGGGATTACAGGCGCCCGCCACCATGCCCAGCTAATTTTTGTATTTTTAGTAGAGACGGGGTTTCACCATGTTGGCCAGGCTGGTCTCAAACTCCTGACCTCAAGTGATCCGCCTGTCTTGGCCTCCCAAAGTGCTGGGATTACAGGCGTGAGCCACTGCACCTGGCTATTGATTTTTATATGTTAATTTTGCATTCAGCTGCTTGACAAAATTATCTTGTTTGTAATAGATTTTACATTAGTTCTCTTATGGTTTTTTTTTTTGTAAGATAAAATAACATCTGCTAACAATAATTTTGTTTCCTATTTTCTAATTTTATACATCATATTTCTTGTCTGATTGTATGGGCCAGGACCTCTAGAACAGTATTCTAGAATAATGGGGTTAGTGGGTGTGTTAGTCCATTTTTACACTGCTGATAAAAACATACCCGAGACTGGGAAGACAAAGAGGTTTAATTTGACTTACAGTTCCACATGGCTGGGGGAGGTCTCATAATCATGGCAGAGGACGAAAGACATTTCTTACATGGCAGCAGCAAGAGAGAATGAGGAAGACGCAAAAGCAGAAACCCCTGATAAACCCATCAGATCTCGTGAGACTTATTCATTATCACGAGAATAACCGGCCCCCCTGATTCAATTACCACCTCACTCCTGCCCCCCTGCCCTTCCTCCTACAACATGTGGGAATTCTGGGAGATACAATGCAAGTCGAAATTTGGGTGGGGGCACAGCCAGACCACATCAGTGGGCAACCTTATTTTGTCCCTTTCTTCATTAAGAGTGCTTCTGATGTTCTACAACCGGCCACCCCTGTGTCCTGTCCGTTTGGAGTCTGCCTTTGTTTATCCTGCTCATGGCATTTTTTTTCTGTGTGTCAACAGCGCAGTGATGGCCCCTATGCCCTGGTGCTCGTGCCAACGAGAGAGGTAAGCAGGCTCCCTTTTGGGACAAGTTTTAAGCACATGCTTTCACTAATGTCCCGTTGAATTTAAAAGTGGTTTTACCATGTTTCTCCCTACTGCACAAGCCACTGCACACCAGTTCCATTTGCCTGGAAACCATCCTTCTGGTTCTTGTCAAGGAGAAAAATTCAAGTAGTCTCTGAGAATCATAAGTATGGAAAAGTATTTTCCTATTGTCTAGAAACTAATGATACTATTAAATGTCTGTTTAATTGGGTTTTGAATTAAGTTGCTAAAAAAAAACCTACAGAAATGCAATTTTTTAGCAACTTTATTCAAAACCAAAAGCAGTTGGCTCTGAAAATGAACCTTTATTTTTTTTAAGAAGCTACTGCTACCAAAAATGTTACTTGTTCCTAAAAGTTAAACTTTTCAATATTTTTTTCTTTCTTGGTGGAAATCTCTTCTATCTGATCTATTTTATTTGCCTACAGAGGCAACTTCAGATTAGGGTATGTGGTTTCTATATCAAATGCTAATCACTTCCTTACAGAGAATTGATCACAGAGATGATTTGAAGTCAGCTTTTCATATAGCCTGCAGTCCCCTATCTCAGCTCAGTCCAATGAAGGAGCAGGCACAGAAGCTATTAAAATTTTTACAGCAGCAAACTTGCTACTTCTCGAGGATGCTTCATGAATACTAAATATGTGGAAACTGTATATACGTTCTTTAAGAACGGGATTCTGTATGAGGCATTTTTGAAGGTTGTTAATGGTTGTAGCCTACTTTAATTTTCACTTGCTTTGTTCTCAAATGGAGCTGTTGGTTTGCTTTTGTTTTATTGATATAAACTTGAGGAGCGACCATCTCCCAGGCTTCAGATATCCTGGCACAGTTGTAGAATACAGTCATCGCTCCTTGAGAGCGAAGTTCCCAGAGGCTACCCTGTTGCGTCACTATTGTGGTTTACTCTGCGTACATATTATATTCTTTCTCTTTCTAAGGAGAGTCAAATTCAGGTTACTTTGTTTCATTCTCTTACGTTTTTGTGCACCACAGACTTGAACTTCTCTGTGTGGCACTCTGGGAATTTGAGCCAGCAGAGGGAGCACAAAACACTATTTTTGTGTATGTCCAAGAAATAGAAGTGTTGTCTTTACCCTCTTTGCCCAAACTGACAGGTTGCAGAACCAGTCTAAGAACAAGGTATATTAGATTCTGTGTATAGGATTTTTTTTCTTCTTAAATCTTAACTTGAGGTCCAAGTTTGGATCCTAATCACATTAAATTGTCTTTAAAAAAAAAAAAAGGGGGATCCTGTTCATCATCTATAACTTTTAAAATTTTTACAGCTAGCTCTACAAAGCTTTGACACTGTCCAGAAACTGCTTAAGGTAAGGCAAACCATGAGTTCCATTTCATCTTGCTTGCTGACTTTGAGGAAGGATTTAATATACTACAGTCTATTCTTTATTTTCAAAGAGATAAGAATTATTTCCTTTTGCCTGGATATCTCTGCTCTCTCTAGGCAGTTTATAGGTTTTTACTGATCTAAACCTACCAATTTCTAGCTTAGCTGAATTATCAGTGACTCCTGGTGCATAAAGTCCTGCAATTTGTTCATCATAGTCACTAGCAAGCCACATACAGAAATTCACAGGTACAGCCTGATGGTGATCCAGTAGAAAGCAACTTAGCTGCAAGTAGGATTTGTTTAAGAAAGGAGAGTGAAGGCTTCAGAATCAAAGCCAGCCAGCTCACCAAATTGGATCATGAATTGATCCATCCTTTCTTTTATTAGGGGTGGAGAGTAGGGAAGGGTGTTGCTTGGGTTTTTATCTTAACCCCAAAAATGGCAGTAGACTTACTGACATGTGTTTTCAGTTCAGGCTCTGTGGGAAAAGAAAGGCAAGCTACTTGAATGATTTAAGAAGCTCACATTTCTCTCTCACTGTGGTAGAAGCTAGTTATATACCTATAATTCAAGTTACTGCTGATAGTGAACATGGGTGTAGCAATGCCTAGGAATTGTGTCTGCACAATAACACCTTATACAATGAGAAGCACCAGTTTTCTCCCATGCCTTGTTTAAGGAAAGGGAATTTGGAATCAATGTCTGATGTTAGTAAAGGGGGCTTTGCACTGACTGTGGTCTGCTGTCTTTCTGTAGCCTTTCACCTGGATTGTGCCTGGAGTGTTAATGGGAGGAGAGAAGAGAAAATCAGAAAAGGCCAGGTAGGAAGAGGTTTGTTGGTTGTTGTTTCCTTCTTGAATGTGTCCTGCCTTCCTATTCAGTAAGGCTGGGTCCTTCTAAACCTGCTGAGAGCTTTGTCTCAGGCTCTGCTTCCTAGTCCCGGTGCACAGGGACAGATTGAGTCAGTGGGGAGCGGTCACCTCTAGACGGTGCTGTTTTTTAAAATATTAAACCTACAAACAGGTTTCCTTCTGATGTTGCTAGTAACAGTGCTGTCAACTTCTTAACTCCCACCTACCCAATGCTCTATAGCATCCCTGGTTTAGTATACATCCACCTGCATGCCACTCATTTTTGTGGACATTAAGAGTTTGGGGTTTTGTTGTTTGCTTTTACAAAAACAAGATCATTCACTTATATAATGCTTTGTAACTTGCTTTTTACAACCGAATATGTTTGTTCCTTTATTAGGATTTGTAATGGGTGTCAGTTGAAAATCGTTGCAACAAGTAAATCTCAAATTGTCTTCATTCTTTTGAAAACATTTTTATTGTATTATAGCTTAATAATCAGTACTCAATAATGATGCATGTAGTCTATAACTGAGGAGTAAATATGAAACCTGAAACCTCAAAGCATTGGTTAGGATTAGACTCAGCTGTGAATAACAACAATAATAACAAATAACAGTGGCACAAACAATATACAAGTTTTATTTTTCTTTCACATTTAAGAAATCTGACAGAGCCAGTCCAAGGCTGGCCTGGTGCTCCAGTGTCGGGGACCAAGCTCTTTCTGTCTTTTTGTGCCACTATGGGAGGATTCCATTTTTAAGATTACCTCATAGTCTTAGATAGTTGCAGGCACTCCAACCATTGCATCTAATTTCTTGCCAGCGGGTACAGAGATGCTCATACCTGCTCCCTCTGAAGGTGCTTGTGTGATTGGCGTGTTCCCTTTACCTTTTATCCCATTGCTAAAACAAACATGACTATACTTAACTGCAAGGGAAGCTTGAAAATATATCCAGCTAGGCTGGGTGCAGTGGCTCATGCCTGTAATCCTAGCACTTAGGGAGGCCAAGGCAGGAGGATGACTTAAGACCAGGAGTTTGAGACCAGCCTAGGCAACATAGTGAGACCCCCGTCTCTACAAAGAAAAAAAAAATGTGCTAAAAATTGGAAGCTTTTATTACGGTGGACTGACAGGAAAATGGTTGTCTGGGGAATGAGAAATTAGATTTATTGTATATAACCCATGGGACAAAGCTGAGCCCCGTTGAATGGAAGTTACATAAAGGGCTTAGCATAAGAAAAAAGTGTCCTAGCAATTGGAGCACATTGGCATGGAATCACTTGCTCAGATACTAGATTCTCTGGCACAGAAACCTTCGAGAACAGGCTAGACTACAATCTCTTTGGAAGGTTCTAGAGAGGATTTATGAGTCAGATAAAGAGCATTGGATTATGTAGTTATGATCCCTTTCAAAGTTAAAGTTTTATGATTTTAATGTAATTTCAGATCTTAACAATTGCATTTCACAGTACAGGGAAAGACTCAAGTACAGCTTTCTACCCAGTTTTTATGTTTTGTCATGATTTCAGGCTATGGCACGTTTGCACTGTACATGAAATGAGTCTGTCTATTTTGCCTTTTTCCTGTGTTTTCTACTGGCGTGGCCCTGTTTGATTTACTTTCTTTTATGATATATAATTTTAAACAGACTCCGCAAAGGAATAAATATCCTTATCTCAACTCCTGGACGCCTGGTGGATCATATAAAATCCACAAAGAACATTCATTTTAGTCGGCTGCGGTGGTTGGTGTTTGATGAAGCAGACAGGTGAGCCTCGTCCCAGGATGATAACAGGTAGAAGAGAAGGGCTGTTTCTCCTCTCCTTGTTGCAACTTCTGTAGCCCCTTAGACCACATCTGCTCTTCATATAGTTGAAAATTTCTTTTTTTTTTTACAATCACAGAATCTTGGATTTGGGTTTTGAAAAGGACATCACAGTGATACTTAATGCTGTAAATGCTGAATGCCAAAAACGACAGAATGTCTTGCTATCAGCGACACTCACAGAAGGTGAGTTGAAAAGAAGTGATGGGTCCTTCTTTGTTCTTAATGAAGAGGAAGGACCTAGATTTAACCTGGGTTGTTTGCTGCAGTGATTCTCAACCTCAGGGAGGTGGGGGCAGGGAGAGAGCTGTCCTTAGAAGACTGCCTTTTCAAACTCTATGTTCTACACTCCCAACTTCCCTCTGCAAGTCATCCAAGACAGATATGTTCCCCAGGGCATGGGGAAAGGGAGAAAGGGCAGGGATGAGGACGAGAAAAGACTGGCTGCTATTGGCTTGGTGGTTTCATGAGGTTTTTGTGCACTTGCAACCCATGGAGAGCAGGGCCCTTGCACTGAAGATGATGACCTCTTATCTGAGTGCATTTTTAATGTAATCACTCTTCCTCCTATAGAGCTATTAAACTTAAAAAATATATCAATGAAGCGCTTCTCTGTCTTCCATCCATGTGAGATGGAAATTCTTAGCTCTCTTTTTTATCACTGGGAACACGAAGGCTTGGAAAAGTTGTATCACTCTACCAGATCCACCCCACACAGTGAGTCATTGACCAGCAGTGCAGCTTTCACGTTTTTCTGTCTGGTTTCCTTGATTTACTAGGCCACATTATGATGTGCATGTACCAGATGCCATGCATGTGGTCCCTCACAGTTCCCTATGTTCTAATTTTTGAGGGATGATTCACGAAGAAGGGATTCTGTGGTCAAGAAAGTTTGAGAAATGCCCCACATCCCTCCCTTGGATATTCTCAGGGCACATTAACACAATAAAGGCCCTGAGAGGGCTGCTTATAGCAAAAACGCTTTTGTGAAACCTTTGAAATCCAAGATTTGCCATAACTTACTTGACCAAAGAACCCTTTTGGGAGGTGGGGGTGGGCGCAGTATCTGTTGCTATCTTTTGGACGCTGTTCCATAGGTGAGTGTTTATAGAATGGCTATGGAAAGATACGTTGGTAGATCTCCCTGCAACACACACGTTGGCACTAGGGCGGATCAGTGCTGGGACTTGGTGATACCCATGGGGTAACATACGTAGTCCTAACATACATGGGTGGGTGCTGTATGGGGGTACGCTTTTGTGACCAGTTTCATGGTGTGTTTGTTGTCTGCTTTGCCCTTCTTACTTTTATCCAAGGTGTAACGCGGCTAGCTGATATCAGTTTGCATGATCCAGTCAGTATTTCTGTCCTGGACAAGAGCCATGACCAGTTGAACCCAAAGGACAAAGCGGTCCAGGAGGTCTGTCCTCCACCAGCTGGCGACAAGCTGGACAGCTTTGCAATACCAGAGAGTCTCAAGCAGCATGTGACTGTGGTTCCCAGCAAACTGAGGCTTGTCTGCCTAGCGGCCTTCATCCTTCAGAAATGCAAGGTGGGACTGTGGGCTAGAGCCGACTTGATTCAGGGAAGAAAGGCCTGCTTTCTTGTGTTAAGCCATTGGGAGCAATGAGTTGAGACACCAAAAATCAGAGGTTTTCCAACTTATGTCTGCATTCCGGATGCAGACTTTGATATACATCCTTTCAGTCAGGTTTTAGGATTATGGTAAAAACTCAGAGGTCAATGATAGCCATGATGTTCAGCTTGAAATGTTCTCGATACCTTTCCTGGGACTGATATTAGGAACATCACAGGTGGCGGGAACAGCTGGATGTGAGGCAGACGTAGGGGCTTGTGCTCATGTTTCTCCAAGAGTCTTGGCATTTGTGTATTTATTTACTAGATTTCTGCGCTGACTCTGAGATGTGAGAAAATAGTAAGTGGAAGGGCTTAAGGGTGAAGGTTTTCTGCATATGTAGGGTCTCAGCCAGGTAGTGTTGCATGTGGCAAGCCCTGGGCGAATAAAGGGAACGGAGCTCCCACACAGCTGTGCTCCCAGGTGTGTTTATTTTTGTCAGATAAGGGAAACCTGTTTGAAATGATAGCTGTGTCGTTTTCCTCTCCTGCATTCTTTGTAGAGTGGAGTATCACTGTTTTTGTTTTTGTTTTTTTAAATAATTCAAAGATAGTCACCTTTATTTCCAAATGGGGGTCAGCATGACTGTATAGTTTAGAGAAATATTCGTTTTGGCGTCACCTAATCTTAAAATATGTCGGTTTTTCCTCCCTTTGTATCGATGTAGTTTGAGGAAGACCAGAAGATGGTTGTCTTTTTCTCAAGTTGCGAGCTGGTGGAGTTCCACTACAGCCTCTTCCTACAGACCCTGCTGAGCAGCTCAGGGGCGCCGGCATCAGGGCAGTTGCCATCTGCCTCCATGCGATTAAAATTCCTACGGCTGCATGGCGGCATGGAGCAGGAGGTGAGCACTGATCTCCCTGTGCAGCGACAACACTGCGGCCCCACGTGGAGATGGGGGCGAACCTGAGTCCGGCAAACCTGGTCTTTAGGCTCAGCAATGGCTACGACCCTTGCACACTCCACTGGGCAAGTCAAGAATGAGACGAAAATGGGTGACCCACTGAAACTAGAGGGGATCACACTGCTGGATTGATGGGGGCAAGGGGAGTCTATTGTTCCCATTTGCTTTTGCTCTGGGAGCTGGTCTCTTCCACCCGAGAGAGCTCACAGGCCCTGGACTTGGCCTGAATCTACCTCAACCAGCTGTTAAGGCAACAGAGTACCACTAAGTAGCTGGCACCAGGGAAGGGTTTTGCCTTTTTAGTACCCAGTGTGTAATTAGGGCTTGATGTCTTCAAATTAAGAGCATTAATGGAGCTAAATTGTGGATCCCATATGGTACTGCTGAGCACGGCTGCTGTCATTGTCAACAAGACACAGCGCTGCACTCAGAACACTTTCGGTTGGGAGAGGGTACCGTGAACCAAAGGGGCTTCGGGTTCCCAGTTCTTTCTCGGCACGGAGTAAGATTTCTGTTCAGGAAGAAGAATACAACATTTCCCCTATTTTAGGGACTTGGCTATGTGAGTCGCATTCCTCCACTCTTAACTAGGCCGTTTGTTATGGAGTCGGGGTGGAATATGGGAGTGAGATATACTCACTGGAATTGGGAAAGAAAGAACGAGCAAGACTCGAAATAGGAGCCATTTTGCCCTAGAGGAGAGGTTACCAGGCAGCTTCAAAAATTAGAAAGTGTGAAAGAAAACTAGAAATCAGGATGAGATTTGACTTGAGCCAGCTTAAAAGATCATAAGATTTTTAGAGCTAAAAGGGACACTAGAGGTTTGACACGATCCTAAACAAGTCCAGCCTCTCTTTGCTTTTGCTCTTTTGTTTTAATAATTAAGTAAATAGAGGCCCAGAAAAGCGAACTTGTTCAAGGTCACTCAAGGACACCGGTTATTTGCCACAAGATTATATAGAAATCCCTGAATATTCCAGCCCTTGCGCATTAGGTAAACTCTTGGTCTTTACCTTTGGATCCCTGATTCAATCAAAGTTGTTGGTTTTATTTATTTAATACCGTTAATGGTTTGGGGTTTTGTTTTTGTTTCAAGCTTTGTTTACTAATCCTGTGAATCCGTTTTTACCAGAGGCATTCTGCGGCGTCGATCCAAGCGTGGTTGGGGGGAGCTGGGTATGGACTCAGAATGGTCTAGGAATTCGCTGTAATAGATCACACACAAGAGTCTATAGCTTCATTATACAGAGGCTGTTCATCTCACTTTGTAACAGGGGAGTAGTCTAGCGTGCTGTTTATAGCTGTGCCCTCTGGGGGCACCCTGCTTGTGGTCTTGTCCTGGCTGTCACTTGCTGGCTGTGTAATCTCAGGTAAATATTTAACCTCTCTGTGACCTAGTTTCCATGTCTGTAAAATGGGGATGATAATTGTACTTCCTTTAAGGTTGGCTGAGTTAATGCAGACAAAGCCCTCCGTACAGGGCCTAGCACACAGGAAGTGCTCAGTAGATGTTAAAGTGCCTTTATTACTATTGTTTTTATCTGTCTTTCAGGAATAGTTCTTTTTTTATAGTTTAAAAGTTGTTTTTTTATAGTTAAAATTGTGTTTTTATAGTTTAAAAAGTAGAATGTCTGTGTAGTATTTAGCCTTTGCAGTGGAAGACAGGAGGTTATAGTATCCCTGTGTTTTCTTTTGTAAGTATTAGGGGTGAGTTTCTTGTTCCAGACTAAGCTGAAACAGTCCCACTTAAATTTTCCTGACTTATTACCCTGGCCACTGTCCTACAAGGCCTTAGCATGGTCTCCTTAGATGGTTGACATGGTTCTAAAAAAGTTTATGAGCATTGGATAGACGTTACTATTTGCATGGTAGTTGTGATGAAAGTCTAGAGTTTGGTAGGTTTTTTTTTTTTCTTACCCCAAATCTGAATACATCATAACTAGTCTTTAAGGTGTTTCATAAGCTTTTATGAACTTTCTGATTTTTTTCTGATTTTGATTCTACGATGCAGCCATTAAAAATGATCGTTTATAAAGACCGTGCAGCAGACTGGACAAATGGATCTGTCCTTTTGAGGGTCTGAGCACTGACTCCGGAACACAGCTCCCTGGGTTCGGATATCATTCCGGCCCTTTACCAGGTGTGCGTGTCCTTTGGGCAAGTTCCTTAACCTGTCTGTGCCTCAGTTTTTTTCTTCTGGAAAATGGGGGTGATGATAGTACTTACACATAGGGTTGTTGTGAGGATTAGCAAAGTTCAGACGTGTGAGGTCTGGTACATGGTGGGCACTCGATGAATGTTTGTTGTTTGTATGTCTTTATCCAGTGTACTCAGTGAGGTGTGCCCCGGGCTTCCAGCCATGGACAAAATCTACGCACAGGAAAGACCAGAAAGACATGCCACAGCACATAGTGACTGTGCCAAAGCGGCAGAGACTTTACTTTTTTCCAGATTTTGAGTAGTTTGGTTCTATTTCTTTGTATTTGCTGCTGACAGGTGAATGTGACCAACTCAAGTGCATAGAGCTTCATGACTGAAGAGCACTCAGAATGCGCCGTTTCAGGCTCATACTGAAAGCATTCTAGGATGCTCACCTTTTGGTCCAGCGAGTCTGTTTCTAGGAATTTAACCTAAGGGAGTAATTAAGAATCTACACAGTGACTTATTTATAGAGATGTTTATCACAGCATTGATTGCAATATTAAAAAATCAGCAGGGCGAGGTGGCTCACGCCTGTAATCCTAGCACTTTGGGAGGCTGAGGCTGGTGAGTTGCTTGAGCTCAGGCGTTCGAGACCAGCCTGAGCAGCATGGCAAAACCTCGTCTCTTCAGAAAATACAAAAATTAGCCAGGCATTGTGTGTATGCCTGTAGTCCCAGCTACTCAGGAGGCCAAGGTGGGAGGATCACTTGAGCCCGGGAGGTGGAGGTTATAGTGAGCTGAGATTGTGCAGTGAGCCTGGGTGACAAAATGAGACCCTGTCTCAAAAAAAAAAAAAAATCAGAGACAACCTTAATTGCCATAATACAACATTGGTCACGTAAATAATGGTGCATCCATTTAGTTGAATACTATTTCACCACAGCAGATGACCTGGTCTTTGGATACTTATTGGCATGAAGAGATGTTCATATTCTGTTGCTATATAAGAGCATGTTAATAGTATAAATAGTAGGATGCCTTTTTTTTTTTTGGAAAGCTGCATATTTGGTTATGTTATGCATAAAATGGAGACTCGGGAAACGTCAAGGTGTCCCTGGTGGTAGTGGGGGTTTGCCTTGAGTGGTATTATATTTTCTTCCTCTAATGTAAATATATTTTCTCTCCAATTAAAATACATAGTTTTATAAATATCTAATCTTTTAAAAAACTGCCTGTAGAGAAGGTTGGTTATTCTTTATTCCTTCAGAGCACTTGTAGGAGAATGTTTAGAATAAATTGCACGCAGGCTTGAAGCCCTGCATGCAGTAACTTGTGCCTTCCTGTTCTTGTTTTTGGCCATTCCTGGAGAGTGTGCCTGCCCTGGTAGTGTCTCACAAAAATGCACCCTCAAAGCGCCTGCTACTTGGCTGTAGCCTCAAGTCCGGTCCTGTAAGTACAGGGTCATCTTAGAAGATGTAAAGAATCCGCTTCTTCCTCTTTCCTGGCAAACCTCTCTGTGCCTGAAAATAGCTCTAGCAGTAGGAGATGGAGAGAGCTAGGGAGATGTAAGCCTACCTTGCTGGAGTTTGTCTCTGAGTTGTAAGGCTCTATTTTTCCTTGTTTTTGTAGGAAAGAACAGCAGTGTTTCAGGAATTTTCACATTCCAGAAGAGGCGTCCTTCTTTGCACGGTACGTATCCTCCTGTGTTCCATGTGAAGGCTGATACATTTCTGTGATGGCTGTGTAATCTTTCGTCTCTTGACAGTTTGTCCTGTGGTCAGTCCTACAGGGCCCAGGAACACTAGGGGCCCCTTGGTGGGGCTGGCCTCTTTGCACCTCTTTCTTGTTACCTGACAGGGCTGCAGATAGCCAGCCACCACCGTGCAGAAGACTTGGCAATTTGCTCACTAATAGTGGCAGCTGTTGGTCTGAAAATGTGTGAATCTTGGAGATTTCTATCCACCAAAAACTTGTAAATTACAGCTATCGGGAGTAATTAGAGCTGAGAAAGTCTTTCCACAACAAAATGACTCTGATTGCCTCTGCTTACCTTTTCTTAAAGGAAAATCGGTGCATTTGGGCCGATTTTATTTGCTGCTGTCTCCGACTATCATTTGTCCTGTGATTTCAGGGCCTGCTCCCTCAGCCTCAGGCTCTGCAGTCCGGGATAGCTGCCTCCTCCAGCACAACACTGACCTTTTAAACTCATGCCTCTTGTGCTCTTTTGAGATTAAAAACTCAAACCTTCAGTGTTCTCTACCCCCAGGCTGGGGATTCACTTTACCGTAGTTGTTGCTATCTCCAAAGATTAAAATGCCTTCTCTGTTCCATCTTGGATGATGTAACTTAATCCCCAGCTGGTTATTGGAGAAGTCCCTATATACACAGTAATGAAATTGTACCATAAATTTAGTCAATCCAGTGAACAAGTGCTGGGTAGAAACAAAGATACTAAGCTGTTTGAATGCCCATCTAGGCCACATTTGATGCAATTACTTTTTAAGGAACTTGTATTCCATATTCAGTATTAAAGGCAATGGAGACTTTTCTGTCTTAAGTGTAGAGTCTCTGTATGAGTGCAGCATGGTTTCTTGTGTGTTTATATATGTGTGCTTATCTGCAAGAGGGGGCTTATTGGTAACCTGCTTATCACAGTGTCATTTCTCGTGTGTGAGGCAAACAGTGGCTCTGCAGACACTCATTCAGACCTGAGAGCTGTAACCATGGAATACTTGCCTCCTGAGGAGATCTGTGTCTGACCAAGTCCTTCCCTTTATGAGGCCCATCCACGAGTCAGATGCTCGAGCTTGTTCTAAAGCCATCTTTATCCGTGGTCTCTAGTGAAGATTAATTCCAAATAATCTACTTAATAAAGAAATTTGTTGGGCCAGGTGTGATGGTTCATGCCTACCAGCCCACCACTTTGGGAGGCCGAGGTGGGAGGATCGCTTGAGCCCAGGAGTTCACGACCAGCCTGAGCAACAATATAGCAAGACCCCGTCTCTACAAAAAATATTAAGGAATAAAAATTAGCCAGGCATGGTGGCACGTGCCCATAGTTCCAACTACTCAGGAGGCTGAGTCGGGAGGATCACTTGAGCCCAGAAGGTCGAGGCTACAGTGAGCTGTGATTGCACCACTGCATTCCAGCCTGAGCAACAAAGCAAGACCTTGTCTCAAAAGAAAAAAAGCGGGGGAAAGAAATTTGTCAAAAATCCTTATTATATCTAACAATACTTTGTGGAACCTGACCCCTATTTGTCTCTTTTCACCCTACTCCCCCTTGCTCCCTACCCTTCAGCAAAACAGCCCCCTCTTTCAGTCCTGGAATGTATCATCTGGCTTTTTCTAGCTTTGGGGCCTTGATTCATGCTAGTCCCTCTGCCTGGAACACTACCATGATTTTGACTAAACCATCTTTAGGTCTCCCCTTAAATTTTATGTCTTCAGAGAAATGAAACTCAGAAGCCCCCCCATTCTTCCCCATGGGGCTGTCCCAATGCACCCTACGTTTCTTCACTGTAATGATCATCCCACCTGGTCTGCGTGCCTTCCCAGCCGGTCGTAAGCATCATGAAGACAAGGACTGTGATTTGTTTGCATTTCTATCCCAGTGTCTAGCACAGAGCAGGCATGCAGTAGGCGCTTGGTTTTGTAGATCAAATTGGGGGCGCTAGACAGGGCCCAAGAAACTTGATGTTAAGAGCTACCAGTGTGTGTGTTTTTCTAAAGACAGAGATTAATAGACTTGCTCACTGGGAATAAGTTTTTCATTCATCTGGTGTTATCTGAGAAGTGAATGTTCTGGACTGTGAATATTGAAATAGAAAGCAGTAGGAACCTTTGGGGTGGAGTTTGGGTTATTATAGGAACAGAATATTTTATCTTTGACCCATAACATGCTGGATTTATCCCTCAGAAATTGTTGAGTCTCCTAGTATGCAAACACTTTACAGACATGAGTGAGTTGTAAGCCTTAAAGAAAACTCCAGGTATCTGAAGTTCTGTTGTTTGTATTTTTAGTAGCTCTGCGTGGAAGAAAAGATTATTCTTTCTGAAATAGTTAATATAATTCTCAGGTCAAAAGCATACAATCACTTTCCTTGTTCTGTCTGGCTGATGATACCTGCAGGCACGTGGTATCAGCTAGACAAAGAATGCCATTGTCTTGGCAAAGCACAGTACCTCCCAGCCCTCTGCGCCCTGCCAGTCCCAGGTGCCACATGGAAAGAGAACTCTCCCTCGCCCACAGCCTGATTTCTCTAAAGCCCTCAGTCTTTGTTCATTTTCTAGTCCAGGTCACTCCAGCATGCCGATATTCTGGGGACTCTCTTTGCTGTGTAGTGAAGATGACTGGAGAAGAGCTGGGTGGGGTTCATTTCTCTCGGTTGCTGGGCCAGAACAGGAGGGCCGGTTCCCAGTCGTGGGAAGTTCTTCGCTTCCTCTCGGTGTTCCTGGCTCTTCTGCCATGCTTGTTTGCTCTAGCTGATGCTTCTAGCATATGAGAGCTGCGGGGCGAGTGGGACACACACGCTGTAATAGATCATGCCTGGGTCGGGGGAGATGCTGCCACTCTGCGTCCTTTTAAGCAGCCTGTTGCTTGCCAGGCTATCCGAACACTCTCCAGGAGCCTCCTTGGTGTTAATGAGGAACGAGGGCCACTTCAGGACGAGACAGATGGAGAACTGGCTTCTTTTGATAAAGAAGAATCGTGCTGTTAATCGTTACATGGGGATTTTCCCCCCTTTATACTGTGCCTTTTGCCATTTTAATTTATCATCCCGAGATCCTTTTAACAAGGCCAGAATGAATGTCTTTATGAAAATTTGGAAATAGCAGTGTGCTCACACAGAAGTTCACAATTACGCTGTTTCCTTCATGGTTAAAAAGTCCCCCACCCCATTTTCCTTCTTGCTAGGAACAGTTAAGGGTGCATGTGTGTGTTTCATTTCATTTTCATTATAAACATCTCAAAAGCAGGGACCTTTTTAGTTTCATGCAGCTCGCAAGTCCTGATAATGTGGCTTTGTGTAATGTGGCTGTTCAATGAAGGTGTGGCTATGGTAAGATGGAGTCTAGGCAGAGCATAGCTGGGGGCAAAAGAAATCAGTGTGTGAAAGACGAGGAGTCCTCACACATTCACAATGTAATTTCGTGTCTTCTGGAAAACTAGATCTAAGAAAAAGCCAAGTTAAGTAGGAAGTAGGGATGAGCAAGAAGGAGTCATTGGAAGTTCAAAGCCCACTTTCCCAAGTGGAATTAAGCAATCAAAGGGATCAGATATCAGACACTGGATTATCTGCAAAATGTTATTTCCTCCTACTTACAGTGAAGAACTCACCCTAAGCCAGAGGAAAGGAACCTTGCTTTTAATACCATCATTATGTTGACGAGTTGATAAGAAGTACCACCGAATGGCCGGAAAATGGAGTTTCTAAGCCACCTGATTTTAAGGCTGACATTAGGTTTTCTGTTGGTCTCCGGTGGCTGTCCTTGATTGTCCCTGGATGGAGTGCAGTCACCTTTTTCCCAGAAAGGAAAGATACCTGCAGCCCGCCCTGGGCGCCAACTGTCCCTTGGCATCCTCCTTGGCTGTCCGGCGCGTGCATTTCTTTTTCAGAAGATGCACCTAAATCACCTGTGCTGCTTTCCTCCACCTTCTCCGTATTTTTTTCCGCTTGAAGCATACTGTTCTGTCTGTGCAGTTCTTAATTTCCTCTCCTCCTGGGGAATTTCCACCGTGCCAGGAGGCTAGGAGACAAAGGAGATACGGCTGTGAAGAGTCACAATGTCAGTTCTGTGTCCCAAATAAATGTAGACTTTCGTGCTTTTCTCTGGGGTATGCTTTTTAGGTAAAGTGTATCTTTTTCGTTTTATTTTGTTTCGTTAATGGAAAGATCATTTGGAGATTGTTTGCTGTTTACTCAGTTACGCTAACTCATGTTGCCAGTTTTTTGGCGGCTCCAGCCAAGATCTCTCGCCTCTGACAGCTTCTGCACTCTCTCCTTCCTCCTCTGATTACGCAGCCCAATCTGTCACCCGGACAACGGGGGCCTGGACCCTGCTGATGGCTTTCCACACACGGCAGTAATGACTTTTGGCAGGCCGGGAAGGCGTCAGAGGCGAGTGTGCTGCGTCCCTTCTCAGAGAGACGGCAGGCCCCCTCTCCCTGTTAGTAAAAGCACTTTGTGAGGTTCTTGGGTAAATAAATGAGTCATTTTAATCCAACTGACAGGCTGGCACCTGAGCAAGCTGCCTTCCATCTGTACTCCTAGGTCTCATGGAGGCAGCCAATTGTCAGGCCCAGGGCCTTCAAGGCCTCACCGTTGAGTGTCTTTCAGAACTGACTTTAGCAATTCTTTTGCTCGAATTAGCTTAAAGGAATAAAATGAAGCTACATCTAAGTTCTAAGAGCAGACAGAACAGAATCCTCTGCTGAGTCTTGGTGGGTCATGATCTCCTGTTGATCTGATGTAGCTGGCTGACTGTGCTCCAGGGAGATGGAGCCTCTGCTGTTTCCCTGGGACCTCTCCCTGGGTAGGGCGGGGGCAGAGAATGAGATATGATGGAAGAGGAGAGTACAGAGACATTGAAATCACTTCTCTGCCTAATTGCCATGATACCAGTTCTTACTTCACCAGGATAAGTGAGATTTACAGAGTCTCAGAATACTGAGATTTATAGGTCTGAAGATATTTGTCATATACGTGGTCTCATTTGATCTTAGCAACAACCTCATGACGTACATAGCATGGTTCTCCCAGCCATTTTATAGGCGGGGCAGCTGAGGCTCAGCTTGCCAAACTGACCCACGCAGATTGGACAGCCCCTAAGTGGGACTGGAGCAAGCAGTCCAGTTCTCTCTTCCTAGACTAGGACTTGCCTTTCTTTCTCCTTATTCACTGTGGTAGCCTAAAGAAATGGCTGAGTTAAATCTGGGGGAGAGAAAACAAGGAGTATTGGGCAGTGGCTGGCCGTCAGTGAGGTTCCCCCAACACACGCATTAGTGGGAGACCGGAAGATTGTGTCTTAGCCTGTTGTCCAGAGCTAGGTCACCCAGGTAGGAAATAGAGCCTTGAAGACACAATGACAGGCTGCTGGCGCCCTTCATCACTCACTGTTGCGCTGTGTTTGGACTCACAGTGAGTTTCATGAACGTCACATGTTATTTTAGAGTCTTTAGAGTCTTAGTGTTTGCTGGTTGAATTTACTAAGCCAATGAGCATTAAATTTTTACAAGGCACGTCTGTGAAGCTCAAGCAGCCCGTGCCTACGTGGATCTCCCACTGCAGTGCACTTAAAGACAAGAAATCAGTTCTTCACAAGAGCTTTGCAGATGTAAGAACTCATCAGTGTTTCTAAAAACATAAACTGTAGTTGGTGTAGAAAGTGGCTCCCGCTCCCCTTTAGATAGAGAACATCCTAAATTGTGTTCTCAAAGGCATCAGCTCTGCAACATCAGCCTTCAGCTTCCAGAGCCTGTGGGAGCTGTCTGAAAACACTTTGTGGGTGGTTGACACACTTTTAGTGCATTTAACTTCTGCTTACACACTTATAAATGCAGCCTAGCCAGCATTCAAAGGAAACCTGCAAATCTCAGTTACGAGTGAAGACAGACAAATCCTGAGGTACCCTCAGTGGTCCTTCTGGGGGAGTGATGGTGGGATGGTGTCTCCCTCAAGTCCTGCCTCCGACGCTGGGGGAAGCAGGAGTGTGTTTCTTTTCTTTTTCTTCTTCTCTTTTTTTTTGAGACAGAGTTTTGCTCTTGTTGCCCAGGCTGGAGTGCAACGGCGCAATCTTGGCTCACTGCACCCTCCACCTCCCGGGTTCAAGCAGTTTTCCTGCCTCTGTCTCCGAAGTAGCTGGGACTACAGGCATGCACCACCATGCCTGGCTAATTTTGTGTTTTTAGTAGAGATGGGGTTCACCATGTTGGTCAAGCTGGTCTCGAACTCCTGACCTCAGGTGATTCACCCACCTCGGCCCCCCAAAGTGCTGGGATTATAGGTGTGAGCCACTGCGCCCACCGGGAGTGTGTTTCTTATAGAAATTTTGCATAGTATTATTGTTTTTCAAAAAAGCTATGTACAGGCCAGGCACGGTGGCTCACACCTGTAATCCTAGCACTTTGGGAGGCCGAGGCGGGCAGATCATGACGTCCAGGAGATCAAGACCACTGCACTCCAGCCTGGGCGACAGAGCGAGACTCCATCTCAAAAAAAAAAAAAAAAAAAAAAGCTATGTACATATGAATCCTTTGTGATACTTAACAGTAGGTTGGGGGTGGGCTGTTTTTACAAAAGTATCCCAGAGCTGTGAAATGGATGGAAGGAATGATAGACTTAAAGAGTCATCAAGGTAACAGTACAGACAAGGGCCATCAGTAAATGCTAAAAGCCTTGGGTGAAAGGTTTTAGGAAACAGGACCATGCTATTCGCATGGTCTCAAAGTGTAACTCCCCAGCTACTTACTCATTACGAAGGAGAAAGTCACCTTCTCAACAGAGGGACCCATACAGGACAGACTGCCCCAGTGTGTTTCCCGACATGGAACCATGGGAAGCACACACCACCCTGAGGTTGTTTGTGCCAGAAAGCCTAACCGCAACCTTACCATGAGGAAGCAGTTAGACAAATCCAGTTGTCCGATGTCCTCAGGAACATTTTGATGTTCTTAAAAAATGACAGACATCGAAAAACTAAGTAAGTCAATCAAAGGCAGGGGTGTGGTTCCAAACTAAGGAAGTCTACAGAGACACAACGGAGTGCGTGACCTACCATCTGATCCTAGTTTAGGAAAGAAAAACAACTGTAAGAGGCATCTTAAGGCGTGGTGGCTCTTGCCTGTAATCCCAACGCTTTGGGAGGCTGGGATGGGGGGATCGCTTGAGCCCAGGAGTTTAAGACCAGCCTGGGCAGAAAGAGTCTAGATTAGCTGGGTGTGGCGGAACTTACCTCTGGTCGTCCAGCTACTCAGGAGGTCGAGGCCAGAGCATCACTTGAACCCAGGAGGTTGAGGCTGCAGTGAGCAGTGATTGTGCCACTGCACTCCAGCCTGGGCAGCAGAATGAGACCCCATCTTTAAAAAAAAAAAAAAAAAAAAAAAACATCTTAGGTACAGTTGGAGAATTTGAATATGGACTGTTTATTAGAAAATGCTATTCAGCATTAAATTTCTGAGGTGTGATAATGGTGGTGTGGTTATGTAGATCAGTGTCCTTTTACTTAGGAGGTATGTGTTAAAGTATTTAGGGTTAAATTGTCATGATGTTTGCAACCTACTTTCAGATGGTTCAGAAAAATGTGCTTGCATATGTGTGTGTGTGCGTGGGCATGCGTAGATAGAACACAGATGGGCCAAAGACTGGTGGTGGCAGAATCTAGGTAAAGGAGTTACATCTGTATCTCCTTCATCTAGATTGTACTAGTCTTTTAACTTTTCTGTAGGTTTAAATTTTTCTAAATAAAAATTGTAGGGGAAATGATAAGAATTCATTGTTAAAGCCAAACACAAAGAGAAAAGTAAAAATCCCCCTAGATCCCTCTGTCCAGAGATAACCACAGTTGGTGGTTTTGTGAGCCTCTATCATGGTATTGGTTCTCCATCTGCCTATTTAATGTGTTTTGGGTGTCGTTACTCCTCCTTTATTTAACTTTTTTGTTGAAGAAACCAGATCATTTGTCTTTTAGAATACCCTACATTCAGGATTTGGCTAATTGTGTCCTCACGGTGTTCAACATGTTCCTCTTTCCCATACTTCCTGTAAACTAGTAGTTGGATCTAGAGACTTGATTAGATTTAGGTTCTAGGTTTCAGGTTTTATTTTGTTTGGCGAGAATATGTCATAAGTGATACTCTGTGTTTCCTATAGTGACAGCTGTTTATCTTTTTAAATTATGCCAATACACTTCGGTCTGAGTCAAAAGTATCAAAGTTCATTAAAGGAAGTGTAGCTTCCATCTTTATCCTGTCCTTCCTCTTCTTTTCCTCCCCTGGCGATAACTGTTTTTTTAAGCTTTGGGGGTTCTTCCCACCATTATTTCCTACTGAAATATGAGCAAATATGTTTGTATTTTCCCAACTTCTTACACAAGCATACTAGACACACTCAAAATATATCCTAGAGTCTCCATATCCGTATATAGAAATCTTTGTTCTTTTTATAGCTGTATAGTACTCTGTTATATGAGATATTGCTGTATTTTATTGAACCTGTCTTCTGCTGGTTGACAGTTTTTTTCTAGATCTACAAATTATATATAGTGCTGAAATGAATGGCCTCATGCCTATATCATTTTGTATTTTTGTCAGTGTATCTTTTTTTGTGTGGACTTTTAGAAGTGATACTGCTCTGGGTCAAGAGCAAATGCACATGTAATTTTGCTAGATACTACCCAATTCCCTGCCATAGGGATTCCCACCAGCAGCATATGAGGGACATGGGATCATTTTTGATGGTGGAATGCGGTATAATATAATATGGCCTTGAAAAAGCAAAGCAGACCTGGATTCGAGGATTATTTCCACTTCCCAGCTGTGTGTCCCCGAACAAAATACTTTATCTCTCTTAACTTTGGTTTTGTCATCTGTCAGATGGGGGTAATAGTTGTTTTGAGGATTAGTCAAGATAACGCAGGTAAAGGTCTCAGCGCAGTGTGTGGTGGGTAGTAAGTGTTCAGTAAATGTTGGCTGGGACACTCTTGTTACGACTGTTATTCTTGAAGAATGAATGCTGAGTACAGATGTATGCTAAAGTCAGGGAAATTCCCACTTTCTGGTCTGCTAGAATGGTGAGAGACTAGAGAGAGTAGAGAATTTTTGCTCTTTGGGTGGTGACTAGTTGAAAAGATACATAAAATTAAAAAATAAATCTCCATTGCTTTTATAGTTTTTCAGCTATCTAGCTAAATCTTTGAAGCGATTAATGGGCTTGGCCTGTATTCTAATCCAGCTACCTGAAGAGATGGGGGTAGGGGGTTACTAGATCCTTGCTGCTCTCTGAGGCCAGAAAGCAAAATCCTAAGTAAATACTTTGCACTTCACTCCCACAGCGAATGCCTTGAGGGGAGATGTTCCAGAACACACCTCAAGGCCAGCTTGTTAGGCGTTGCTCATGGTTGTGGGCGGGGGGTGATAATCCATGAATGTGTTCCTCAAGTGGTTTTTCAGATAAAATGTAAATCAATAAAACATGCTAGAAGAGTTCAGAGTTCTTTACATTACACAACTGATAATTACTGTTTAAGTTCCTAGGCTAACCTGTGGATTCTTTTAGCAAAGGGTGTTGTGACTCCCTCATCAATGGGTTCTGTAGAATTTGCCCCTAAATCAGAATTTTTAACCACAAGAGGACTGCAGTAGGTCCCTGAGCCCCCTGAAGTTGTATGCAGGACTGTGTGTGTGTGTGTGTGTGTGTGTGTGTGTGTGTGTGTGTGTGTGTGTGTGTGTGTACACGTACTGGGCATATACGTGTATGCCCGAATGTGCATGTACTGTGGGCGGGTGAACTCTCAGAGTTTGCATTAAATTATCAAACATATCCAGGACCCCAGAAAGGTTCAGAAACTCAGTGTTAAACCATATTCTTTTCTTTGTTAAAGGATGTTGCAGCTCGGGGCTTAGATCTCCCTCAAGTCACGTGGATTGTTCAGGTAATTTTTTAGTTGTTAAGGTGTAAGCTTTAGGCAGGAATATATGATCATGAGTAGATGCATTGGCTTTAAGTAGAATAATTATTATTATCCTCTTGGGTGTTGCCCTGGTAACCAGGCAGCAAACCAGCCTTATCTGTTCAATTCCCCTGACATCTTTCCTTAACCCAGCCCACCTCACCACTGCAGCAAAACAGCCAGAATGTGCGTTCACGAGAGGGAGGTGGCAGGCTCTCCTGCTTCTAGACTAATTCGTGTCACAAACCAAAATTTCAACAACCTGAAAATAATGGGAATTACCTCGGTCCCTGGGAGGCCTCATTGTGTCCAGAAGGAGATGGCTCAGCTGTCCGAGAGCCGTGTCCGTGTACGTTGACCTGCAGGGAGCAATTAAGTTCCTGACAGCATCTTACACATACCTCTAGCCTTAGACGCTTTGCCAGAGGGTACAGGTGTTAGCACTAGAGTCTGGTGGTTTTAGTTTTGTTTTTTCTTTTCATTAGTCTACAGAATGGTATTTTTAAGCCCTTTTGTGTCGGGGCTGGGGGACATGCCCTGTTGACGTGAGTCATGGTTTATTCACATTTTAGTGGGATTGCATGCCTGTCACTGGCCAGGATGTCTGATCTGCTCACTGCAGATGATCACTTTAGAACTGGAGGCATTGTGTCTTCTTTCCTGCTGGCCACAGAGTGAACTGAAGATAAGGCAATGACAATTTTAATGTATGGGAGGCCAGACATACAGAATTGATCATTTAGAGCTTATATTGTGAATATTGATTCATTTAATATGCCTAGCCTCCCATACATTATATTGACCTTGGCCCTCATCTCTCTGATATGTGTAGCATCAAAGGGAAAACATAGGGAAGAATGAGTGGATGGTCAATTAGCTTTAATGATGACAAAGTTATTGCCAAAGAAAACATACAATGCTTTGCATTATCCATTGTAATGAGTGATAGAGTCTGCTCTTTTCTCTGAGTTGGCAGTGCTCTCCGTGCAAGCAGAAGCATGTCCCTACCTGCAGGGAACCTGCCCCTCACCTGCCCGCATTCTGTAGAATGGCCGTCATTCTGAAGGACTGAGTGGGGCTGCTGCAGGCTGGTGGGGACCAGCTCCTGGGGCCTGCTCCTGGTGGCCTGGCATCAGAGGTAGACCCTGCCCACAGAGCAGGGAGCCCCTTCATCCTTACACCCTCCAGTGTCCTCTGGACACCTCACCCTGTGGCCTTGTCTACCAAGGAAGTAGGCCAAGGTCATGTGGTCATCCTGGAGAAATTTACCCCCACCTGCCTACATTTTCACCTCATCCAGTCACCACAGTGAAAAGATGCAAATAAGAAAATGAAGAGACCTGTGGAGAAGTAAAATTAAAAAGGAGATACTGGGATGAGAAGACGTCTCGTTTATCGGAAACTTGGCCACTGTTCACATTTGCTTGTCGGAGCCTTGTTATTTCCAATGAAGCCAGGAGTTTCAGGGTTGGGTGACTTCTCCTTGTGATTGTGTTAGGGTAACCATAGCACCAGGATTTAATTCTTGGGATACCTGGAGGCAGGTGAGGAGTATTGCACTTCCAATTAATGGCAGTCCCTTGATCTATGAATGCCTTCATTTTTGTTACCCTTTTTAGTACAACGCTCCATCTTCACCTGCAGAATACATCCACCGGATTGGAAGAACCGCCCGGATTGGCTGCCATGGGAGCAGCCTGCTCATTTTGGCTCCTTCGGAGGCAGAATATGTCAACTCGTTGGCTTCTCACAAAATCAAGTGAGTCAGAAACCTGAATGGGGTTTCGGCTGGTCTCACCTAATTAACTTTCTGTCGCTTTTTACAGTGAATGGGCCTTGTAAGCTGACGAAGAGCCATTAACCCTTGTGATCCCTAAATGAGTCCCAGAATAGCCAGTGGCAAAAACTAAAACCTTTAATATCCTCAGCACATGACAGTTTTCATTGCGTTGCCAGACTAAGTCATAGGACGATGTGTTGTACTTGGTTTTCTTTTAGAGAGCTGCGTTTCGTTTCTCCTGCTGCAAGATAAGTGTGCACCATCTTCGCAGCTTCTGAAAGGACTCTTATTCACAACTTTTATTTCTTGCAATTAATGGTTTGTATCTTCAAAGTTGATTTGTCTTTTAAAGAAATAATGCTTTTTACTCATCACACAATTTCCCTCCCCCAGGAAGATGAACCCAGGGGAAATGATTTTGAGGCAGTTGAAATCCACACTACACTCACAGCCAGGACATTCAGCTGCCATCTTGTGTGTCACAGTTCAGCACCTCATACCTCTGCGTAAAGCCCTGGATTCTAGACTTGGTGTGCCATGAGCACACAGCCCAGCTCGCTGTAAATGGGATAGTCTTATTTCTTTTTCCTTGCCCAGCCCTGTGTTTTATGTAAAACATCAAATAAAACTGCAACACTTTTCTCCCCTAAAGTACAGTGCTAGAAAAAAGCACTACGTTCTTCATTGGAATGAAAACATCCTAGCAGGCAGCCTGGGGGCCTGTTGTGGGGTGCAGCCCACTCAGTTGCAGGAGCCGTGTGTGGCTGTCCCCACCACACCTGCCCCGTCTCCCATCCGCAGAACTCTGCCTCTCATGCTAGTAAGACTTTTCAAAACTCTTTCAAGGTTGTTAGTGTGAACACTTACGGACTGAGGCTCATTCAGAAAACATGCTGTGTGTCCTTCAGTGTTGGGGGAGGCAGGAAACTACTCCTGGTTGTAATGTCAGGGGGCCAAAATAATAGTTTGGGTTTTCCTTTCTTCAGTGTGTTCTTTATCTTAACACAATCTGTCAGTTGAAAGAGTGGTTTTTATTTGTTAAGGAAGATGTGCATATTGTATCTTATTAGTGAAAGAAGTCTCATATAGATCAGTCAGTCACTTTTCACCCAGCGCTGCTTCTCCGGCTGAGTTCTGAGCTCCCTCAGCTGGAGGCTGGCTGGCCTCTCTTTGCTGCCCTTTCAGCATCGAGGCTGACACCCACCAGGGCGGGTGTACCAGGAACCCTGGGGAAGGTAAAATGCAAGCCCGCTGGCGCAGCCAGTTTCCTTTTCCTCCCTGACCCTGTTCTCACAGGCTGGGAGCCCGTCATAATGCTGCTGGTGGCTGCTTTTCTCTGTCATAGGAATTTGTGTACATGCAGAAAGCATCTTCAGAATTTTGTGTTGTAACCCCACAATAGAAAATGTAGTCACCACACCATAACAGCCTGTCAGTCGCTTCACACTTCTTTTCCTCTTCCTTCCATTCTAGAGCTACAAATTCCATTTTCCCATTCCTTCCTGGCCGCAGCTCTCTGGATGTTCCCCCATGCTCGTTCACTTTAACATGACCTCTTCCTAAGAAAAATGAGTGACAGCAGTTGCAGAGCCCAATGATAATTGTCTAATGCCAGAGTTAACAGCAGAGGTGCCTCTCTCTGCTCTCTTCATTTTTCTCTAATAACACATTCAAGTAGATTGCTATGAAGGGCTCAGATATAAAGCTAAAATTGAGAAGGGAAAACAGTGATTAGCAAAGGCACGAAGTATTAGGGAGTCAGGTATATTTTAAAGACATAACAAATACCATCATCTGCTGTGATGATCTTGTCTGGAAAAAATAGTGTGCCCGCATTTACGTGACTCCCTTTTTAATCCCGCATTAGAAAGGAGACAACTCAGTGATAACGCCACCTCTTCTGAAAGGAGGAAGTAGGTCTTTTGGGGAGGAACTCTGCAGGGTGGTGGAAGAGCATTTGCGTGAGGAGGGAGGGTCCTTGCATGAGCCCCACTTCACTGGCGTCGGCTCTGAAAACTCACTTGTGAGGGGCCTGGGCCTGGACTGCTGCTGCCTCGTGGGTGCACTGTAATCAACTTAAACAGACATCAGAATCTGGGTTATTACGTTGCAGTCATGCATTGTTCTTCCCAATTTCTGTTTGAGGAAAGGCCCTACATTGGCTGTATCTATACATGAACTGTTTCTTTGACTTAATGCAAAACAGCAACAACGACAACAACAAAACCCCTATTAACTAGTTGCAAAGTGCGCAGTGGGAAGAAGCAGACTGGAAAGTTTCTAGAATCCAAAAGGTCGACTCCTAAATATTTTTTGAGGAGGAAGCATGTGCATGTTTCGTGCCTGAGAACATGAGAGCCAGGCAGAGGGGCGTTGGGAGGGCTGAGGCACCACAGGGCAGATTGGAGAAGGCAGGCCGAGGCTCTCGGCAGCAAGGGCCAGCACGACAAATGGCTGCCCGCCTTCCTAGATCGAGCACTGCGGTGCTCGCCCTAGCAGTTGAATGGAGCAGACAGGGCAAGAGACAGGTTCCTGGGCCATTGCCACCTCTGTCTAGATGCTCAGAACTTTGCTTCTGCATTCTTTTGACTTCTTTGTATTTGTCAACTTCTTAACTTTTTTCTGCCTCCCCTTTAAATGTGTTTCTAATGAAAATCATCATTGGTTTATTAAAATGTAAATGCTTCATCAAAATGTGTATTTCTTAGATCAGGCATAAGACAGTTCCCTGAATTTATTTATTTATCCATCTCGTTTCATACTAAGGTGAGGTGATTCAGATCTGTTGATGGACCCATAAATAATCATAGTAGATTTGCTTTGTTCCTCAGAAGCAGCAGTTTCTTAGGAAGAGGAAGAAGGCCCTTTTAAACTGTAAATCACTCCCGTTCCCTCTCAGCTCCTGTTTGCTTAGGGTGTGTGGTTCCCCGACGTCGCCATGTGGACACAGCATATGAGCCACACTCTGGCTGGAATATCAGCACACGCATTTGAGAACACTGCCTTACTGTTCTGTGGCATATTTAGCTTTTTCTGTTCCTGACTGCAAACGGCATTACTCTTTTCTTTCTGCTTCAAGATTTGACTCCAAATTCTTGCATTTCTTTTATTTTTGTGTTTTTCCTCTTTTTTTCTCAAGAAAAAAGTGATGAATAGAAGCAAATCAGACCAAGAAAAAGATGGGACTGGGCTCTGTTTTCACCTTCCCTCGGGGTGCCAGGCACAAATGAGAGGCGAGTTCAATACCCATGCATTGCTCTCTCCTATGAAAAATAGATTTCCCATGAAGTCAGGGCACTCTCCCTCTGACTCCTGCCCTTTCAGAGCATGCTCTGCCTCCTCTGGTTGACTCTTTGCTGCTGTAAAAAGGCTTCACTCATCCATAGGGCTGTGAGTTGGCAGCAGAGAGAGGATGCTGAGGGGTGAGGGCTGGGGGTGTGCAGGGAGATGACACATTTCAGGTAAATCGCTGTCAGAGACGTGGCATTTTCATTCATAGCCTTGTCAGAGTAACCTTTGGGTGAAAGGGGGAGAATTGTCTTCTCCCACCTAAGAGGTTGCCATTCATGTTTTAATTTGCTGTTACATTTTCAAAAAAAAAAAAGAGCATACAACAAAATCATTTGTCTTCTTATGATCTGTTTCCCCCTCAGAACTCCTTCTTCTCTTTCTGTTTCTCTTTCTCCCTGGGAAGTATCCTTTCAGCAGCTCACGTTTCTTCCTTCATCTCTGACACGCAAGTCTCTCTTTGCTCCCTACATTCAAATGCTGTGGCCTTGCAGTTGATTGGATGAAGCGGAGGCTTTCCAGACTCCACTGCTAGGCAGGTCTGACTGTTGTGTTCTGGCTCCTTGTGGCTTCTGTTCCTGAGTGAAGCCCAAGCTCTTGTCTCAGTGCTTGGCACACAGCTCCGGCTTCGTTAGAGATCCTTTGGTCTTCACCCATCAGTAATTAAGAGATGGGGGAGTGAAGCTCCTCCAGGGTAGAAGAAGAAAGGCCAGTGCTGCTGGGACAGGGCTTTGTGCCCTCGTTACCCTCACAGGGGTGTTTACCCCACAGTGGAGGATGTTTGGCCACCCTTTTCTTCCTTTTTTTTTTTTTTTTCCTCTTCAGTATAAACTAAAGAGACCAAAATGCTTCTATTTCATCATCATCTGCTCAAATCAAGGGAGTGGATCAGTGAGTGGGCACACTTATTTGGTATTCAAGATTTATTAAGAAATAATGACATAATCTCTATTAAGGAAATTCTAAATGTAGCCTATTTTAAATTCATCAGAGAGGAAAGAAATTGTCAGGAATATCATCCTGTCCCTTTAATATCATAGAGGTCCCCTTCTCAATTCCTAAGGGTTTAGGAAAATATTTCCTTTCCTAGGAAGGTGTCACTTCTACTTCATGTCTAATTAGCTCAAGAATAGGCCAGTTTTGTGCATCAAGGTCTTGGGTGTTTTTGAAAGAGCAAAAAGTTACCTTGCTGTGCCCTTCCTTTTACAGCGTTTCTGAGATTAAGATGGAAGATATTTTGTGTGTTCTGACAAGAGATGATTGTTTTAAAGGGAAACGATGGGGAGCCCAGGTGAGTTTTGTTATTTATTGTGCTCGCTGCCAACAGATGTGACTCACTTGATTTGGGGTAGTAGAGACTTTGTGTATGGGTTACTTCCTCTGTCAAGCAATACATTTATTTTAAGAACCATGAACATTAGATGAGGCCAAATCTTGATTGTTTTTTTTTTTTCCTCGTCTTTGCTTCTGGATGCGTTTGCCACTCTCATCTAGCGAGTGGGCTACGGTCCATTCTGGAAGCCTGCCAGACAGCAGCAGGCTCCCCAGAAAGGAGGTCCAGGCCAGAATGAGTCTGGAGGCAGTGCCACACGCTCAGCCCCGGTGGTCCCTGTCCAGATTCTCAGCAAGGACGGCTGCCTAGACCTGCCTATCCCAGACAGCATGGAAGAAATAAGTATCTCTGTGTCTCCTTTCAGACACAGTTAGTTCATCCATTTTTTAATGTGTGTGTGCTATCCACAGAGGAAGAGTAAAGTTGAGATCATTAAGAAGAAAAATTTTTATTATCCATGCAGTTCCATATGGAGATTCTGAGCAGGTGCAGGCAGCCCTGGACACCCTTTCCTGCTCCTTCTCTTAAGGCTGCACCCGACTAGACCATTATTCCCTCACCCCACCCCACCCCCTTACTCAGTATTCCCGTGTGTGGGTGCAGTGTTGCTGTATGTAATTTTGTCTATGAGATATTAATCACTTGAATATTTTACATTTGTTTTTGTATGCCTGAGGATGAACTGGAAAATCAGGGCCAGATAGATCAAGCTTAAGAGTTTCTTTCATGCTTTAGCATGTGCCTGTATTTGGATCATTATTCTCCCTGAGCAGGGAGGGACCCCGTTTCACTGAGCCTGACTTAAATTCTCTTGTTTTAGAGAGCATCTAAGGAAATGTATGTAATACCAGGAGAGGAGATAGCCATAGCCTCTATTAGCAAAGTGTGTGTTCCCAACCTAGGACTGTGCTACACTCTTTATGTGCACGGTCCCATTTAATCTTATAGCAATCCGAGAAGTTGGTGATGGCCCCAATTTATAGATGAGGAAACTGAGACTTAGAGAGGTAAAGGAACTTTCACAGGGGCACACTAATATGCTTTAGTCATTCTGGGATTTGAAGTCTTAACTTCAAAGCACATATATTTAACTGTATACCAATATGCCTTTATTAGTATTAACTAAACCAAGATAATTGAGTCTTTTTCTAAATAAGGAAATGTTAGTCATATTTAGAGGTGAAATTTGATCAACCACAGCAAAGATCCCTGTGAACAATAAAAGCTGTTAAAGACTCCATTGGTCATCAGGTTACTTTAAGCAAGTCAGTACTTCATATAAGACTCGTAAGCCTCTGGACCACCCTTTATTAAGTTTGTTATTAGGGGTGTTGACCTGTGACCAGACAGATCTTCATTGGTCTTGGCACACTTCCGTTCTTTTGGAACTATCATAAATTCTAGTTAAGGGGCTTTTTTGGTTTCTTCTTTTTTTTTTTTTTTTTTTTTTTTTTTGAGACGGAGTCTCGCTCTGTCGCCCATGCTGGAGTGCAATGGCGCGATCTTGGCTCACTGCAACCCCTGCCTCCCAGGTTCGAGTGATTCTTCTGCCTCAGCCTCTTGAGCAGCTGGGACTACAGGCACATGCCACCACGCCCAGCTAATTTTTTCGTATTTTTAGTAGAGACAGGGTTTCACCATGTTGGTCAGGCTGGTCTCGAACTCCTGACCCCATGATTCACCCGCCTTGGTCTCCCAAAGTGCTGGGATTACAGGTGTGAGCCACCGTAGCCGGCCTTTTGGTTTCTTTTTTAATGTTCCCCCAGATACTTCATTATGGCTCCAGGGCAGCTCTGTGGGATCAGCAGGGAGCAGATGTGGATCTGTTGGAGGAGGCAGTGTAGCAGAGTGGCTAAGAGCATGGCCTTAGGGTCATGTTCCTCATCTGTCACCAGTGTGTGACCTTGGGCAGGGACTGGACCTCTCTAAGCCTTAGTTTCTTTTCGGAGAGGCAGTGTAGCAGAGTGGCTAAGAGCACGCCTCAGGGTCACGTTCCTCATCTGTCACCAGCCTGTGATCGGACCTTTCTTTTTTCTTTTTTCTTTTTTTTTTCTTTTTTTTTTTTTTTTTGAGATGGAGTCTCGCTCTATCGCCAGGCTGGAGTACAGTGGCACGATCTTGGCTCACTACAACCTCTGCCTCCCAGGTTCAAGCAGTTCTGCCTCAGCCTCCCAAGTAGCTGGGAATACAGGCGCATGCCACCATGCCCACCTAATTTTCGTATTTTTAGTAGAGACGGGGTTTCACTATGTTGGCCAGGATGGTCTCAATCTCTTGACTTTGTGATCCGCCCGCCTCAGCCTCCCAAAGTGCTGGGATTACAGGCATGAGCCACTGCACCCGGCCTGGACTGGACCTTTCTAAGCCTCAGTTTCTTCGCACGTAAAGTTGAGATAAAATAGTGTTCTTTTAAGGACGTCAGAGGATTGTGTGGGAAATAGTCCTGGAGTCCCAAGTATAAAACATAGGACCAAAGGGCTTTTTTTTTTTTTGAGATGGAGTCTTGCTGTGTCTCCCAGGCTGGAATGCACTGGCGTGACCTCAGCTTATTGCAACCTCTGCCTCCTGGGTTCCACCGATTCTCCTGCCTCAGCCTCCCAAGTAGCTCGATTACAGACACACACCACCATGCCCGGCTAACTTTTGTATTTTTAGTAGAGACGGGGTTTCACCATCTTGGCCAGGCTGGCCTCAAACTCCTGACCTCAGGTGATCTGCCCATCTTGGCCTCCCAAAGTGCTGGGATTACAAGCATGAGCCACCACACGCGGCCCAAAGGGCATTTTTTATTATTACTGTAACTATCAGGATTATTTGTAGTCATACAAGTTAGTAGCAGATGTGGAATTAAAGCCCAGACTCAGGGACATGAATCCCAGTGCCCTTTTTTGCTGTATCATAATAAGTGGAACATTAGCATCTGCCAGCTCTCTAGAAATAAAGGCAAGTAGTACAATTACACAATGAGATAGTAAGTTTGATCAAACGTCGTCTCAGGTATACTCTTTCTGGGCCTGGCATTGGTGTCAGTCTTTATCCCCGAGTGCAGATCATTTCTCTCCAGGGAGTTGATCACTGTGTGTCTGCGCAACGCAGGGAAGCTGTAGAAGGGCAGGAAGCCTCTCCTGAAGGACACGTCCCCAGAGAAGGAGCGGAGCAGCTGCATCTCCCTCCACTCTGTCAGCAACAAGCTACAGTCGTTTTTTTTTGGTAGCATCTGCCCTTCTGTGGCCTTGCAGCATAAATTCTTCTCCTTAAGACTTTCCCTGGCTTGAGGCCAGCCTCAAGGACTTCCTGAGACTTGAGGAGTGGCTCTAACTTCATGAGTAAGAGCCAGGTCCCAGATAGATATGAGTTTGAGTTTGAATCCTTGCTTCCCAGCTGTTAGCTCTGCAATCTCAGGCAGATTATCTTCTCCCCAGTCTCAGTTTTCCCATCTGTAAAACATACAATTGCTGTGAGATTTAAATAAAACGAGGTATAAAGTGCCCTGTAGAGTTCCAGACCTCATAGATTCTTAGGTCTAGAAACTCTGTCTCATGATCTCAGCCCCAGCTCCTACCTTGATAGACAGTAGTGAATGCTTGGATATTTTTAAGGTTTGGTGATTTTTTTTTTTTTTTTTTTTAAGAAAAGCTGAGTAAGTTTGGGCTTTCATGATATAACTGGTTAACTTAGAAAGCTAAATTAACCATCCTACGTTGTAGGTGTCATGTTGGTGAAGACCTGGCTTGCTGAGCCAAGTTTAACTTGAATTCAGAGGAAAAAGAAAAACTAAACTAAATTGACTGTGTTACTAATTATCACATAGATATACACAACCCGAGAGAGTATTTTATGTGTGATTCATGTCAGTAGTAAGAAGAATAAAGTAGATGCTGGATACAACTTTTAAATCTGTTATGCGTAAGAAATAACGTGTGTCTTAATTGCTGTCCTCAATTTGAGCAGTTCTCTAGCATGTGAACTAATGCCAGGCATGTAAATGTGGGTTCAGTAGCTAGGCCTTTCGTTCAGATAGCCAGACACCTCATTACAGTGCCCCTCTCCTTCACCCAGCGTGATTGAAGCCCATGGTAAATGTCCCTTTGGCACATACATTTTTGGGCTTCTGTGAACAGAAAGAAAGCGAGTGAAGCATCTGTAAAATGTATATTTCATATTTAGGTATATAAAACATATATAGCTATGTCTGGGTGTGTGAATGTTCACCTACCTACAAAGAGAATAAATTTGATCTTTCAACTTTACTGGGAAGCACTCAGAAGGTTCTAGGGACCATGGGGGTAAAACTCAGCTTGGCAATAAAGTGATTAAAACAAAACCCTTCCATTTTGCTTAAAAATACCTTGGAAGTTGGCAATATCAAGGTGCAGGCTTTCACAAAAACCTCCCACCTTTGCTATTACTTTTTATAATAAAAATAGTCCAGCCTATTTATCTTAGACTCATCTGTTGCTTCTTGATAGGTGTGAAATCTTCATCATCAAAGTATACACACACCCAACCATGTTTTTCCTACAAGCGTTTTTGTCCTGTGAAATATACCTGTAAACTTATCCCAACAAAGGAGCCGTTGCTGGCATTGCGAGATCTTAAAATAAGTTCAGAGCCCCCTGCTCATCCTTTCTGATGGCCTGTGTTTTCCAAGATCAGTAGGATGTTAGAGACAAAGGTGCATTGCGTGCGGATGGATGGTTGGAAATGTGTTTTTCTAAACTACCCATGGTCCACTAGTTGAAGTTAGCTTCATTAACCAGTACTGACTCTGTGTCTTGGAGGGTGGGAGAGCCAGCCCTGCCAGGTATCCATGTGCCCTCAGGGGTTTGACCCGCTCTCATTATAGGAGCATTTTACCTGTCGGGGGCTGAGATGGTGCTGCATAACTCTGCCCCCCTCTGTCTTCAGTTTAAATTTAGACTGTCCTCCCCAGAAGACAACTGAAAAATACCTCATTCATTCTCAAGAGGGGCAATTTTAAAATAAGGTATTTCTGGAAGCAGGGGTTAGGGAGGAGTAAGATTTTTTTTTTCCTAAGTATTGTATATATTTTTTTCTGCCATTAACTTTTTCTTATATTTTACTAAAACTGACCTTATCATTTCAAACCTGTGAACCTAGTTCTATCCTGTTTTTTTTTTCCCTACGTATTTCGCTTGTATACACACTCACATTATATATATGTAATTTTTTTTTTTTTTGGTTGGGAAGAAAAGATGCCTCATTTTGAAACCTAAAGGGGGGAATAAGAAAAGCCCTTTGTAATATATTGCCATATTATCACTAAATCCCCTGACAGTTGTGACACAGAAGCAAGTCACCTGTCACTTAAGCTTGAGGTCTCTTTAATTTTCTCCTGGAATTCGCACCAGGCTGTCTTTAATTTGAGGCCTTTATTGGAATTCTGAAACCTCTCTGCCTCCCTGGCTCTCAGATCTATTCTGAGAGCTGTTACAGAATGTATACAATAACCAACAGAGGGATTCGGAGAGGGCTGGAGCTCTGTTTATTTAACACTCTAGAGGGATTTTTGTGCTTATTCGGTCCTGGCTGCCCGGCTTTCAATATTGCTTTGACAACCATTCTGCCCTTCTCATTAATTTTAAACAGTTAAAACACAAGAAAAAGAGGAAAAAGTTTTCATTATTAAAGTGCTTTACTTTTTAATAACAGAGGATTCTGTCCGCCAGGGGAAAGGGCATCCTCGCTAATTTCACATTCATATTAAAAAAAAAAAAAAACACAGGGAAGGTGACAGTTGCGCTGCTGAGGTGGCTTAACGAAAGGAGGGCAGCAAAAAAAAGTTTGCATTTCACATCAGTTAAGAGGGTAAAAAAAAAAAAATCCTTGTTAATGACAATAGCAAATGTCCACTTTGGTAACACGGCTCCTGAGTGACTCTTCTCCTGACATTTTAGCGGATAGAACCCTTAGGGGGACCTTGTATTGAACTGTGAAATCAGCGAGACTGTCATCAACCAAACAGGTAGCAGGAATGATTTGACTAAACTAAAAACATTTTCACGTTGTTAAGTCTCTTAATATAGAGATGAACGTCGATCCAGAGAATGAGGCTTTTTCTTTCCTCCCCTTTGTTCTTCCTCTGTCAGCCTTAAAGGTGAAAGAGAGGCTCAGGGAGTCTTAGTGAGGCCAGATGCAGGCGCTCATACACCGTCCTCTACAAGGTTAAGCAGCACGACCCGGTCTCACTCTGGATTTTCCCCGGGGGTTCACACCAGGGTGGCAGGTGGAAGTAGAGGCACTAGCACCACTCAAGTGATCAGTGTCACTTGGCAGGTTGGCCTCATTGGGTGGAAGAATCTGTGTTCTCTTGATTTCACATTCAGTAGAAAGCACTCATGTTTGTTTTACGATATTGGAGACAAAAGCCACTAGTTTTTAGCGGGGATATTTAAAAAGGAAATTTTTTTCTCTGGTACTGTTAAAGGATGAAAAGAAAATAATTGTCTATTTTATTAACATTTTCCATCTGTAGGCTCTTTGCATGCACACAGATGCTACTTCTTACACAGGGACGATTTGCTGCAAAGATCCAGGCAGTCTTTGAGTGTGTTGTCCTGGAACAGCCCACTCACTCCTTAATAGGTTCCTGGCCACAGTGGCCATGGGCTGGAGGAATAAATTTGAAACACTAGAAGTCTGAACCGCTCTAGGCACTGAGGAAGCCTGCTCTGAAATTCAAGGATGGGGTAACTTTTAAAAGCAGAATGTTAGGCAGGTCACTGTGGAGTGCTCATGAAGAGAAATTGTCGGTGTTCCACTGATGCGCGTGAGGGAAAGGTGAAGATTCCTAGGAGATCCAAGACCCATTTGAAAACAGCTCATGTTCAGTGATGTTTTAAATGTCTGAATTGGACTTGGAAAATTCCAAAGTGTCTCCAATGGTCTTTGATTTTGAACATGCATGGTAAGAGGTCAGGAAGAAAAGTAAGTAAATAAGTAAACAGACCTGATGTTCTCTCTCATAAAGCCACCCTCATCCTTACTTGACTTTGACATCTCTATAGCTCCCTTTTTTCCTAGTAATATTGAAAGGATTACCCTTGTTGGCCCTAGGTGGTTACTGTGTGATTTTACTGTTATTAAATCTATTATAAACTGCTTCATTATTCCTGACCTTGACTCTATCTCTCCTTTAATCCTTCCGTCGCCCTCTCAGAAATCCCATGCTGTTGGCCCCCAGGAAATCCGAGAGCGAGCCACAGTCTTGCAGACGGTATTTGAAGATTACGTGCACTCCAGTGAGAGGAGGGTCTCCTGGGCAAAGAAAGGTCAGTCGATTTCCTAGGTGCTTGCGCAGTGGATAGCCCAGCAGAGTGCTCTCCCCCACCTTCACCCACATACCCCCAAACCGGTTGAGAGGCCAACATGGAGGTCCCTGCTCACCAGCCAAAGCCTTCAATCTCCATAATTCTGCAGGGTTTGGAAGCAGGCACGGAAGGCTTTAAAGTGATATTAAATGTTAATTTCATCCTTCCCCATGTTTTGCACAAATGAGGCTTTATCTTGGCTTATATCGGGACTAGAGTTTTGACCCAACAACTTGGATCTTAAGGATCTGTTTTCCTCTTTCTTTGAAAACCAGATAGAAGACATGTGACACGTTAGTAGAAATAGTTGTAGAGATGGAAATTAGAGATGAAGGCCAGAGCTGGAAATATTAGACCTAAGCAGTTCCTATTTGAAGGCACAAAGAAAAACGAGAAAGAACAGTACTGAGGAAGAGCCATAGACCATGAACCCAATTCCTAGGAAATTTATGAAAGAGAGAGGTGTTGACTTAATATTCAGACCCTTTGTTGGATAAGTTGGCTCCTGGGATCACCATACATTAGATGTAGACTTCACAGTTCACGTTGAGTAATAAGCAGTGTATGGCTGAAGGGGGTTTGTAATCACTGGTACTTTTTATCATGGGATGTCTTGGCCAGAGACTGACCATGTCTAATGAGACTTACTCCATGCTGGAGTATGCACAGGGTTTTTTTGTTAGTTGCCTGCTATTTTGAGAAGAGTGCCAGGCTGGCTTACCAATATCGGAACACTGTAGCATCCTTTCTTTTTATAAATAGAAATGCTTTAAAAACCATTCATTTGACAAATATTTATCAAATCGGGCACTATTCTGAGTGCTTGGAATGCATGCGAGATCAAAACAAAAATCCTTGCTTTGTGAAGCCAACATGTTAGTGGGGTGCAGGGGCAGCAGACAGTGAACATAATAAACATAACAGATTAGTCCATTTAAAGGTGACAAGAGCTATGGAATAAGTAGAAGGAGATGGGGGAGGTGAAGGGGTGACATAGCAGAGTGCATTTTTAATGGGGTCAGAGTGAGCCTCATTGTGTAGGTGATACTTGAGCAAAAACCTGAAGTGGGATGAGCCCCGTGGCTCTCTAAAGGAAGGGCATTCTGGGCAGTGGGAGCTGGTGCAGACGAGCTCGAGGAAGGCAGTGTGGGTGGAAAGGGGGTGCTGGCCAAGGCAGAATCACGTAGGACTTTGGGTCTTGGTCGGAATGAAGGGGGAGCAGAAGTGTGGGATCTGACTTAGGTTTGAAAGAGATCACCTGGCTGCTGTGTGAGAATAGACTCTAGCGGGGGCAAGTGTGAAAGCTGGGAGCCTGGCTGAGGAGCAATTGTGGTCACCAGAAAATATAGATGAAAAAATGGGTTAGTCAGCAAATATTGTCAAGGACCTGTTACATACCTTTAGCACATTATAATTGCAATTCTTGGTTGTCGTTAAAAATCAGAACCACACAAGGTAAAAGATGAAGTCCCCGTAATTGCCATTGTATATCCTTCTAGACTTTTCTCTAATAATATCCTGTCTTGGCATTTCCCTAAAGGGAATTCAACAATTCCCAAGGGTTTTCCTACCTTGCTACCTCTAGAGGAGTATTGCTCTGTGTCTCTCAAGAGGAATAGGGTCTTTGTCACAGTGTAACTTTACAGTTTGGACCTTTGATGAAAGTTAGGCAAATTCAGCTGGCTGTGCAGTACATAACAAGGTGTTGTGCTGCTGAATTCCAGGGCTGGTATCAAAGTTGCAGTGGAAAGAAATAAATCAAACCCACACTGTCACCTTCGATTTTGGTGTCAGTGATGCCTCAGATATTTTGGCAAGACTACAACTATTTCAAGGTGTCTCGGTCATCTGAGTGGAAGTTACAGTAATTCTTAAAGGATGTGGTTTTGGGTTTTCTTTCACTGTTATTACCATTGAACTTGTTAATACCATGAAACAAGCAGGGTCACTTGTCTTTTGTTTAAGGAATATTGGAACAGGGTCACTTCCCAATGTTTATGTACCATGAAGGAAATAAACGTATCATGTCTCTTATTTGCTAATCAATTTCCACACCAGATTGATAATGGGCTGGGACAACACCGCCTCTTACAGAGCTCAGTCACCCCATTTCAGACATAAGTCTCGCCACCATTCCTTCTCTCCTGTTTCTTAGGACTGAGTTTTGGAGGCTTGAGAGAGTATACACGTATTTGCCACCCTAAATGTATTGAATTTACTGCATAGGAACAGCCACTGCACCCCATAGGTGGAGACACTCTTTTGCATTTCAATCTGCATATGCAAATTCCCCACTATTGACTTGCTTCCCTTTTATGCCATTTCAGAACCCACCTCCTGAATAATTAACAAAGCAGCTGGCTTTTGCCTTGATGGCAGAAAACTAGTTAGAAACTGGGCCAAGTATGTATTTGTTTTCCTTTTGCATTTTTGGACCCAGTCATTGTTAATAACCAGCATTTAACTGTCAGTTTCCAGAAGCAGTTACCCCTTTTTTCCTCTGTTTTCTTGCATCATTTAGCTAGGGATTCAAGTTGTAAAACGAGTGGTAACATAAGTTTGAATTCCAGATTCCCGAACAAAAATCTTGGAAGCTAGAGTCCTCTGCCTGCAAATGACCATTGCTTCTGTGGCTTAATCCTCTCCATCTTCAGGTCTTCCTGCAGACCAGGAACTCCATGTAGGATTTATGCCTGTTTGGAAGGGATGCTTCTCAAAGTCTAGAAAACCCACACCAGTGATGACAAGTCATTCTTCTCCCCTCAGTGGGGTCAGAGCTAGGCTGGGCACTTTACCAAATGCTTTGTCTTGAAGAGAACAGCAGGGAACCTCCTTTTCCTCCATCCTTTCCGTAGTTGTCGCTGTAGGTGTTGGGTGGTCTTGAAGATGCGTGTGCCTTTATTCTGTACTGAAGGGTGCTCTTGTGGGAGTGGAGGTGGGGTTGGGAGGAGCAGAGATGATCTTCACCTTCCAGGCTGGAGGTTTGTTTATTTCTGTCTCCTTCATCTTACAAGTCATCATAAGATACCACTAGTTTCTGATCCAAATGTCCAGGAATGAAAAAGGACGATGTGTCCATGTGAGATACTTGAAAATAGATTTGCCCTAATTCAGGCACCTTAAGTAGTTGGCAAGAAATAGGAATCAGTGACTGCAAAGTGCTGAACTCTGGTGGCCTGTAGCTTCATCCGTCACCCCAAATAAATGTCTGCTTTCATTACTTCTCCACCTTCCGCTTGTGTGGGTCCCACAGCCCCTGTTCCTTCTGCACATTCTCGACGCTGCCAACATGAGCACTTCCTGCTCCTTGAAAGGTTCTGCAGACAGCTACTGCAGCGTCTTTGAAATTCCTGCTTCTCTGAATTATCCAAACATGGGAGTCCATGCAAGTATGTGAGAACAACCAACTGTCGCTGTCCCCGGTGAGACAGGAGCCTTGAGGACAAGGAGGTTTAGTAAAAATATGCAGTGTGAAATGCTGCCTGGCCAGTTGTCTGGGGAGAAAACACTTCCTGCCACATCTTGGCAAACTCATTATCCCTGTAAAGCTGTTAGCTGGGCACCTACATCTCCTGGGACAGATGCTCTCAGTGCTCAGCTCATAGGATTGGTGGAGAGGAGGAGAGGAAGAGAGGTGACCAGGGTGGAAGCCCAGGGACTCATCTGCATACACAGAAGAGAGGTAGGAAATGAAGAGACCTAGAGCGGGATTTGGGTAACTGAGATTTTAAAAGTGCAGGCTCTTGGCATGGTTTCGGCTTGACTTGGTTTCGGTCTTGTCTTTTTTGAGACCAGAGTGAGTGTTGGGGGTTGGGGAAAGAAAGGTTGAGGAGAAGAGGCTTGAATCTCCTGGGTCGCGTAGCAGTAGAGCCTTTCCCTCTGAGGGCTTGGCTGTGGGGCTCTGTATCTAGTGGGGCTCTGTGTACTCCAAACAGTACAGACCATTTGAAGCGTTAAAGATTTTCTTTGAAAAAGTCCCTAGTTATTAAAAAGGGGAGTAAGCACAGATTTAAGAGTAGGGTACAGAGGAGTTGCCTTGGTTATTATTGCTCATCGATTGGGAAAAGGAGTTCACTTTACTCAGTAAATAGAGCTTTGATGGATTCCCCAGGATCCTTCCAGGAGCTGATCTGCTAAAATGACACTTTTTATTACTGTTCATAAACGCCAATCTCCAGGTGCTGCTGGGATATTATGTTTAAGCTGTGGGCAAACTTGCCAGTCCAGTGGCTCAACAAGGAGAGTGAGGAAGCGAAGGCTGGCATTCAGTGCTTGCCTCCATCAGACA